>NC_000007.14:46300848-46603878 GCF_000001405.40 Homo sapiens
AAAGATGTGAGAAAACTGGATCTCTCAGACACTGCTGGTAGAAAATGCACATATATGCACTCTACAAAACAATTTGCCAGTTTCTTTTAAGACTAAGTATGCAATTAGCATGTGACCCAACAAATGTACTCTGGGGAATTTATACTAGAGAAATGGAAACATATGTTCACACAAAAACCTGTACAGGTATGTTCATAACAGCTTTATTCATTATTATAAATTTGTGCTGTTCTTTCTTGGAACTGGAATCATCCCAGATATGCATAAACAGGTAAACTGTTAAACAAAATGCTGCACATCTATGCTTTGGAATACTGCTCGAACTGTTGAGATATGCAATAACTTGAGTGAATTTTCAGGGAATTATGCTGAGTGGAAAAAAACAATTTGAAAAGGTTATATATTTTACAATTTTATTTGTGCATTTTTGAAATGACAAAATTCAAAATAGATGGTAGATTATATTTTGCAAGGAGATAGGTCTGTGGGACCAGGCACAGGAACTAACATAGAAGATCCCTGTGGTGTTGGAACTGTTCAGTTTTCTGACATTGACAGTGGTGGTGAATTCACAAAACTACTTGGATGATAAAGTTGTATAGAACTGAACACACACACAGACACACACACACACAAGTCCTACTAAAATGCGGCATCTGAGTAAGATTGGAGGATTATATACAAGTCAATATTCTGGTTATATTATACTATATTATAATTATTGGTATTTTTGCAAAATATTACCATTAAGAAAAATTGGGCAGTAGGATTTCTCTGTATTATTTCTTACAACTGCATGTTTGACCTACAATTATTTTAATAAAATTTTTAATGAAAAGTGAAATGAAAAGTATACATATCTTTAAACAAGAAGAAAATTTAGGAGTAAACTGTAAATTCTAATGTCAAAGATATGTTCTTCAAAATGTTTTCTCTCTTTTCCTACATTTTCAGAAGTATGAGCCACAAAGAAGTGCTACACAGCCAATATATCACACCACACATGATGACTCACATGTGATTTGAACTTGTCTCTATTTGGTTAAATCTGGGCTCACGAATACTTGGTAAGTCATAGTAAATCTATACTGTTTCAGCAACAGTTTGGTAAGCTTCACTGTGAAAGTTGCTAAACTTTATTTACATTTAAATGTTTAATTTTAAATTTTTTCTTTCTTTCTTCTTTATATATAGAGAGACAAGGCCTCACTCTGTTGCCCAGGCTGGAGTGCTGTGATGCGATCATGGCTCACCGCAACCTCAACTTCTTGGGCTCAAGCAATCCTCCTGCCTAAGCTTCCTGAGAAGTGGGGACCACAGGTATGCACCACCAAACTCAGTTAATTTTTTTTTTTTTTTTTTGTAGTGAAGAGGTCTCGTTTTTTTGTCCAGGTGGGTCTCAAACTCCTGGCTTCAAACAATCCTCCTGCCTTGGCCTCCCAGTGTTGGAATTACAGGCATGAACTACCATGCCTAGCATTTTCCATCTAAATTTCCATCACAAATATTGACTCAAAAATATGTTGACTCTTCATTTTTTTTTACTTGTTTTGCATCTCTAGTCTTATAATATCAGCTAGAGTGTGCATGGAGTGGGACATAAAGGAAAGGAAGAGCCTCACTGTAGGTAGCACAATGTGTGCTGAGATCCAGGCTAACCTATGCTTTGATATTTTTTAATTTTATTATTATTATACTTTAAGCTTTGATATTTTTATCTCAAGTATATTCCCAAGAGTTTGAACTTGTCTGAGTGTATTAGGAAAGCCCTATTTCTCACCTGCACATCTGAAGTGCAGAAGTTGCAGTGAGTTTAATTTACTAATGCTGAGCCTGCACTGTGGGTTGGCTGGGTTCAATCAGCTCATCTCCCTACAGACAGAGAGGCCGTAGAGGGTTCTTGCATCCCTTGACTTCCTGAGCAAGCCTCTTCCTGCTCTAATGTCTACGTGGATCATGGGGACCTCATGCAATGCAGACACTATTTCAGAAGGTCCAGGGTGAGTACTGGGAGACTGTGTTTCTGACAAGCTTGTGGGGAAGGCTGATGCTACTGGTCCCATGGCTGCACTTTGAGGAACAAAATTGTGCTATTCTGTTTTGTCCACTGGTGACCATCAAAGAGACCCTGACATGAGCAGGCTTTCTCCTCACTGCAGTGCACTTGGACTGAGCTGATCCCATTTTGCTCATCCACATTTTCTAAAAGCTTTCTTTAAATGCTGAAGAAGAGAATATTTTTCAGGGGGTGGGATGGATTTGATGGGTTTGAATTTGAAGAATATTTGGGCATCAAAGTGGAGATGCCTAGGGAGTGTTAGAAGTGGAGACTGGAATTTTTCAGTTCAGGGGTGAGTCCATGGGAAGGTGTAATTTTTCTCAAGAAATGTGTATACAAAGAGAGCAACAGATACAATCTCAGGCAACAAGAAGACAAAGAGGTAAAGGAGAGGCAGTGTCTTCTTGCCTGAATTTGGAGAAAGGTGGTGAAGGAATACTTGGTAGGACAAAGCCCAGTGGAAGTGCTGTGGTCTTAATCAAAAATGGTGGTTGTATTAGTGTTCTAGGGCTGGTGTTCCATTTCCATCCCAAGGTGTGTGTGTTAATTTAATTCAATTTTGACATTAACCAGTAATAGTTAGCACACACCTCACAGGTTAAAGGGCTTAGTCCCATGAGGCTGCCCCCATTTCAGACACCAGCCACAATCTCAGAGGCCATACACACTACAAGGCTATAAATTTGGCGATTTCCAGGACAGATAATTCCCTAGAAAGACTCATAGAACTCAATAAAGCACAATACTTATGATTACAGTTTTATTATAAGGAATATAATTCAGGAGTACCAAATGCATAAGGTTGGCAGATTTTGAATTTACTCTTCGTACAATTTTTTAATTTTTCTTTTTTTAAAGATCCCTTTATTTCTGATTTGGAAGACAAGCATTAATTTTTGTTTCTAACCCATTATATGTTGATTGGGAATTTTAACTACCTATATGTTTTGACTTCTGACATTAAAAAAATACATTTCTTTAATTTTGAAATACACAAATTTAGTGATATTTTCTTTTTTAATTTCTGTATTTTTTGTGTGTTTTAAAAGCTTCCTCTATAGCTATGCTATAAAGATCTATCTACTACATCATTTTCTAAAAGCTTTAACTTTTTACTTTGTATATTGTCACTTTAAAACAGTTGGAATTTCTATGTATGGCATTTGATGGAGTTTTTGGAGTCTTCTCTTTAAATAATTCTATTGTTTCCAAATCATGAGAGCTCTCCTTTTTTGCTTTCCAATACTCAACCCTTTTCATTTCTTTTTCTTGTTTCACTTTACTGTCTTTGACATGCCCCATCCCTCCATGCACAATGTTTGAAGCTATTGGATGTTGGCCATTCTTGTTCCTAGTCTCAAAGAAAAAGCTTTTAGGGTGTTAACTTTGTGACTTAAGTTTGCAGAACTATTTTTATAGGTACGTTTATCTGGTTAAGTGATTTCCTTTCCAGGGATTTTTAAAAAATATTACGAATGGAGGTGAAATGTATCAGATGATCTTTCAGCTTCCACTGAAAGATGATCATATGATTATTCAATTTCTAATCTGCTAATTAGGGCTCTTGCCCACTCAACAGTTCATTTGGTGGACCCAGTGTAGCCATGCGTTATTGTCGTCTTTGTTGTTATTATTTTTAATATTGCTGAATTTTGTTTGTTAATATTCAAGTACTGTGGGGTTTTGATATAAAATGTTTTCTACATTTTATTTTTTCTTCTTCTATTTATTTGAAAGTTATATTCTCTGATTCTGTTCTTAAAGTAGGTACCATGAAATACATAAAATGCAAAGTTACCCTGACAAAGTCTAAGGGTGTTTAATATCTTTATCCTTAAGTGTCTAGATAATGCAAGCGCCTTACAGTATCTGAACTTCTGAACTCTTTCTAGTCACTTCTTCGCCACTGTTGCCATTTACACAAATTTAAATGATACCATGTTTTTAACCTCACACAAACTAGTACTATTACTGTTGCCTCATACAGGTTCAAATTCACCTGGATTGTTTCATATGTTGGCTACTTTATTTGTTCCTTACTTTCTCTTGTGCCCCAAGCCTCCTATTTAGGGTTACCTTGCTCTGCCTTAGGTCCATCCTTTAAAATTTTCTTTAATGAGAATCTGCAAGTCAAACCTTCTCAATATTTGTTTGTCTAAAAGACTATTTGCTCTCATTCTTGGGAGATGGCTTGGCAGTCATTTTCCATCAGCACTGTGGAGATGCTCCAGTGGTTACTCTTTCTTCTAAAGTCTGCTCAGGTGAGCTCTCCTTCCTTTAATGATAATTTAAATTTTCTTTTATTACATTGAGGTATGTTCCCTGTATGCTGATTTTGCTGAGAGTTTTCATCATAAAGAGATGCTGGATTTTGTTGAATGCTTTTTCTGCATCTATTGAGATGATCATGTGGTTCATCTATTAAGATGATCATGTGGTTTTTGTTTTTAATTCTGTTTATGTGGTGTATCACATTTACTGACTTGCATATGTTAAACCGTAACTGCATCCCCGGTATGAAACCCACTCAACCATGTTGGATTATCATTTTTTTATGTTTTTGGATTCAGTTAGCTAGATTTTGTTAAGGATTTTTGCATCTGTGTTCATCAGGGATATTGGTCTGCAGTTTTGTTTTTTGATTATGTCCTTTCTTTTGGTATTAGAGTGATGCTGGTGTCATAGAATTAGACCAGCATTCCCTCTTTCTCTATCTTGTGGAATAGTGTTAGTAGCATTGATACCAATTCTTCTTTGAATGTCTGGTAGAATTCTGCTGTGAATCTGTCTGATCCTGGACTTTTTTTTGTTGCTGGCAATTTTTTTATTACCATTTCAATCTCGCTGCTTGTTTTTGGTCTGTTCAGGGTATATAATTCTTCCTGATTTAAGCTAGGAGGGTGGTATCTTTCCAGAAATTTATTCCTCTCCTCTAAGGTTTCTAGTTTATGCATGTAAAGGTGTTGGTAGTAGCCTGAATAATCTTTTGTATTTCTGTGGTGTCAGCTGTAATATCTCTGGTTTCATTTCTAATTGAGCTTATTTGGATTTTCTATCTTCTTTTCTTGGTTAATATTGATAATGGTCTAGCAGTCATTTTTATTTATCTTTTCAAAGAACCAGCTTTTTGTTTCATTTATCTCTTTTATTTTTTTAAATTAAATTTCATTTAGTTCTGCTCTGATTTTGGTTATTTCCTTTCTTCTGCTGGGTTTGGGTTTGGTTTGTTCTTGCTTCTCTAGTTCCTTGAAAGGCGACTTTAGATTGTCTGTTTGTGCTCTTTCAGATGTTTTGATCTAGGTGTTTAAGGCTACGAACTTTCCTCTTAGCACCACCACAGCCAACATAATACTAAATGGGGAAAAGCTGACAGCATTCCTTCTGAGAACAGGAATAAGACAAGGATTCCTACTCTCACCACTTCTCTTCAGCATAGTACTGGAAGTCCTAGCCAGGGCCATCAGACAAGATAAATAAATAAAGGGCAACCAAATGGGTAAAGGGGAAGTCAAACTGTTGCTGTTTGCTGATGATATGACTGTTTACATAGAAAATCCTGAAGTCTCCCCCAGAAAGCTCCTAGAACTGATAAAAGAATTCAGCAAAGTTTCCAGATACAAAATTAATGTACAGAAATCAGTAGCTCTTCTATATACCAACAGCGACCAAGCAAAGAATCAAATCAAGAACTCAACCCATTTAACAAAAGCTGTAAAAAAAAATGCTTAGGAATATACCTAACCAAGGAGTCAAAAGACCTCTACAAAGAAAACTACAAAATGTTGCTGATAGAAATCATAGGTGACACAAACAAATAGAAACACATCCCATGCTCATGGATGGGTAGAATCAATATTGTAAAAATGACCATACTGCCAACAGGGATCTACAAATTCAACACAATTCCCGTCAAAATACCACCGTCATTCATCAAAGAACTAGAAAAAAACCATCCTAAAATTCATATGTAACAACAACAACAACAACAAAAGCCCACATAGCCAAAGCAAGACTAAGCAAAAAGAACAAATCTGGAGGCATTACATTACCTGATTTCAAACTATATCATAAGACCATAGTCACCCAAACATCATGGTACTGGTATAAAAATAGGCATATAGACAAATGGAACAGAATAGAGTACCCAGAAATAAACCCAAATAATTACAGCAAACTGATCTTCAACAAAGCAAACAAAAACATAAAGTGAGGAAAGGACACCCTTTTCAACAAATGGTGCTGGGATAATTGAGTAGCCACATATAGGAGAATGAAACTGGATCCTCATCTCTCACCTTATACAAAAATCAACTTAAGATGGATCAAGGACTTAAATCTAAGATCTGAAACTATAAATATTCTAGAAGATAACATTGGAAAAACCCTTCTAGACATTGGCTTAGGCAAGAATTTCATGACCAAGAACCCAAAAACATATGCAATAAAAACAAAGATAAATAGCTGGGACTTAATTAAAGAGCTTTTGCATGGCAAAAGGAATAGTCAGCAGGGCAAACAGATATCCCATAGAGTGGGAGAAAATCTTCACAATCTATACATCTGGAAAAGGACTAATATCTGGAATCTACAATGAACTCAAACAAATTAGCAAGAAAGAAACAACAATCCCATCAAAAAGTGGGCTAAGGACATGAATAGGCAATTCCCAAAAGAAGATATACAAATGGTCAACAAACATATGAAAAAATGCTTAACATCACGAATGATCAGGGAAATGCTAATCAAAACCACAGTGCAATACCAACTTACTCCTGCAAGAATGGCCATAAACAAAACATAAAAAAAAATAGGTGTTAGTGTGGATGGGGTGAACAGGGAACACTTCTACACTGCTGGTGGAAATGTAAACTAATATAGCCACTGTGGGAAACAGTGTAGATTCCTTAATGAACTAAAAGTAGAACTACCATTTGACTCAGCAATCCCACTACTGGCTATCTACCAGGAAGAAAAGAAGTCATTATACAAAAAAGATACTTGTACACGCATGTTTATAGAAGCACAATTTGCAATTGCAAAAAAAGTGGAACCAACTCAAATTCCTATCAATCAATGAGCAGATAAAGAAACTGTGGTGTTTGTGTATATATATATATATATATGTATATGATGAAATACTACTCAGCCGTAAAAAGGAATGAATTAATGGCACTTGCAGCGACATGGATGAGATTGGAGACTATTCTAAGTGATGTAACTCAGGAATGGAAAACTAAACATTATATGTTCTCACTCATAAGTGGGAGCTAAGCTATGAGGATATAAAAGCATAAGAATGACACAATGGACTCGGGACCCAGGGGCAAAGGGTGGGAAGAGGGTGAGGGATAAAAGACTACAAATTATGTGCAATGTATACTGCTAGGGTAATGGGTGCACCAAAATCTCACAGATCACCACTAAAGAACTTACTGATGTAAGAAACACCATCTGTTCCCCAATAACCTATGGAAATAAAATTTAAAAAAAATAAAATTTAATTTAAAAACAAAACAAAAACAAAAAGAAATAAATTTTCTATTCTTTTATTTTTTAACTTTTAAGTTCAGAGATACAAGTGCAGTTTTGTTACATATTTAAACTGTGTTATGGGGGTTTGTTGTACAGATTATTTCATCATCCTTGTATTAAGCCTAGTACCCATTAGTTGTTTTTCCTGATTCTGTCCCTCTTCCCAAACTCCACCCACTGAAAGGCCCCAGTGTGTGTTGTTCCCCTCTATGTGTCAGTGTGTTCTCATCATTTAGCTCTCACTTATAGATGAGAACACGTAGTATTTGGTTTTCTTTTCCTGTGTCAGTTTGCTAAGGATAATGGCCTCCAGCTCCATCTATGTGCCTGCAAAAGACATGATCTCATTCTTTTTGATGGCTACATAGTATTCCATGGTGTATATGGACCATATTTTCTTTATCCAATCTATCATTGACAGACATTCAGGTTGATTCTATGTCTTTGCTATCGTGAATAGTGTTATAGTGAACATATGCATGCATGTGTCTTTATAATAGAATGATTTATATTCCCTTGGGTATACATCCAGTAATGGAATTGCTAGGTCTAATGGTATTTCTGTCTTTAAGTCTTAGAGTAATCACCACATTGTCTTCCACAATGGCTGAACTAACTTACACTCCCACCAAGAGTGTATAAGCATTCCTTTTTCTACACAACCTTGCCAGCATCTGTTATTGTTTGAATTTTTAATAATTGTCATTCTGACTGGTGTGAGATGGTATCTCATTGTGGTTTTGATTTGCATTTCTCTAATGATCAGTGATGTTGAGCTTTTTTATATGATTGTTGGCTGCATGTACGTCTTCTTTTGAAAAGTGTATGTTCATGTCCTTTGCCCAGTTTTTCCTGGGGTTGTTTGCTTTTTTCTTGTAAATTTGTTAAAGTTCCTCATAGATGATGGATATTAGACCTTCATTGGATGCGTAGTTTGCAAAAATTTTCTCCCTTTTTGTAGGTTGTCTGCTTACTCTACTGATAGTTTCTTTTGCTGGGCAGAAGCTCTTTATTTTAATTAGATCCCATTTGTCAATTTTTGCTTTTGTTGCAATTGTTTTTAGCGTCTTCATAATGAAATCTTTACCTGTGCCTATGTCCTGAATGGTATTGCCCAGATTGTATTCCAGGGTTTTTATGGTTTTGGGTTTTACATTGAAGTCTTTAACCCATCTTGAGTTAATTTTTATGTATTGTGTAAGGAAGGGGTCCAGTTTCAATCTTCTGCATATGGCTAGCCAGTTATCCCACCACCATTTATTGAATAGGGAATCCTTTCCCTATTGCTTTTTTTTTGTCAGGTTTGTCAAAGATCAGATAGCTGTACATGTGTGGTCTTATTTCTGGGTTCTCTATTTCGTTTCATTGGTCTAATTTAAATTTTCTGTGGATGCTTTTTAGATTTTGTCTTTTTTTAAATATTTTCACTGGGATGTATTTTCACTTCTTCACCTCTGTAAATGGCAACAGAGGTGAAGAAGTGAAAATACATCCCAGTGAAAAATATATCCTGTCCTTATTTGGGATTTGATGGGCTACTTGAATTCTTGAGAATTCTCCATCACTGTCATTATCCATTCAATCATTACTGCCTTCACTCAGTCCATCTTTCCTCTTTCCTGGATTTATGATTAAGCTCATTTTAACCTTATATATCCTCCCCGCCCCTTGGATTTTCTTTGTTTTTTCTTTTTCTCTCTTATTTTTGTTCTCTCCAATATCTTCCTCCTGAATAGACTTGCATTTACTTTTCTTCATTACCTGAGAGCAATGCCAGGGTGGGGCATTTAAAATTAACTTCATAGATTGAAAGTGTTTTCTTTTCGTCTGCCTTTTTTCTTTTTGGCCACCACAAGCAATGGGATTTGGGGCTACAGATCATGTGAGAGCCTCCTTTTGGTTATAATTCCTTAGTAAGTCCCCTTCCCAACAGACACACACTCAGCCTCTCTCACACACACAGGCACACACACCCCACATAAATACACTGTTCTGCTCAGGCCCAGGGAAAGCTGATCTGCAGATCACAGGATCATCTGGGATGAGGGGAGGTATTCTTTTCCTTAACTAAAAGGTGAGTCCCTTTGTGGATTCAGCTAAAAGAGTGGATTTCCCATTTGGGGTAGGTCTTGGATTTTGATATCAGCCAGCCTCCTCTGTGAGGTGTCTGGCATGGAATTCAAGATTTTCAGAATAGTCAAAGGTCTTCAAGTCAAAGCTAGCTTTACTGCTTTCTTACCTCCTTTGATTCCTACTTTCTTTAGAAATGACCCAATAATTTCTTGCTATCTCATAGTCTCTTTGATGTCTTGATGATGTCTCTACATCTGATCAGCATTTTTAGTTATTTTCAGTGGCAAACTTGGTCTGAATAACTTATCAGATTTTTGGAAATGGAAATATTATGCCCTACTTTGAACTTTTTAATCATTGTCTATAGTAGTGTTTGAAAATGAAAGTGAATTGTATTTTCTTTTGGCTAAGAAGAAAGTTTGCCTTAAAGTTTGATTTCTGATGTATTTGGAGCTACCTCTGCCACCTTTGTTTTGGACACAAATCCATCACGCTTTCAAGATCTAGTAAGGTCACCCTAGGAAGATTAGCATGCATTAATTGAGCAAAAATTTATTGAGTTACAACTATAAGCATGGCATTATATTAGCACTAGGTGACATTGGCAGTTTTATAAAAAAAGGATGTGACTTTAACCAAGGACAGGTGATGTTTATTTAAGAGAACTGTTCCAAAATGAGATTTTAAAACTATCTCAGCAAAGGGTGACAGTAAAGGATAAAGAAAAAATTATGCCAAGCCTTATTATAGAGGCTTTTCACATGGAATCTACATTTTCACACTAGCACTGAAAAGTGTATGTGATTATTCTCTTTTGCAGTATTATTTTTAATTGACACATAATAATTGTAAACATTTATGGGGTAGTGTGATATGCCAATACATACGTACAATTCGTAATGATCAAATCAGGAAAATTAGCAAATCCATACCTTCAAACATTTATTATTTCTTTATATTGAAAATATGCAAAATCCTCTCCCTAGCTATTTGAAAATATACAATAAATTGTTGTTAACTACAGCTGATCATTAAACAACACAGGTGTTAGTGATATTGACACCCACATGCTCAAAAATCCACATCTAACTTTTGACTCCCTTAAAACTTAACTAATAGCCTACTGTTTACTGGAAGCCCTACCAACAACACAAATAGTTGATTAACACAGCAATCCCCAACCTTTTTGGCACCAGGCACCAGTTTTGTGGAAGACAATTTTTCCATGGCCTGGGGAGGGGGTGGTTTGGGGATGATTCAAGAGCATTACATTTATTGTGCACTTTATTTCTATTATTATTACATGGTAATATATAATGTAATAATTATACAACTCACCATAATGTAGAATTGGTGGAAGCCCTGAGCTTGTTTTTTTTTTTTTTTTTTTTTTTTTTTTTTTTTTTTGCAACTAGATGGTCCCATCTGGGGGTGATGGGAGACAGTGACAGATTATCAGGCATTAGATTCTCATAAGGAGCATGCAACCTAGATCCGTTGTATGCACAGTTCACAATAGGGTTCATGTTCCTATGAGAAATTAATGCCACTGCTGGTTTTACAGGAGGTGGAGCTCAGGCAGTAATGCAAGTGATGGAGAGTGGCTATAAATACTGATGAAGTGGCTATAAATAAAGACGAAGGTTTGCTCACTTGCCTGCCACTTACCACCTGTTGTGTGGCCCAGTTCCTAACAGGCCACAGACCAGTACTGGTCTGTGACCTGGAGATTGAGGACCCCTAGATTGATGCATATTTTGTATGTTATATGTATTCTCATATACTGTATTCTTATAAGGAAATAAGCTAGAGAAAAAAATTATTAAAAAGCATTAGGAAGAGAAAATATATTTACTATTTATTAAGTGGAAGTGGGTCATCACAAAGGTTTTTATCTTCATTATCTTCACACTGAGTAGGCTGAGAAGGAAAAGGAAGAGGGGGGGTTGGTTTTGCTGTCTCAGGGGTGGCAGAGGCAGAAGAAAATCCACGTCATTGGACCTGTGTAGTTCAAAACTGTGTTCTTCAAGGGTCAACTGTACAGTGCTATAGAGCACTAGAACTTAGTCCTCTTATCTCTTATTCCTCTGATCTAGTGTACTTTTTGATCTGTTAACAAACTTCTACCTGTACTCTCCTAACCTGTCCCCCAGATTCTGCTAACCACTAATCCACTCTCTACTTCTACAAGGATGACTTTTGTAGCTTCTGCAAATGAGTGAAAACATGTGGTATTAATCTTTCTCTGCCTGGCTTATTTCACTTAACATAATATTCTCCAGACTCATGTATGTTGCCATGAATGACAAAATTTCGTTCTTTTTATGGCCAAATAGTATTTCATTGTTTATACCACATTTTCTTCATTAATTCATTGTTGATAGACACTTAGGTTGAGTCCGTATCTTGACTATTGTGAATAATGCTGCAATGAACATGGGAGTGCCGCTATCTCTTTGACATACTCAGTTTCTTGCCTTCAAATATATACGCGCAGTAGTAGAATTGCTGACAGATATGGTAGTTCTATTTTTAATCTTTTGAGGAACCTCCATACTGTTTTACATAATGCCTGTACTAATTATATCCCTATTAACAGTGTATAAGAGTTCCCCTTTCTTTATATCCTCATTAGTATTTTAATTTTTTGTTTTTTTATGATAGCCATTCTAACCAGGTGGAGATGATATTTCATTATGGTTTTAATTTGCAATTCCCAGATGATTAGTTATGCTGAGTATTTTTTCATATACTTGCTGGCCATTTGTATGTCTTTCTTTGACAAATGTCTATTCCGACCATTTTTCCATTTTTAAAATTTAATTATTTATTTTTTGTTGTTGTTGAGGTGTTTGAGTTTCTTGTATTTTTAAATATTATTCCCCTGTCAGATGAATACTTTGAAAATATTTTCTCCCATTCTGCAGGTTTTGTCTTCACTCTTGATTATTCTCTTTGCTGTGTTGAAGCTTTTTAGTATGATATAATCTCACTTGTCTATTTTTATGTTTGTTGCCTGTACTTTTGAGGTCTTTTCCATAAACTTTTTGCCTAGATTAATGTCCTGAAGCATTTCCCCTATGTTTTCTTCCACTTGCTTCATAGTTTCATGTCTTACATTCAATTGTTTAATCCATTTTGTGTTAATTTTTATATATGGTGAGAGACAGTAGCCTAGTTCTATTCTTCTGTATACAGATATCCAGCTTTCAGTATAATTTATTGAAGAGGCTAACTTTTCTCCAATAAATGTTTTGGCACCTTTGTTGAAAATCAGTTGGCTGTAAATGCATGGATTTTTTTCTGGATTCTCTAGTTTGTTCCATTTGTCTGTCTTTTTTTACACCAGTGTCATGCTATTTTGGTTAATATAGCTTTGTAGTATATTCTGAAGTCAGGTGGTGTGATGCCTAGAGCTTTGTTCTTTTTTTGCTTAGGAATGCTTTGGCTACTCAGGGTCTTATCAATACAAATTTTGGCTTATTTTTTCTATTTTTATGGAGAATATTATTGGTATTTTGATAGAGATTACATTGACTCCATAGATTTCTTTTAGTGCTATGGTCATTTTTTCACAATATTAATTCTTCCAATCAATGAACATGGGATGTTTTTGCATTTTTTGGTGTCCTCTTCAATTTTTTTTTATCAGTGTTTTATAGTTTTTCTTGTAGAGGTTTTTCATCTCCTTGGATAAATATATTTTTAGGGTTTTTTTTTTTGTAGCTATTGCAAACAGGACTGCTTTCTTGATTTATTTTTTAGTTAGTTTGCCATTGGTGTTTAGAAATGCTACTGATTGATTTGTGTTGATTTTGTATCCTTATGATATCTATCTCTTTGTTGAATTTTTATTTAAATCATAAATTGTTTTTCTGATTCTGTTGAATTGCTTATCTGTATTATCTAATATATTTTTGAGTTTCCTTAAGAGCATTATTTTAAATTTGTTTTTGGGCAATTTGTAAATTTCCTTTTCCTTGGGACTGTTACTGTAGAATTACTGTATTTCTTTGGAGGTGTCATGTTTCTTCCATTTTCATGTTTCTTGTATTCTTACACTGAGATCTGTGCATCTGGGGGAACAGTTTTTTTCCCCGAATTTTTTAGAATAGCTTTTGTAGGGAAAGACATATTCCTGTAGATGGGCTCTAGGGTGTTAATTGGATAGGGTGTGTTGGCTTTTGTTCTGGGTGTACCCAGTAGTATAGTTTAGTTTTGTCAGCTATAATCCATGTTAGCAATGTTTGCAAGCACCTTAGTGGCCTAGGTTACAGGAGTTTGTGGAGGTGGTGTTTTAGCTTAGCTTGGGATAAGCTTGCCAGGCTGGTCTTCAGGCCAGGGGCACATGCCTGCATGTGGTGGATCAGCAAACTTGGGGACTGGTTCATTGGGAGCAGGGCTGCCAGGCTGTTTCTCTGGCTGGAGGCATAGACATACAGTGGTTCAGCAGCTTGGGGGTTGAGCTGCCAGGGGTGGGTTCCTTGGCTCTTTCTTGCTAAGTGGCTTTTGTCTTAAATTGTTTGAAAAATGTAATTCAAAGTTGGATGGAAGCAGACTGGCTCCACTGGGCACCCAAGAGATTCAGACGGATCCAAATGAAGAGAATACAATTCTTATTCTCACTTTTTATGCGTGGAGATCAATAGATGTTAATATTTTCAAGCTCATGCCTTTTGTCAGGGCAGATCCAGGAATCAAAGCTGGCTCCATTTTAGCCCAAAGGCTCTCTTAATTACCCTACAACATGCTGCCTCCGTTTACAAGCCCTTTCTCCTTCATAACATGTTTTCCCATACAATGTTCTGTGATCTTTGCAACATGCTCAAGGACTAGATATTGTTAGGAATTCCATTTTATAATTGGAAAGTGAGACTGAGAGAGGTAAATTATTGTTGTATGTCACAAAACTGTAAGTAGACATTCTGCATGCATAACGAGAATTTCCTGAGCTGTGTCGATGCATAAGAGGCTGTCTTGTTCCTGTACTGATTTCTAGAGCCATTTGAACCCTGAACCTCGAGGCACTACACCATGCATGGCTGTATCACCTGGAGCCTCCCGCATACCCTAAAGAGTTTATGAGATGCTTTGAGGGCCAGAGTCTAGCTAACCTCCTGAAGCAGGCATGAGAGGATATTTACACCAATGAGAAGTCTTTACACTTAAGAAGATCTATAGAGGGCCATGCAGTCCAAGTGTGGGATGCAGAGACTAAATTTCAGTGGATCCAAGCCAGGCTCTGGGACCAAAGTACCTGGGTGGAACTCCAGCTCTGGTACTTTCTGTCTGTGTGGTTTTGATGTGATATTTTATTCTTCTCTGCTCAATTTTCTCATTTTTATATTGGAGTAATAATTGCCTACCTATTAAAAAATTGAATGTCAATCTGTGTAAACTTCTAAGAACACTGCTTAACGTGTGATAAATGACCAGCAGCTATAAACTCTTTTGATGCTAGAATTTATCAGTGGATATCTGGAACCCTGTGTTGAGAATGATTCTGACTGTGAGCTCAGCAATAAAAATGCTGGGAACAATTGTGATTCTTGCGCAACATGCAGTTAATACTGGCCATTCGTGGACTAGTCAAGTTGTTTCTTTCACGGACAAGGAAGATGGGTCCAGGCAGAGAGATGACTGTCTCTTCTGGTATGCTGCTACTCGATAGCAGAGGAGGGCCTAGTAACCCATCCTTTAGGTGATCCAGTTCAATTGTCTTTCATCTGCATTTCACAATTTGCTCTACCTGTGGCAGATCAATTACTGTCATGTGGCTCAGTGATCAACAGGATATCAGCATGAATTTGGGAAGCCTTCTTAAACTTACAAGATACGTTTTATCATTTCTGATAAACAGAGTTTGGGATGATGGCTTACAATCATAGCTGAGACCATTTGCTGCTCCATAATTTCTATTTTTCCTTTTCTTCTCAATGAACATAATCCCCCATTTATTTCAGGTAGCAATGTCTTAACTAAACAGCAACATTTTCTCACCTCTTCCAGCTGAGTGTGAGGGATGTCATTAGTTGGGGCTTTCAGGAACTTTTCTCAAAGGGCCTAACCTAGCTGGGACATGTAATATTTTGCCCTTACCTCTTCTTCCTATCTAAGATGTTGCTGAAATGGCTGAAGCTCCAGTAGCCATCTTGTATTATGAGGCAGATTAGAAGATAAAAGCCACATTCTAAGGACAGAAGGTGCCAGTATATAGATGAAATTGTGGAGCTGGCCCACTAGCACTTGCCCTGGACTTGCTGCCTCCAGACTTTGTTTATATGAGGAAGAAATTAATCTCTGAAAGTAATTATTTGGATTTTCTGTGTCTTAAAGCCGAATACAATTGTTACTGAATATTTTAGCCTAGGAAAATTCTCAGAGTAAGTCTTCTGTCTTCTCTTTGACTTCATTCAGAAACACAGAAACTGTGTACTGAATGTGATCTACAACCCAGGAAACCCCACAAAGCATATACACAAACCATTGTCATTTGGTAATCTCATATTACCATGTATCTTTCCTGTCTCTGGGCCCAAGTTCTTTCTCCTGGACGATGCAGACAATCATTACTAGCAAGCAGGGTTGATAGGAATTTTAACTGAGAAAAAAAATCTTTATGATAAAATATAACTATTCTGATATCTATGTTATAAATATTTTCACCATCTAACCTGTGAGAATGCAAGCTCAAGGCAGGAATGAAGTTGGGGAAGTTTACACAACTAGGAGATGTTAGTACTAGAATCTAGCCTGCTCCAGACCAGCTGCCCCCAAACTTTCTTAATCCTCAACAAACCTAGATTCTTGAATCCCAGACTTCACATTGTAAGGATATTTCTCAGACATCTCCGTGAGAGCCTGCAAAAGCATAAAAAAGCCTAACAGAAATGTCAGAATATCCCGAAGCTATCACATTTGTATTTGATTCAACACTAAAGAATCCTCTGAAGTCCATATTTAGGACACATCAAGTTTCTTCACACAGCTTCCGCTTCCCACTGCTTCCCACTGTTCCTGAAGAGACACAGATGAACAATTTTTTCCCTCTCGCCTCTTCTAAGAATGCCACTCATTCCTCCTATGACAGCGTGCACAGTCGAGGTTGACTTTTTAATTTTAGCAACTGTGTTTGAGGCAAAGTTGGACTTTCCAGTGTCATGAATGGGATCAGATCTTAGGGAAGGAAAATGTTGACATTTTCTAAGTGATTCTCTCTGTGGCTGGAAACGTAGGATGGAGTGCAGAAGATAATTTGATTTGTGGAAGTGGACTTTGGTCATGATCTTAAGTTGTCTAGACAACACACATCTGGCTTATATGTTGCGTGTTATATTTCTCTTGGCACCTTCAAGCCCTTGTCATAGTTTCCATCATGGTACTCGGTCCATCTGTGGAGCTGCAATGTACAGTTTGGTACAGAAGCGGGGTTATAGGTTATGCACTTGGAAGGAGTGAATTTAGGAACCTGCCTGTGCTCACTCCAGCACTCAGACTACACTGGAATTATTGGGTCACAAAGAAAATATAAGGGTGAGAGATCTCATGTAATCTCTTTATTTTACACAGAAGTTAACAGTCAAGTAGGGAGATTAGTGTCTTGCTGTAGAGGCAGAACTGGTCTTCAAGACCAGTGTTCCTACTCCTGATCTTATGACCTTTCCAAATGACTTCTGAGTATTCTGTAGATATTACCTTATTTACTCCTTAAAATAACCCTATCAGTAGGGATTAACCCATTTATGAATGAGCAAGTTAGGGCTTAGAACTTTGGTTAAATTGTTTAAGATCTTACAAGTACATTGTGGAACTGGAGTTCAGCCCTAAGTACACCAACCCTCCTAACTTTGTTGATCATCTCACTAAATTTCCATGGCTAACTCAAGATGAATTTACAGTGACATTTTGTGCTTGGTTACAGAGTTGGACTTCATGCTTCATTTGACATGCTTTATGTTGCCATGAGCCTTGATGACTAGATTTAAAGTCCTGGGGATAACTGATGTTGTAAGATTCTCACCCTCACATCCTGGTTTCCTCACATGGCCTCGGGCTCAGAGGTAGGCAGAACCCCACGGCTGTAGGTCATGATGTCTAGGGCAACCCCAGTGCCTCCCTCTGTTGTAGTGCTGGGGTACAGCTCAACCTTTAGCCTGCGTACATGTCAACACCAGGCATCATCACAGCCAGAAAAACACCCTGGATGAGAAGAGAAATGGTTATTCTAGACAGAGAAACAATATTATGGATTTTATCAACATGTAATTGTTTGCCAATCCAATATACTTTCCTTCCATGGGTCTCATCTTGTTGAAGGCTCCAGGCACCAGACACATTGCTAAGTATGGTTCATATATCCATTAAATTTAGTATTTTTAGTCTCATACTAGGCATATACAGGCAGTATTATTGTGTCAATTTTTTTTTGGATGAGGAAACCAGATTTTTAAAAGGGAAAATGAAATACTCAAGGCTGCTGCTTTAAATTTAAGTAAAGTTTGGCAGTTTTTTTCTTTATTGTCTACTTCCATGTCTGCATTTGTAAATGGCTAGTTTATGCATTTTTCTCCAGTTTTCCTTGTGATGTGTTGCTCTTTCTTACATAATTTAAAAAATAATTTTCAACTTTTATTTTAGATATGGGGGTACATGTGCAAGTTTGTTATTAAATACATGGTTATATTGCATGATGCTAAGGTTTGGAGTACAGATCCAATCACTTAGGTAATGAGCATAGTACCCAACAGGTAGTTTTCCAACCCAGGTGCCCCTCTCCCCATGCTCCAGTAGTTTGCAGTTATCTATTGTTCCTATGGCAATGTCCATCTCACACAATTTTGTAAGAGATTTTAATGAACCAAGGACATCCACCTTTGTCTCTGGGTGGGGTGTGCCGCTCAACTTTCCCAGAGTTTGGCATTTGCCCTTTATCTTTCTTTATAGTGGGATTGATACCCAGGGTATTAGTAGCATCCTCAGAATCAGGACTTATAGGTGGACTCAGTTTCATGGAGCAATCAAGGGAATGATCCAGTGATGCATGTTTGTTTGTGTGGCATGCACAACTATTTCAACAGCCACTGTTTTCGACATTAGCATTTGGCAGGGAGACAAAAAAATGAACTTTTGATTAATTTAGAAGAATTTGCCTGTCTCCTCCAGGATTTGTGAGGTTCAGTCTTCATACATACTTTCATATCCCTCCTTTGCTATGTCTAACCCCGATTCTTTACCGCATATTGGGGAAGATGTTCTGTTTTGGTTACTTCCTTAATCCAGCTTGTGTGTCATTCTTTCCACTCTTAAATGAACACAGTCATATAGCCTGCTTTTTTGGTGATATCGGGGTCATTTTAGCATTGTTATTATAATCATTTTTATTTTCATTACCTGAACCCTTAAAAACCATAGTCAATGTTTACATTGCAAAAAGCAAACTAGCGCTGTGTCCATAGAAACCACAACATAAAAGCAAAGATAGGCTGTTGAGGATGGCAACACACTTAAACTACAGACTTAAGTCCCATCACAGGAGTGATGCAACGATGGAAAGTCCATTGTTGGAGACCACAAAACATGGTTGCCAACTTCAGCAGCAAGTGGAAAAAAACTGTTGAAGGCAGATAATCTATGCCATTGACTTGGCACTAAAATTAACACTGCTTTCAACCCCTATTTTGGGAGCTTCTTCTAAAGGGTGTTGTACTTTAACCCCTATTTTCTGCATTATTTGTTGAAAACAGGACTTTTCTCAGGCAGGGAAGTGGAAAGACTTGGGATGTGAAACTTTCAGTGATAAAACTGGGACAGCTCAGGCAAACCAGGACAGTAAATCCTCCCGGCTAACAGGACAGCCAGCACCAACCACCAAGCATGAGATGAGCTCTCAGAGCTGTGCTGCCCAAGTCAAGGCTTTCAGGACTGCACCATCAGGAATATGTGACAATAACTGCATCCCAAGCCAGATCTGCCAGGCTGAGCCTAATCAATTCATAGAACTGTGAGATTTGGCTACTAATTGTTGCTGTAGGTATTAAGTTTTGGGATAATTCATTAACAAGCAGTAGGTACACATAGGAAGAGGATTCTAGGAACAGAAATTGTCTTGTTATGACAAGCATCACACAAGAGTATGAGCCATTGCTTTGCAGAGAGCAAATCTGGATGCACACAAATTAGATGCTTTCTTGATATGGCGGCTCTTGAGTTCTGAGACATGACCACATTCACTCAAGACCAGTCTTTTGAAGGACACAGAGAGTAACTAGTTGTATGCTGTGAACACTTGCAGTAGCATAGCCACAGCAAAACTCCTCTGTTGTACAAAAGGCATAGAGTGGAAAGTGGGTAAAAGCATTTTTAATGACATTTTTGAAGAAATAAAATCAGGCAACGGCAGAGCTCCAAGTTAGGTGATACAGGCAAGTCATCAATGAATTCATATGCATATTTAGTTTTATGAACAATGGTTGCCAAGTGCCTGCTCTGGATTAGGCATTGCATCTGCTGTTGAGGATGAAAAGAAACTTAAAACAAAATTCCCTTCCCCTGGGGAACTGTTAGTACAGCCAAGAAAGAGGACGTAAATAAACACTTGCCATACTGTGAGCTTAACCCACAGGATGTGCGGAAGCCAGGAAGAGCATGGGCTAATGCACAAGCCCCCTGTCCTTCAGCTTTGCGATGGCATCCCCATTGCTCAATCTCTGGGTGTCAGCAAAGTGGAATCAGCCTGCTGATCTTTCAGGACCATTTGATGATGAAATGAGACAATTTATAGGAAATCTTTCAAGGCTGTGCTTTGGAAACTCTAGATTCATAAATGTAAGTCACCTTCCCCTCTTCCTACATTTTATTAAAGTTTCAAAGTCAATTTCGCCACATCAGATGTTGGGAGTGAATGTATGTAAGATGCCCTTTGGTGGGTGCAGTGGCTCATGCCTCTAGTCCCAGCATTTTTGGAAGTAGAGAAGGAGGTATTGCTTAAGCCCAGTACTTTGAGACCAGCCTGGGCAATATAGCAAGACCTCATCTCTTATAAAACATGTAAAAATTGGCTGGTTGTGGTCGAATTCGCCTGTAGTTCCAGCTACTTGGGAGGCTGAAATGGGAGGAGCACCAGAGTGTGGGAGGTGGAGGATGCAGTAAGCTATGATCATTTCCCTGCACTCCAGCCTGGGCGACAGAGTAAAACCCTATGTAAAAAAAAAAAAAGCTGACCTTTGTCTCATGGTGTGTGGGAATGAGGCCCATATACCATTTCCTTTTTGATGACTCACATGAACATCGACAATGGAAAGCTCTAAGGATTTCTGTAATTTTAAAAAAGAACAATTTAAGGCTGTTTCACCTAGCATTTCTGGAATTTGTTTTACCATTGCATTCTTTTCTCAGGAAACACCTTTTAACTGCCCATGACGTACATTTTGTAAAAAGCTACTATCCCTGATAGCCTACTTGAGGGAATAAAAATATTTTCACTAATGCTTAGGCAGTTCCTAGAAAGATCAGTTAAGAATGGCTAAAGATCTGGTGAGGGCTGACGCACTGTGGACATGACGCAGACGATTGCAGCTGTAGAAGAGAGACTATCTAAAACAGACATGAAGGAACATCAATGCTTAAAACTTTTGGCTTCATGGCTGGGCGCGGTGGCTCACGCCTATAAGCCCAGTACTTTGGGAGGCCAAGGTAGGCGGATCACGAGGGAAGTAAGGAGATCGAGACCATCCTGGCCAACATGGTGAAAACCCGTCTCTACTAAAAATACAAAAATTAGCTGGGCAGGGCGGCATGTGCCTGTAATCACAGCTGCTCGGGAGGCTGAGGCAGGAGAATCACTTGAATCCGGGAGGCAGAGGCTGCAGTGAGCCAAGATTGCCCCACTGTACTCCAGCCTGGCAACAGAGCTAGACTCCGTCTCAAAAAAAAAAAAAAAAGAAAAGAAAAGAAAACCAACCAAACAAACAACACTTTTGGCTTCACATAAAACATTGTTTCTAGGGTTCAAGGCTTCACTATCTTGAGTCAGGGGCTATTTTAGACAATAACTTAGAAAATTAGGAATAGAGCGCTCTTTCTGCATTCCATTTTGTTCGCTGTCTAAAGCAACCATGCAGCATCCGATGCGTTCATATTGCAAGTGAGACAGCAGAAGGAATCTCCCATCAGCACTATTTTCAACACCAGAAATGAAATAAAACACTATAGCAATAACTAAACGAACTACAGTCCAAAAGAAGAGGAAATAAGGTTATTATTACTTGCAGATGATATCGTGGTTCTCTGGAAAACGGTGGAGAAAAATTAGAAAACTACTACAACTAATAATTGAATGCAGTAAAATGTTGTTAGTTAAAAATAAATATACAAAGAAATAACTTTTTAAAGTAGAAGTCATAAACCTATAAAATAAGGAAAACAAATTATTCTTTTCACAGTAGCAGAGAAGTATAAAATAGGTAAATATAAATTTCGTATATATGAGGCCTATATGAAAAAAAAAAACCTAAAACATGTACTAAGTCCCTTAAAATAGCCAGCACTTCTGGATGAAAGGGTTGGGTTCTTGGCCAAGGTGTGAGAATGGAGGGAAGCAGAGCATGTGGACAGGAGCCAGCGCTGGGTGTGCTCATGGGTGTGTGACCAGGAAGCCAGTGTGGCCCCGGGAAAGAATTCCAACAGGTGCCCTCATCAGTTAGGGTCTCCTAAGCCAGAGGGTGGGAGGGTATTTTTTCTCTCTCAGTGTGAAGAGTAGTATAGTGTGGTTATCACAGGGAATTAGCATTCAATTTTCTTTTAGAGGATTGCGCTAATTTGAGTGTGGGAATCACTGGCAGGGAGATGCCAGAGCGGACACAGGGAGAACTTACCAGAAGGCAGTCCAGGAGCCCAGGTGGGACAAGGGTGGTGGCCTTTCCCTGGGTGCTGGCTTGCAGGGGTGAGAGTGCTCACACAAAAAGGCAAAGTGTGTCACAGTGGCATGGGGGAAACAGCTAACCTTTGCACATTTATTTATTTATGTTAATATTACACCATGTACAACATTACACTTTATACACTCCAAATGGATGGAAGATTTCAAGGTTAGCCCTGGAGCTAACCTCTGTCAAGTGTAAGGGCATGCTGAGAAGATTCTAGGAAAGATACTTAGAGAGGGGGCAGGCTTATCCTGCTTCTTCACTTGCCCACTCTACTCCATTTCCTCCTGCTGATGTTGTGGAAGGTGGATGTGATGGCTGGAGCTCTGCCTGCTGTGTTTGCTTGTGAAGGACTCCTACATGTGGAAGCCACAGGCTGGAGATAGTGGTCAGGAAGATAGATGCCTGGGCCCTGAAACTGCCGTCTGAGCACTCAACTGCCTTCTCTCAGAATTCCTTCCCTCAACCAATAATTAAATTTCTGTCTTGGTTGAACCACCCATATTTTAGTTTTTTCTGTCACTCACAGGAAAAAAAGATTATTGACTGATATAGTGGGCAATTAGTTTTAGGTGATTTTATATATCAATAGCCAAAAAGAAAAACTACTTTTTTCTAAATCCCAAGCAAAGGACATGCCAAAAAAATTCAGAGTTGTAAATAGACAAAAATATAAAATATATTCAATCCCATTCTTAGCTAAAAAATTCTACTCACAGAAAAAATATTTTTTAATCAAGCATATAAATACATGTTTAACTGATAACTTCAAGATTAGAAAGAATGCAGGATTATTGTTAAGAGAGCATTTTGTTATAAACTCCTAAGAGGGCAACTTTCAACACTGAACTTCCTCAGAAATTGTTTTCTTTTTCATTCAATAATGTTATATCTGTCATATATCCTAAAGATATGAAGTAATCCCTTTTATCTGCAGCAGATATGTTCCCAGATCCCCAGTGGATGCCTGAAAGGCTTATATATGCTAAGTTTTTTTCCTATACATACATACCTGTGATAAAGTTTAATTTATAAATTAGGTACACTAAGATATTAACAAAAATAATAATAAAATAGAATAATTATAACAATACACTATAATAAAAATTATGTGAATGTGGTCTCTCTCAAAATATTTTGTATGTAATATTTTTGACTGTAGTTGATCATGAGTGACTGAAACCACAGAAAGCAAACTGTGGATAAAGGGAGAGAGACTACTGTAATATTTATGAACCTACCTGTGACAGCATTATTTAAGTGGAAGAACTAGAAATAAATGCAATGTTTAACATTGAAAATTAATTAAATATTTGGTTCCTCTGTTCAATGAAATATGATGTTGCTATTACACATATTGTAGAAAAAATATTAGTGAAATAGAAAGGTTTTCAAAATATGTTTTGGAGGTGGAAATGAAGATGAAAAACATAAGGTTTTCATTTTTGTAACTTCTGTTAAAATATAACTAAAATTTTCCTAATCTCTTCTTTTATATTCTATGCCATAGTAGTTCTCTGATTCTTTCTCTCTCTCTCATCTCTTCCCCTTTCATATCCCAAATTACTGAATTATTTGTAATATGTAATTTCTATATTAATTGTTTCTACCTCCCTGTAGTTTATTCTTGCTAGCCCAGTGAAACCTGACCTTTGTTCCTGACCTTTTGGTAAAAATTTCCCTGTTCTCAGGAGACTTCTGAGAGAGAATTTTTTTTCCCCACTTCTCTTTCTTACCCAACTATCTTCTGAAATCTCTGGTTATGTGTTCATCCCTGAGCTTGGGCTAACCCTGTCTGCCAATTGCAGATAATCTCTGCCTTGGATCGTGCTGGCTACTCCTCCTGGGATGTCTTCTTGTACTCCAACTCAGTTTAAATGAAGATCATCTTGTTTGGAGATATTTAGATTTGGATGACTCTTGCAGATGTGACTGGGAGGGGATTAGATTTCAGGCTTGCCCCACGGGAAGACAAGCAAGATGGCAAAGATGATGAGTTCAGTTTTTTGGATGGAGATCTCAAGAGAAGTGTCCACAGGCAACATGAATTATGGCTCTTGAGCTCTGGCAAAAGGTCAAAACTAAAGATATAGGTCAGTTATAAGGTATGGAGAAGTTATAGCAAACAGAGGGAATGAGTTCATCTGGAGAGAGACCCAAAAGAGAAGAAGGGTGAGAAGAACACAACCTGAAGAACTAGTCTATCAAGGATCAAGCTGGACAGAAGGATAGAAAAACAGAAAAGGAGAATTGCAAGAGTGCTGTCTTGTGGTGAAGGAAAATAAGGAAAGATACTGAGACAGAGGGACGGATCTACTCTGTCAGAGGCTGAGAAGCATGAGGTTGCAGAGAGGACGCTGGGTGTGCCAACTTTCAAAGGCAAATATAGGATGCTTCGTGCTGCTCGAAACCACTCTGAATTTCTAAAGAGTACATGTTGTGGCCGGGAGTGGTGGCTCACGCCTGTAATCCCAGCACTTTGGGAGGCCGAGGTGGGTGGATCACGAGGTCAGGAGATTGAGACCATCCTGGCTAACACGGTGAAACCCCGTCTCTACTAAAAATACAAAAACGAAAAAATTAGCCAGGCATGGTGGCGGGCGCCTGTAGTCCCAGCTACTCGGGAGGCTGAGGCAGGAGAATGGCGTGAACCTGGAAGGCCGAGCTTGCAGTGAGCTGAGATCGCTCCACTGCACTCCAGCCTGGGAGACAGAGCGAGACTCCGTCCCCCCACCCCCCCCAAAAAAAAAGAGTACATGTTGTTTGTTTGGTGCATGCTGTAGATGCCAAAAAGCTAAAATGTACAGTTTAAGCATCTTGTGTGACAATTGATAAATAAATTTCATAAGTTTTGAGGAATTTTTGGCAAATGTTCCCGCTATTTCATCTACACAAGTAGTAGCACCAAATTTGTATTATATGATTGAAAACATCGGAGCCATAAAGTCCAGTGTAGAATAACAGGCATTCAAAGTAAAGTATTAATTTGTATTCTTATGGAAACTAGAGTTTACCGAACATTTTCTGCGTTTTAAAAGTAGAAACCAAAATTTGCCATCTTGACTTCGATTGGCACCAGCGAGGGAAACCTTTCAAAGTCTACACAGAAAATCTGACCCAGGTGTTTGCTATTTTTTTTTTTTTTTTTTTTTGAGACGGAGTCTCGCTCTGTCGCCCAGGCCGGACTGCGGACTGCAGTGGCGCAATCTCGGCTCACTGCAAGCTCCGCTTCCCGGGTTCACGCCATTCTCCTGCCTCAGCCTCCCGAGTAGCTGGGACTACAGGCGCCCGCCACCGCGCCCGGCTAATTTTTTGTATTTTTAGTAGAGACGGGGTTTCACCTTGTTAGCCAGGATGGTCTCGATCTCCTGACCTCGTGATCCACCCGCCTCGGCCTCCCAAAGTGCTGGGATTACAGGCGTGAGCCACCGCGCCCGGCCGGTGTTTGCTATTTTTTTTTTTTTTTTTTTTTTTTTTGAGACGGAGTCTCGCTCTGTCGCCCAGGCTGGAGTGCAGTGGCGGGATCTCGGCTCACTGGAGGCTCCGCCTCCCGGGTTCACGCCATTCTCCTGCCTCAGCCTCCCAAGTAGCTGGGACTACAGGCGCCCGCCACTACGCCCGGCTAGTTTTTTTTGTATTTTTAGTAGAGACGGGGTTTCACCGTTTTAGCCGGGATGGTCTCGATCTCCTGACCTCGTGATCCGCCCGCCTCGGCCTCCCAAAGTGCTGGGATTACAGGCGTGAGCCACCGCGCCCGGCCCGGTGTTTGCTATTTTTAAGACATTGGACAAGCTACTGGTAAGTCAGTTTTATTGTCTGTAAAATGGGGATAAAAAATTATCTCCTGCCGACATAAACTTTTTTTTTTTTAAATAAAATGAGCCAGTGAGGATGAAAGAGCACTGCAAGATGTTCTCCCAGGAATTCTTGCATTCTAGGAAAATCAGAACATTTCTGGTAATAGAATTTTTGACATTTTGAAGGAAGATATTTTAGGATATATGCAAAAAGAACAATTTCTCTTCTCTAATTACTTCATGGATTCTTTTTTTTTTTTTTTGCATTGAGATTTTGCTTGAATATCAATAGACAAGAGAAGCAGGTGGTTCAGGCACTTGTCTAGTGAGTGGAACGCTAACAAGAAGCAAGGAGCCGGCAGGACGCTCCCCTGTGCAATTGGTCAGGAGCCTGCTTGGCTGGTGCCAAGGATTTGTTCTCAGTGACAAGACAAATACAGAAATGGAAAGTGGTTACAAACTTCTGTAGCAATTTGGCACTTTATCTTATAAAAAGTAAATATCAGTCTACATCAAATAAGAAATTAAAAACAGAAACAATTGGGTACTAGGCTGCTAAGCTTAGTGCCCAGGTGACAAAATAATCTGTACAACAAACCTGCATGACACAAGTTTACCTGTGTAGCAAACCTGAACATGTACCCCTGAAACTAAAATAAAAATTTTTTTAAATAAAACAAAACAAAACAAAAATACTTCTGTTTCTTTATCACAGATAATTTGAGAAGCACTAGTGTAAGGAAAAAAGAATAATAAATAATGTCTACATTAAAACCCACCAGAAAACATACATACAGTGAGATACCTTTTTGGACATTAAAGAAATTTGAGGCTGGGCGCAGTGGCTCACGCCTGTAATCCCAGCACTTTGGGAGGCTGAGGAGGGCGGATCACAAGGTCCAGGAGATCAAGACCATCCTGGCTAACATGGTGAAACCCCGTCTCTACTAAAAATACAAAAAATTAGCCAGGCGTCGTGGCAGGCGCCTGTAGTCCCAGCTACTCCAGAGGCTGAGGCAGGAGAATGGCGTGAACTCGGGAGGCAGAGCTTGCAGTGAGTCGAGATCGCGCCCCCGCACTCCAGCCTGGGCGAGAGAGTAAGACTCCGTCTCACAAAAACAAAAAAAAGAAATTTGAAAAATCACACATATATTCCTAATGAACTTGACTATATATTATATATATATATATATATATATATATGTTTATTTAGAAGTATTACATTGAATTAAGTGTTACATTTATTTTTTTAAATTATATTTTTTTAAAAAATGTTCTTAGTCAGAACATTAAGAAGGATAGATAAAGGGCAATTACAAATTTGAGTACAGAAATAGTAAAATGCCCAGAAACAGACTGGCAAAGGCTATGGAGTGATTAATCTCACAAAAAGAAGCAGAATTTATTAATGTAAATAACAAAGTATTGCTGATACTTAAATTATTATGAGTTATATTGAAGAATTGTTTTGTATTTTAAAATAGCAAAACCCACAACAAAACTGTGTGGTAAAGTTGTGGTGAGATTTGTACATTTTAGCAAGCCTTGATATTTTTAGCTCATATGCTTTTTTGATAAGTAAAAATAAAAAAAAATTAAAAACAATTTCTCTACTGCTTAAATTCTGATATACATCTCCTACTGGGTGGTAAGATATGAGTTTAGAGTCATTGTATTTTTTTAGTAGTTGCACTAATAAGAAGTTTTCATTAAGCTTTACTTTCTAAAAATTATATTAAAATTGATATTTCTCTATTATCTAATCATAAATTATATCAAATATTCGTTTTAAATTTTATTTTTCCCTTTAAACATAACGACACACACTCAATTCATTGTGCTAGATAAATTACCAGTGCGACACAAATTAAGATATGCAATTCAAAGAATTTTGCATACACGGAGTCCTGAAAGTGTTAATAACTTTCAATGCAAAGATAATTAATTTTATGAAAGTAATAGAAGACCAAAAATAGGTATTAAACCATTATTTATTATGTAAGTATCTTCCTTTTTCTGAATCACCCATGATTACTTTCTCCAACAAGCAAAAGCTGACTACATACTTCAAGATCTGTCTCAAATCTCCCCAGCCTCTTTTCTTAAACCTCTCTAGCCTCTCAGGACAGGCAGGCTGCTCCTGTACTTTGTGCATTCTATTTTTAGTGAGAGGCCTATTTTGTCAGTTTTGTCTGAATGTGTATCTGCCAACCCCCAGACTTTCAGTCGCTTATTTATTTATTTGATCTCTTTTCTTGTATTTCCCTTTTCCTTTTATTTCCTTTCTTTTTCCCTTTCCTCTTCGCTTCCTTTGCTTACTTCTTTTTTTTCCTTTAATTCCCATTCACTATTGCCATGACTGTCAAATAGTAGGTTGATACTTTAAAATATTCTTAATAAATTGTTCTACACATCTGAAGGACCTATACAAATACAGTATTATAAGATGTGAGACTCAGGCCCAGTAAAAGATTCAAACAAAACTGAAAATGGTCAATTACATCTGAGCAGGAGACTTCATTTTTTTGTTTATCTGTATTCATTTATCTGTGTTTAAATTTCTAAAACCAAGTTATACAATTAAACATGAAGAAATTTCTGTTTTTAAAAAACATTCAAGCACAAGTTTGCTGTTGCTTTTGTTGTTATTTGCTTGAGACACACATACAATGTACTGGAGATATTAAAATAATGGTTGTGCTAAACTGGCATTTGAATGTACATAGACACAACTCCTGTTAATGTGTTCTTAAATGGAAGGCTATGTGTACCCAGAATCTATTGCACTAGCCTAGAATGCTACCCAGAGCAATTATTTAGGTGACAGGGCCCTTGAGGTTTTCTAAAGTCGCATGGCGTTCATTACCTTCCCCGTGTAACCTCACAGAAAAGCCCATAGAAATAGAGACGCTGAGGCATGAAGTTCTGTGTTCCTCACTGGTGTTCGTTTGTTTGTTTGTTTGTTTGTTTTTTGAGACGGAGTCTCGCCCTGTGGCCCAGGCTGGAGAGCAATGGCGCCATCTCTGCTCACAGTAACCTCCCCCTCCTGGGTTCAAGTGATTCTCCTGACTCAGTCTCCTGAGTAGTTGGGATTACAGGTGCACGCCATCACATCCCGCTAATTTTTTTTTTTTTTGTATCTTTAGCGCAGAGACGGGGTTTCACCATGTTGGTCAGGCTGGTCTCAAACTCCTGACCTCAGGTGATCTGCCTGCCTTGGCCTCCCAAAGTGCTGGGATTACAAGCATGAGCCACTGCGCCTGGCCCCATGGTTTAAATATACCACATTTTCTTTATCCACTTGTTGGCTGTTGGGCATTTAGGCTGGTTCTATGTTTTTGCAATTGTAAATTGTGCTGCTATAAACATGACTGTGCATGTGTATTTTTCATATGACTTATTTTCCTTTGGGTAGATACCCAGTAGTGGCATTGCTGAATCAAATGGTAGTTCTACTTTTAGTTCTTTAAGGACTCTCTAGTTTTTCCATAGTGCTTGCGCTATTTTACATTCTCACCAGCAGTGTAAAAAGTGTTCCATTTTCACCACATCCACGTCAACATTTATTATTTTTTGATTTTTTAATTATGGCCATTCTTGCAGGGGTATCTCATTGTTTTAATTTGCATTTCCCTGATAGTGATGTTGAGCATTTTTTTACACATTTGTTGGCTGTTTGTGTATCTTCTTTTGGAATTGTCTATTCATGTCCTTTGCCCACTTTTTTTTTTTTTTCGAGATGGAGTTTCACTCTTGTTGCCCAGGCTGGAGTGCGATGGCACCATCTGGGCTTACTGCAACCTCTGCCTCCCAGGTTCAAACAATTCTCCTGCCTCAGCCTCCCAAGTAGCTGGGATTACAGGCATGTGCCACCATACCCAGCTAATTTTGTATTTTTGGTAGAGACAGGGATTCACCATGTTGGCCAGGCTGGTCTTGAACTCCTGACCTCAGGTGATCCACTCACTTTGGCCTCCCAAAGTTCTGGGATTACAGGTGTGAGCCACCATGCCCGGCCCCTTTGCCCACTTTTTGATGGGATTATTTGTTTTTACTTTTGCTGATTTGTTTGAGTTCCTTGTAGATTCTGGATATTATCTTTTGTTGGATGCATAGTTTGTGAAGATTTTGTCCTAATCTGTGGGTTGACTGTTTATTCTGTTGATTATCTCTTGCTGTGTAGATGCTTTTTATTTTGTTACATTTACATTTGGATTCTTGGTCATAAATTCTTTGCCTAATCCAATGTCTAGAAGAGTTTTTCCAATGTTATCTTCTAAAATTTTTATGGTTGCAGGTCTTGGGTTTAAGTCTTTGATCCATCTTGAGTTGATTTCTGTTTAAGGTGAGTGACAAGGACCCAGTTTTTTCTCCTATATGTGGCTAGCCAATTATTTCAGCACTATTTATTGAATAAGGTGTCTTTTCCCCCACTTTATGTTTTTGTATGATGTGCCAAAGATCAGTCGGCTGTAAGTATTTGGCTTTACTTCTGGATTATCTATTCTATTGCATTGGTCTATGTGCCTATTTTTATACCAGTACCATGCTGTTTTGGCAACTATAGCCTTGTTGGAAGTCAGGTAATGTAACGCCTCCAGCTTTGTTCTTTTTGCTTAGTATTGTTTTGGCTATGTAGACTCTTTTTTGTTCCATATGAATTTAGGATTGTTTTTTCTAGTTCTGTAAGGGCTGATGGTAATATTCTGATGAAAATTATATTTAATCTGTAGATGGCTATCAGCAGTATAGTCATTTTCACAATATTGATTCTACCCATCCATGAGCATGGGATGTGTTTCCATTTGTTTATGACATCTATGATGTCTTTCAGCAGTGTTTTGTAGCTTTCCTTGTAGTGATCTTTTACCTCCTTGAGTAAGTATATTCCTAAGGGTTTTTGTTTGTTTGTTTTGTTTTGTTTTTGGCAGCTGTTGTAAAAGGGATTGTGTTCTTAATTTGATTGTCAGTTTGGTCGTTGTTGGTGTATCGCAGAGCTACTGATTTGTGTACATTGATTTTGTATCCTGAAACTTTTATTGAATTTATTTATCAGATCTAGGAGCCTTTTTTAAAGGTTTTCAAAGTATACAATCATGTCATTGGTGAACAACAACTAGTTTGACTTTCTCTTTTCCAATTTGGGTGCCCTTTCCCTTGTTTGATTGCTCTGGCTAGGACTTCCAGTACTATATGTTGGCTGTGGGTTTGTCATAGATGGCATTTATTACTTTGAGGTGTGTCCCTTCTATGCCAATTTTGTTGAGGGTTTTTATTATAAAGGTATGCTATATTTTGTCAAATGCTCTTTTTGCATCTATTGAGGTAATCATATGATTTTTGTTTTTAATTCTGTTTATGTGATATATCACATAGAGGTGTGAGCTTCCAGTGGAGAGAGTTAGAGAACTGAAAAGAGTGTCACTTCTAGTCTTAAAAGAAAAAAAGAATCCAAGATAGTCTGCAAATTAAAGGCTTTTCTTGAACTCATGAAAGAACTGAGATCATAGGGTAAACAACTAACATGAAAAATGGAAAGAGACAGGTGCCTGCAGGGAGAGGCAGGACTTATAGCATATGCTACCAAAGGCCATATAAAATAGTAAGAAGGCTGGACACAGTGGCTCACACCTGTAATCCCAGCACTATGGGAAGCTGAGGCGGGCCTATTACCTGAGATCAGGAGTTTGAAACCAGCCTGGCTAACATAGTGAAAACTTGTCTCTACCAAAAATAAAAATTATCCAGGTGTGGTGGTACAGGCCTGTAATTCCAGCTACTTGGGAGGCTGAGACATGAGAATCACTTGAACCTGGGAGACGGAGGTTGCAGTGAGTCAACATTGTGCCACTGCACTCAAGCCTGGGTGACAGAGACTCCATCTCAAAAAAAAAAAAAAAAAAGGTAAGAAGATTGGGCTAGACATTTTTAATGAACTGCTTAAGATGGAGTATAGGCTGGCATGAGTGGTTAAAGTCCTGGGGGTTTCAGGCAACGGAGACTTAACCCTCCCCTGTCCCCAACTCCCCATACACATTGGCATGCTTTTATTTCAGGGATCCCAAAAGGTGGGAATATCAGGAAATCATGAGCAACTTCCCATTGTGGTGCTCCCTGATGGAGCAAAACAGCAGCCACTGTCAAAACTCCACAAAGAACTGTATCTTCTATCTGCTTTAAGGACTGCAGGGAATGGCAACAAGACTGGAGCCAGTAGGCACTGCTGGAAATTCCTTCAGCTCAGGGAGGAAAACTGGGAAATAAAGCTCTGCCTCTGAAGGGTGCCAGGATACCATGATAGTCCCAGCATTACATCCTGATGAGGCTCAAGAACATTTATGAGGGCCAAATCATGAAGGCAAGGTCCTCAGTGCCTGCTGAACACTGAGGCTTCATCAGAACCACAGAGGAAGTACCCTCTCCCTGATCCCAACACCATACCAGCAAGCATGAAAAAGATGAATAGGAAAAGAAAGCAAGGAGGGCATTAAGAGATATCAAGGATGAAGAGGGACATGGCATAGCAATACCAGTCAATTTTTCAAGAAGTCATAGTAACTCTAAATGTGTATGAACCTAACAAAAGAGCTTCAAAATACATGAGACAAAAACTAATAGAACTGAAAGGAGAAATAGTTAAATTCACAATCATATTTGGATACCTCAACATTCCTGTCTCAATAATTAAAAGAACAAGTTGGCAAAACAAACAAACAAAAAACCAGTAGGATATGGATTACACAATATAATATAGGAAGATCACTCTTAACCAACTTGATCTAATTGATTTCACAGAAGACTTTATTGAACAGCAGCAGTAGGATGCATAGTCTCCTCAATTGTATATAGAGCAATCATCTGGGTAGACCACATTCTGGGCCGTAAAACACAGTTTGACAAATAGAAAAGAAATCACACAATGTGTGTTCTCAGACTAGAAAGGGATTAAACTAGAAGAAATAACAAAATTCCTAATGAATCAATAACAAAATGATATATGAAATGTATCACTTACTTTGAGAATGAGAGATACACTTCCAAATTACCCATGGATCTAAGAAGAGGAGTCAGGAAAAAAAAATTTAAATATATTTTTAACTAAATAAAAATAAAAATACAAGATACCAAAGACATTGATGAAAATACCAAATAAAATCTAAATAAATAGATTGGAAGATTTAAGATCATTAAGATGTCATTTTCTTTCAATTTGATGTGGTCTACAGATTTAATGTAATACCAGTCAAAATGCCAGTAAGGTTTCTTTTTTTTTTCTTTTTCTTTTGATCTTCCCATTTTCTCTACCCATCAGCCTCTGGTAACTGACATTCTACTCTCTGCTTCTATGCGTTTGACATTTAAAAATTCCGTACATATGTAACATCATGCACTACTTGTCTTTCTATGTTTGGCTTATTTCACTTAGCATAATTTCCTCAGGATTATCCATGTGTGGCAAATGGCAGATCACCTCCTTAAGGCTGAACAGTATTCCATTGTGCATATATACTACCATTTCTTTATACATTTATCTGTTGATGGACACTTGGGTTGATTCCAGGTTTGGCTATTGTGAATAATGCTGCAGTAAACATGGAAGTGCAGATATCCCTTTGAGATCTGGATTTCATTTCCTCTGGGTATATACCCAAAAGTGGTATGGCTGGATCATGTGGCAGTTTTATATTTTTGAGTAACTTCCATACTGTTTTTCATAATAGCTATGCCAATTTACAGTCCAAAGAACAGTGTGCAAAGGTTCTCCTTTTTTAAATTCTTTTTTTAAATTATACTTTAAGTTCTAGGGTACATGTGCACAACGTGCAGGTTTGTTACATATGTATACATGTGCCATGTTGGTTTGCTGCACCCATCAACTCGTCATTTACATTAGGTATTTCTCCTAATGCTACCCCTTCCCCAACCCCCACCCCCTGACAGGCCCCTGTGTGTGATGTTCCCTGCCCTGTGTCCAAGTGTTCTCATTGTTCAATTCCCACCTATGAGTGAGAACATGCAGTGTTTGGTTTTCTGTTCCTGTGTTAGTTTGCTGAGAATGATAGTTTCCAGCTTCATCCATGTCCCTGCAAAGGACATGAATTCATCCTTTTTTATGGCTGCACAGTATTCCATGGTGTATATGTGCCACATTTTCTTAATCTACTCTATCATTGATGGACATTTGGGTTGGTTCCAAGTCTTTGCTATTGTGAATAGTGCTGCAATAAACATACATGTGCATGTGTCTCTATAGTAGTATGATTTATAATCCTTTGGGTATATACCCAGTAATGGGATTGCTGGGTCAAATGATAATTCCAGTTCTAGAACCTTGAGGAATCACCACGCTGTCTTCCACAACGGTTGAACTAATTTACACTCCCACCAACAGTGTAAAAGCAATCTCATTTCTCCACATCCTCTCCAGCATCTGTTGTTTCCTGACTTTTCTTTTTTTTTTTTTTTGAGACAGAGTCTCACTCTGTCGCCCAGGCTGGAGTGCAGTGGCGCAATCTCTGCTCTCTGCAAGCTCTGCCTCCTGGGTTCACGCCATTCTCCTGCCTCAGCCACCTAAGTAGCTGGGACTACAGGTGCCCGCCACCACGCCCAGCTAATTTTTTGTATTTTTAGTAGAGACGGAGTTTCACCGTGTTAGCCAGGATGGTCTCGATCTCCTGACCTCGTGATCCACCCGCCTCAGCCTCCCGAAGTGCTGGGATTACAGGCGTGAGCCACCGCGCCCGGCCTTCCTGACTTTTTAATGATTGCCATTCTAACTGGCGTGAGACGGTATCTCATTGTGGTTTTGATTTGCATTTCTCTGATGACCAGTGATGATGAGAATTTTTCTTTTTCTTTTTTCTTTTTTTAAATCTCAGGAATTGTTCAACTATCCACTTATTTGAACAGATGAAATAAAACATTGTTATCAGTGAAGACAATGATCAGCTATAAGGAGACATATAAAATAACAGTGGTTTAAACTAATTCCTTTCCGAGTTTACTGAGCATAGGGATTAGCTGGGGATTGTTAAAATGCAGATTGTCATTCAATGCGTCAGGATGGGGCCTGAAAATCTGCAGTTCTGACAAGGTTGCAAGGAATACTGATGATGCTGGTGGGTTGAGGACCACACTCTAAGTAACAAGGATGTAAAAAAGCTTATTTATTACATAAAAAGTAGAGGTAGAAAGTTCAGGGCTGGTAAGACAGCTCCCTAAGTTATTCAAGGTCCCACCTCCTTTCACTTTCAGATTTCACCATCTTTAGGGTGTGGTCTTCATTCTTATGGTCCATTATGTAGCTCCAGCTATCATATCTATGTCCCATGCAGCAGGATGGAAAAAATGGGATGGTAGGAGGAGCGTGGGAACCATAAGAATATGCCAGTGTCTCTCAAGGAAGATTTCTGGAATCTACCACATGAAAATTTCAAACCTTTTCTATTAGCCAGAACTTAGTCACCTGACCACATCCAGGTGAGAGGCAAGCTGGGAAATGTTACTTTTTTTTTTTATTATTATACTTTAAGTTTTAGGATACATGTGCACAACGTGCAGGTTTGTTACATATGTATACATGTGCCATGTTGGTGTGCTGCACCCATTAACTCGTTATTTAGCATTAGGTATATCTCCTAATGCTCTCCCTCCCCCCTCCCCCCACCCCACAACAGTCCCCGGTGTGTGATGTTCCCCTTCCTGTGTCCATGTGTTCTCATTGTTCAATTCCCACCTATGAGTGAGAACATGCGGTGTTTGGTTTTTTGTCCTTGCGATAGTTTGCTGAGAATGATGGTTTCCAGCTTCATCCATGTCCCTACAAAGGACATGAACTCAGATGATGAGCATTTTTCATGTGTCTATTGGCTGCATAAACATCTTCTTTTGAGAAGTGTCTGTTCATATCCTTTGCCCACTTTTTGATGGGGTTATTTTCTTTCTTGCAAATTTGTTTAAGTTCCTTGTAGATTCTGGATATTAGCCCTTTGTCAGATGGGTAGATTGCAAAGATTTTCTCCCATTCTGTAGGTTGCCTGTTCACTCTGATGGTAGTTTCTTTTGCCGTGCAGAAGCTCTTTCGTTTAATTAGATCTCATTTGTCTATTTTGGCTTTTGTTGCCATTGCTTTTTGTGTTCTAGTTATGAAGTCCTTGCCCATGCCTATGTCCTGAATGGTATTGTCTAGGTTTTCTTCTAGGGTTTTTATGGTTTTAGGTCTAACATTTAAGTCTTTAATCCATCTTGAATTAATTTTTGTATAAGATGAAAAGAAGGGATCTAGTTTCAGCTTTCTATATATGGCTAGGCAGTTTTTTCCAGCACCATTTATTAAATAGGGAATCCTTGCCCCATTTCTAGTTTTTGTCAGTTTGTGAAAGATCAGATGATTGTAGATGTATGGTGTTATTTCTGAGGCCTCTGTTCTGTTCCATTGGTCTATATACCTGTTTTGGTACCAGCACCTTGTTGTTTTGGTTACTGTAGCCTTGTAGTATACTTTGAAGTCAGGTAGTGTGATGGATGCCTCCAACTTTGTTCTTTTTGATTAGGATTGTCTTGGCAATACGGGCTCTTTTTTGGTTCCATATGAACTTTAAAGTAGTTTTTTGCAGTTCTGTGAAGAAAGTCATTGGCAGCTTGATGGGGATGGCATTGAATCTATAAATTACCTTAGGCAGTATGGCCATTTTCACGATATTGATTCTTCCTATCCATGAGCATGGAATGTTCTTCCATTTGTTTGTATCCTCTTTTATTTTGTTGAGCAGTGGTTTGTAGTTCTCCTTGAAGAGGTTTTTCACATCCCTTGTATGTTGGATTCCTATGTATTTTATTATCTTTGTAGCAATTGTGAATGGGAGTTCATTCATGATTTGGCTTTCTGTTTGTCTGTTATTGCTGTATAGGAATGCTTGTGAATTTTCCACATCGATTTTGTATCCTGAGACTTTGCTGAAGTTACTTGTCAGTTTAAGGAGGTTTTGTCATCTGCAAACAGGGACAATTTGACTTCCTCTTTTCCTAATTGAATACCCTTTTTTTCTTTCTCTTGCCTGATTGCCCTGGCCAGAACTTCCAACACTATGTTGAATAGGAGTGGTGAGAGAGGGCATCCTTTTCTTATGCCGGTTTTGAAAGGGAATGCTTTCAGTTTTTGCCCATTCAGTATGAATTTGGCTGTGGGTTTGTCATAAATGGCTCTTATTATTTTGAGGTACATTCCATCAATACCTAGTTTATTTAGAGATTTTAGCATGAAGGGTTGTTGAATTTTGTCGAAGGCCTTTTCTGCATCTATTGAGATAATCATGTGGTTTTTGTCATTGGATCTGTTTATGTGATGGAGTAGGTTTATTGATTTGCATATGTTGAACCAGCCTTGCATCCCAAGGATGAAGCTGACTTGATCGTGGTGGATAAGCTTTTTGATGTACTGCAGAATTCAGTTTGCCAGTATTTTATTGAGGATTTTTGCATCAATGTTCATCAGGGATATTCGTCTAAAATTCTCTTTCTTTGTAGTGTCTCTACCAGGCTTTGGTATCAGGATGATGCTGGCCTCATAAAATGAGTTATAGAGGATTCCCTCTTTTTCTATTGATTGGAATCATTTCAGAAGGAATGGTAGCAGCTCATTTTTGTACCTCTGGTGAATTCGTCTGGAATCCCTGTGGTCCTGGACTTTTTTTGGTTAGTAGGCTGTTAATTATTGCCTCAATTTCAGAGCCTGTTACTGGTCTATTCAGAGATTCAACTTCTTCCTGGTTTAGTCTTGGGAAGGTGTATGTGTCCACGAATTTATCCATTTCTTCTAGATTTTCTAGGCTATTTGTGTAGAGGTGTTTATAGTATTATCTGGTGGTAGTTTGTATTTCTGTGGGATCGGTGGTCATATCCCCTTTATCACTTTTTATTGTGTCTATTTGATTCTTCTCTCTTTTTTTCTTTATTAGTCTTGCTAGCAGTCTATCTATTTTGTTGATCTTTTCAAAAACCAGCTCCTGGATTCATTGATTTCTTGAAGGGTTTTTCGTGTCCCTATCTCCTTCAGTTCTGCTTTGATCTTAGTTATTTCTTGCCTTCTGCTAGCTTTTGAATTTGTTTGCTCTTGCTTCTCTAGCTCTTTTAATTGTGATGTTAGGAAGTTAATTTTATATCTTTCCTGCTTTCTCTTGTGGCCATTTAGTGCTATAAATTTCCCTCTACACACTGCTTTAAATGTGTCCCAGAGATTCTGGTATGTTGTGTCTTTGTTCTCATTAGTTTCAAAGAATATCTTTATTTCTGCCTTCATTTCATTATGTATCCAGTAGTCATTCAGGAGCAGGTTGTTCAGTTTCCATGTAGCTGTGCGGTTTTGAGTGAGTTTCTCAATCCTGAGTTCTAATTTGATTGCATTGTGGTCTGAGAGACAGTTTTTTGTGATTTCTGTTCTTTTACTTTTGCTGAGGAGTGCTTTATTTCCAATTACGCAGTCGATTTTAGGATAAGTGGGATGTGGTGCTGGGGAGAATGTATATTCTGTTGATTTGGGGTGGAGAGTTCTGTAGATGTCTATTAGGTCTGCTTGGTGCAGAGCTGAGTTCACGTCCTGAATATCCTTGTTAACCTTCTGACTCATTGATCTGTCTAATATTGACAGTGGGGTGTTAAAATCTCCCATTATTATTGTGTGAGTCTAAGTTTCTTTGTAGGTCTCTAAGGACTTGCTTTATGAATCTGGGTGCTCCTGTATAGGGTGCATATATATTTAGGATAGTTAGCTCTTGTTGAATTGATCCCTTTAGCATTATGTAATGGCCTTCTTTGTCTCTTTTGATCTTTGTTGGTTTAAAGCCTGTATTATCAGAGACTAGGATTGCAACCCCTGTTTTATTTTTGGTTTTTGTTTTTGTTTTTGTTTTTGTTTTTGGCTTTCCATTTGCTTGGTAGATCTTCCTCCATCCCTTTATTTTGAGCCTATGTGTGTCTCTGCGTGTGAGATGGGTCTTCTGAATACAACACACTGATGGATCTTGACTCTTTATCCAATTTGCCAGCCTGTGTCTTTTAATTGTGGCATTTAGCCCATTTACATTTAAGGTTAATACTGTTATGTGTGAATTTGATCCTGTCATTATCATGTTAGCTGGTTATTTTGCCTGTTAATTGATGCAGTTTCATCATAGCATCGATGGTCTTTACCATTTGGCATGTTTTTGCAGTGGCTGGTGCTCGTTACTTCTTTCCATGTTTAGTGCTTCCTTCAGGAGCTCTTGTAAGGCAGGCCTGGTGGTGACAAAATCTCTTAGCATTTGCTTGTCTGTAAAGGATTTTATTTCTTCTTCACTTATGAAGCTTAGTTTGGCTGGATATGAAATTCTGGGTTGAAAATTCTTTTCTTTAAGAATGTTGAATATTGGCCCCTACTCTCTTCTGGCTTGCAGGGTTTCTGCGGAGAGATCCGCTGTTAGTCTGATGGGCTTCCCTTACCTGACCTTTCTCTCTGGCTGCCCTTAACACTTTTTCCTTCATTTCAACCTTGGTGAACCTGACAATTATGTGTCCTGGGGTTGCTCTTCTCGAGGAATATCTTTGTGGTGTTTTCTGTATTTCCTGAATTTGAATGTTGACCTGCCTTGCTAGGTTGGGGAAGTTCTCCTGGATAATATCCTGAAAAGTGTTTTCCAACTTGGTTCCATTCTCCCCATCGCTTTCAGGTACACCAATCAAATGTAGATTTGGTCTTTTCACACAGTCCCATATTTCTTGGTGGCTTTGTTCATTTCTTTTTACTCTTTTTTCTCTAAATTTCTCTTCTCACTTTATTTCATTTTTTGATCTTCAATCACTGATATCCTTTCTTCCACTTGATCAAATCGGCTATTGAAGCTTGTGCATGTGTCACGAAGTTCTCATGCCATGGTTTTCAGCTCCATCAGGTCATTTAAGGTCTTCTCTAGACTGTTTATTATAGTTAGCCATTCGTCTAACCTTTTTTCAAGGTTTTTAGCTTCCTTGCGATGGGTTAGAACATGCTCCTTTAGCTCAGAGAAGTTTGTTATTACTGACCTTCTGAAGCCTACTTCTGTTAACTCGTCAAAGTCATTCTCCATCCAGCTTTGTTCTGTTGTTGGCGAGGAGCTGCGATCCTTTGGAGGAGAAGAGGTGCTCTGGTGTTTAGAAATTTTCTGCTTTTCTGCTCTTGTTTCTCCTCATCTTTGTGGTTTTATCTATCTTTGGTCTTTGATGTTGGTGACCTACAGATGGGGTTTTGGTGTGGATGTCCTTTTTGTTGATGTTGATGTTATTCCTTTCTGTTAGTTTTCCTTCTAACAGTCAGGTCCCTCAGCTGCAGGTCTGTTGGAGTTTGCTGGAGGTCCACTCCAGACCCTGTTTGCCTGGGTATCACCAGCAGAAGCTGAAGAACAGCAAATATTGCAGAACAGCAAATATTGCTGCCTGATCCTTCCTCTGGAAGCTTCGTCCCAGAGGGGCACCCACCTGTATGAGGTGTCTGTCGGCCCCTACTGGGAGGTGTCTCCCAGTTAGGCTACACAGGGGTCAGGGACCCACTTGAGAAGGCAGTCTGTCTGTTCTCAGAGCTCAAACGCCATGCTGGGAGAACCACTGCTCTCTTCAAAGCTCAGTGGGAAATGCAGAAATCACCCGTCTTCCACATCGATCATGCTGGGAGCTGCAGACCGGAGTTGTTCCTATTCGACCGTCTTGGGAAATACTCCAGGTTCTCTTTTTTCAACATCTTTGCCAACACTTTTAACCTTTCATCTTTTTGATAATAGCCGTCTTACGTAGGTGTGAGGTGATATCTCACTGTGGCTTTGATTTGAACTTCCCTAATAATTAGTGATGTTGAGCACCTTTTCATATACCTACTGGCCATTTGCAGGCCGTTGCCCGTTTTTTCATCAGATCCCTTTTTTTTTTTTTTTTACTATTTAGTTGTGTAGGTTCCTTATATATTTTGGACATTAATGTGTTTCGAATATATGCTTTGTAAATAAGTTATTTCATTATGTAGGTTGCCTTTTTATTCACTCAACAACATGAATGAACATTCAATGCAAAGTGAAAGAATCCAGCCCCGCAAAGCTATATTGTATCACTCCATGCACATGACATTCTAAGAAAGGATAGAGAGGCACAGGTTGTCAGAATCTGGGGGACAGAGAAAGGTTTATGAAAAGGAGGCTGCCCAAGGCAAATTTTAGGGTAATGCATATGTTCTACACCATACTGTGATGGTGAATACAGGATTTTATGCATTTGTCAAAACCCATTGAACTGTACACCACTTTGTAAACTTTACTTCCTCCAAATTGCAAAGCTCACTGAAAGGGGTGGGGGATAAAGGATGATCTAAGTAACTTTGTAAAGCAATCTACTGACTGGGCACTGTTAGTCCAAAGATGAAACAAACTGTATAATCTGTACTCTTTTGTTGGCTTTTTTTGTCAAAGGAGTATGGTTAGCAGTTGTGAGGCAGCTTAACATGTATATTAGGGTTGAAAGAGTAAGTAACTAAACAGTAGATTATAGGACTCAGTTTTATTATTGTCAGAGAATGAATTGGCAAATAAGCAACAGAGAAGAGCTTAAGTGAACACCATGGTGTTGGATTAGTCAGAAATATCAGTAAAAACTCATGTTTATTTTAATATCTGCATTTTAATATATAAATATTGCTTAATATACTTATAAGTATTCTCTATATAATAATATTGTAATATTATATACTTATTTGTTATTTATAATGCTTACATTTTGTATTGCTTATTGAATATTGTATTACACTGGAGATACTTCAATTTATGTAAACCTTCCTCATTCTTCTTCAGCAGCTGCTTAGTTTCACATCATGTTTGTATAATATGATACTTCATCAACCAATTAATGGGTTAATTACTGATATACACAATCTTATGGGTATCTTCAGGATAGAGTATAAAATATAGAGTCAAAACTTCAGTGTTTGCATATTTTAAACTTGGACAATCATTACCACATTCTCCTCTGAGAAAATCAGAGAGCTTTTCCCTTTCACTAATGGCTAGTGCTCACACTATTTCTCCCACTCTTGCAAAAACTGGATATTATGTCCACATCTATGTACCATTTTTGTTGTGATTGACAAAATTGAACTTCAACTAATCTGACTGATATGAAAAGGGATGCTGTTTTACTTTCTTATTTTTTAGTTTTCCTGAATGTGTCCAATTTGCACCATCTCTCCCACAGAGGACAAATAAAAAAATCTCGCATTACTTAAGAATTATTTCGTGGCGTGTGTCTCTCCAGACTTTTGTTATGGTGTCACTACTTGCAAGCTGTGAGTCTGTTTTGAGAACTCTCTCCATCTCTCCAAATAAAAACATATCAGAACAGTGATGGTGGTAATGTCATTTTATCTAAATATGAAGCTGGTACTTTTTGTGTTTTGCAAATAGTGCTGTTCCGTAAACTTTCCATCAAAGGAGATTTTAGAGAGAACGTATGGATCAACTTCTCCACAGTTCCTATGAACAACCCTTGATGGCGGTGTTACTTGCTTTAGTACCTCTGAATATAGATTTTTTGGCTGGATCAAAATTCGTTCTTCAGTCATAAACCTGAGAATTATATTTTTAAATATTTTTAAAATAAATCACCACAGAGTGTGCCCTATATTCTCTTAAGTCTTCCAATGTATTCTCTAATGTTTAGTCTCAGCTGGAGAACTGACCTTGTATTTTGGTTACTCAGAACATTAGTTTCCAATTTAGTTTAACTGAAAGTGCTATTGAAATGTTGAGTCAGTTCTTTACAGAAAAATCTTGTATATCTGTCTTTCCTCCTATTGCAGAACATGCATAACTAGTGGATATGTTAATGGAAATCCATCTGTTTTAGAGCTGATCTTAAGAGTTTAGGTTATTTTGTGTGTTATAAACTGTGAATATGAGTATACCAGCAGCATACAATGTAGCTGTAGTGGTATTTCAATGAATTTCACTTCCTTTTGAGTCTAGGCTGTTTGAAGTCTATATAAACTTATTTTCAAATATAACCTTTACCTAAAAAAGTAATAATAAAAATCGATTTTTGCATGTTAAAATTATTACTTTGATGACAAAAGACATATTCTTTCATGGTTTCAGCAATGAGAGGAAATGTAATGCTTATTTCAATATTTCACCTAAATATGTCTAGCTGTTAAACAACAACAACAAAACCTCCCTCATGAGAGGGGTTTCCTTTGAGAATCTCTGGTCTGGTTGACCTCTTGGATTCTGTATAAATCTAAGAGTCTATGAAAAGGTGTGTATGGAGCTATTTTCAAAGAATATTTTTCTTTGATTAATCATTTACTGATATATATCTTCAGTAGGAAAAAAAAGTGCACTCAGTGTTTTCCACGTTTCCCTAAGTCCTCTGCAGGTCTCAACAAAGCCACTAGGTAATGGCTGTGTTGACTGATAAATATCGCATCAGGACAAGCCAAGCCTCCCCACCCTGTGAACCAAGGCTGATGATGGGGATGAATTACTCAGAAACACACCACGGGGTTTAACAGTTCTTGGAATACTTTTCCCCTAGAAACACCGAGAGCAGGTGAAATAGTAGGGTGTGAAGTGTAGGTGGTGACTTAGCATTAAGTCATTCTCTTGTCAAGGTCCCCTCTGACTTTGAAGAGCACCTCTATGTTGCCCCTGCCTCTGGGTGTGCAGCCCTCTTCTCTAATGCTTCTCCACCTGGGACTGTTTCAGTGGGCTTGACAGAAATGAGGAGCAGGCTTTTTTCTGTTTGTTTTAGAGCACTGTTTATGGAAAAGGTTTGAAGTGAAAGAGACTGTTCTGTAGATGAATAGATTACAAGGTCCTTTACCTAGGGACTTGATGGGCTAGAGAAGAAAAATGCTTAAGCAACGAGTTGTCATATAGAGTAAACAATTAATACTCATACACACACTGTCATAAGAAAGAGGTTGAATAGTTAATGATGCCTGGAGAATATGAGGGCAGGAAGATCAGGAATATTTCTAAAATAGAATTGTCATTGGATTTGATTATTTTGGAATACGAATATTTTATTAGTACATGGGGAATAAAGGGGCACGCAGGCATCAATGAAAAATCAAAATTTAAAAAAAACTGAAAAGACTACTGGGAAAGTTGAGCTCTCAGTGTAGCTCTGGAATGAGGTTCCTGGAGGTGGGGCATTTTAGGCAGCTTCTAAGATGACTTGCAAAGATTCCTGCCTTCTGGTATTTTTGCCAGTGTGTAATTCTCTCCCCTGGAGTGTGCTGGCCTTGTGAGTTGCTTCCAGCCAACATAATATGGTAAAGCCATAGGATGTCACCTTGTCATTAGTTTATAAAACATGATGCTTCCATGTTGCTAACAAATTCTATTGCCTTCTCAGTTCCTTGCTTTGATGAAGCAAGCTGCCATGTTGGAGACAAATGACTGAGGACAATGTCCGGCCAACAAGCAGAAAGGAAATGAATCTACCACCAACTATGTGGACATGGAAGTGGATTCTTTTCCTGTTGAGCCTTCTGATGACTCCAGCTCAGCCGATGCCTTGATGCAGCTAGGTGAGAGACCTCCAGCTAGGTGACCAGCCATCCAGTTGGCCCTGGACTGAGGGAAGTGGCTGGGATGCAGGGCTTTCTATTGTCTAACTGATGCAGTTTCTAGAAACCCATCCCAGCATGCCTGGAAATGAATTTTTTGGGATGAAGTCTTTTTGGTGCTAAGACAGGGAAAATCCTGGGCAAATTCTGATGAGTTGTTCATCTTACGCAAGAGACCCAGGTAACCTGTGCCTGGATTCCTGATCCACCGAAATCATGAGCTAATACATATAGGCTGTTTTAGGCTGCTAATTCCTGTGGCAATTTGTTGCCGGCAATAGATAGGGAGATGGGAAGGGATTGGGCTGAATATAATAAACATATTAGAAATGCAACGGGTTTTGTTTTGTGTGACAGACCAGGGAGTTTAGATTATTCATGGGCAATAAAGTACGACCATGAGTTCTTTTTTTAAAGATTATTTTTGATTAACAAATCGTAACTACTTACACTTATGAAATGTAATGTGATGTTTTGATAGAAGTATACAATGTGGAAGGTTTAAATCAAGCTAATTAGCATAACCATCAGCTTGCTTGGATACCAAGAGTTCTGAGCATGAAGGTGCCAGGCTTGGTCACTGCTTTGCACAGTCTTCTCATCTAATACTAATTAAAATAGAAATTTAACAATAACCCATACTCTGAGTACTTAATATGTGCCAGTCTATGGACTCTGTCCTTACACACCTTATTAGATCTTCCTCAAATGTTCATTAAATTTTGTCTATATTTCAGAAATTGGAAAAATAAGGCTTGGAAATATTAAGGAATATGTCTGAGGTCATTCATTCAGTCAGTGGGGGGCATGATTTGAATGTTCCTCTGTGAACCATGATGAAGGAGATAGGAGAGTCAACTTTTAGGACTGATGCAATTTTCAGGTCTTGAGAAATGAACCAAATTTCCATGTGGCATGGTTACTCTAATTGTAGAGATTTCAAATGAAGATGACGTTTACCTTTTCTCCATTATTAGCTGATGTTCCAAAATATTTATGTCTTCACTTGAGGGAAGATAAAGAAGTCAGGGGATTAGTTGCCAAACTAGATGTAAAGCCACGTGCTTGCGCATCCTGCACAGAGGGTAACCAAGCATTTCCTTCTGGTAGTCCTGTGTGGTGGCACAGAGACAGGTGAGGGTTTCCTTCAGGAACACACACACCATTGTGCATCAAAGGAAGAGCAGATGTGGGTGAGAATGATAACAGTAGTATTAAAGGAGTTCAATTGTAGTTAATTCAAGAAAAAAGAAGTACACAAAACTGTAAATGAGAGAGAGAAGTAGAAATGGTTCGGGGGGAAGTTAAATAATTGTATAGATTACTGTGTGCAAATACATGTGAAAACCTCTATGTGACTTTAGGGAACTATAAACATTCAAATAACCCAAGAAGAGAGAAATAAAATGTAAATGACTCCACATCTTATAAATCTTAATGATTAATGATGGAGAAAAACTAAAAACACTCAGATAGTCTTCTATATAAGAATAAGAGCAGTTTCATGGGTGAATCTTATAAAAGAATAAACTTTATGTGAAGATATACTTATTTAAATTCCTCAGTAAAGTGATGATGTATTTTACCTCTTATATTAGTAATATTTAAGAAGTTTTATAATATTTAGTACTAATTTTTATCAAAATGTAGAAACTATTCCGAGTCAGCAACTCTACTTCTTTTAATTTTTCCTACAAATTTCATGCAAAAGTATGCACACTTAGGAAGTTTTGTCTGTAATAACAAAATACAATTAATGACCAGGTGATAATTGGTAATAGTGGAAGATAAATGATCTGTGAAATCTGTGAAAATCCATGGGGATATAAGAAACAATAAAATGTGTTGACATGAGCTGACATGGAAATAAATTGAGGGAATGTGACTAAATGTTTTTAAAGCAGACTATAGAATGAGTATCTGCAGTATGATTTTTTAAAAGTAGATAAAAAGGTAGAGAAAGCTAGATCAAGAGAGAGAAAGACACAGAGGTCAAGAGAGAAGAGTACAGAATTAAGAATAGAGAAGAAGATGGAAATTGGCATAGGGATAAAAGTAGGATATGGAAAGAGATAGAGACAGGGAAGATAGAGACAGAAGTAGAGCGTGAAATAGCTGGAGCTACCCATTGTGTATGTGCAAGGGAAACCTCTAGAGGCATGTACAGGAGCCTGCTCCTAATTTTTCTCTAGGGAACAAAACTGTGGATTTAATATCAGCTGCAGACCGACAATTAGTTGTCTTTAAATTATAAAATATTTCAGATATATGCACATATAAGACATAATAAACATAATTGCTTCTCTAATTGCTAGTAAAATAAAACGTTACAAAACCATTGTCTTTCATAGCCTTCCAAGGTTGAGTCCCCTCTCTTCTTTCTAGAGGTCACCATGACCTTGAATTACGTCTTGTAACATCTTACATAAGACATTATGGTGTTGAGGGGTTTGAGGGAGTCCAGCTGTGGCTGCAGGTCCCAGGGTTTCCAGTCCACCTTACCAGTGGTAAAGTTGAGGTATATGCACACACATACACACATGCATATATATGAAACTGTAAAAATATGTTACCATCTTTGTATATTTTTACATTTGTAGAATAGTAACATTATATATATACTTTTATGACTTTTGTTTTTTCTACTCTTATTATCACTACTCCCAGGCCAACATATTCTTTGATTGTATGGTTCTTCCTCTACTTTTTATATTTTTTTCTTATATTTAAATATCTTTTCATATGGATACCTGCATTTCTAAGGCAGTCATTTTCACTGCTTACACCGGGATGAAGACCTAGCAACCTGCTTGAGCCTTCTCTGGTGGCAGCATCATGAGAACCTGTCTGGCCGCCACCGTGACTTGTAAAGTTGCCGTGACTCTCCCTGCGCACATCTCCTTATGCTCATGTTTCTTCCTAGAGTAGGTACACTCTCTTCCTAGAGGAGAGAAATGGAATTGTTGGATTGCATCACAGATACATTTTTTAATATACTCAATATTTCCAAATTTCTCTTCAGTTTGCAGAAATACACACATAGTGTTGAAATGCTCCTTGCTCTATATTTGTACCAACATTTTCTTTTGTAGAAGTTTTTTACTTCAGCTTATATTTATGAAATAGTATCAATATGAGATCTTAATTCCAATTTCTTTTTTCTTTTTTTTTGACGGAGTCTCGCTCTGTTGCCCAGGCTGGAGTGCAGCGGCGGGCTCTGGGCTCACTGCAAGCTTCGCCTCCCAGGTTCACGCCATTCTCCTGCCTCAGCCTCCCGAGTAGCTGGGACTGCAGGCACCCGCCACCACACCTGGCTAATTTTTTTGTTTTTGTATTTTTAGTAGAGATAGGGTTTCACCCTGTTAGCCAGGATGGTGTCGATCTCCTGATCTCATGATCCGCCCACCTCGGCCTCCCAAAGTGCTGGGATTACTGGCGTGAGCCACCCCGCCGGGCCCCAGTTTCTTAATTATTACCAATGTCTGTCATGTGGAAGAAATTATTATTCCATTTTCCTCTGTGTCTAGACATGTGGAAGGCTGCACTTTGTACCCCCATTTTAATCTTTTTTTGGGTGAAGGGATGAAAAAGTCACATAATTATCTTTGGCTCTCTTCTTTGAAAAGTTTACATGTGGTTTGGCACCTCCTTTGAAAGGCAGCAGCTTTCTCATGTTAACACCTTTTTACCCCGTGTAACCTCTTATTACACTGGTTCTTAACATTTCTATATCAAAAGCTGCTTTTACATAAACTGCACGAATCATGTGCTTTGTCTCTTTAATCTTTAAAGCAATTAACTACAGAATTAGATTATCTAAACTGGAATCAGCATTGCATTCCTGGGAGGAGAAGCTAACTTGGATCTTATCTTTTTAACATACTATTGGCTGAAGTGTTCTAAAATTCTATTAGGATACTTTCATTTATGCCCATAAATAATTTTGATCTGTAGTTTTTCTTTTCTACATACCTAAATTGGTGATTCATATCATATTTATCCTATAGTCTTAAGATTACTTTGGGAGTACTCCTTATTTTTATTCTCCGGGAAGTCATGCATAAGATTAAAATTTTATGTTCCTCAAATGCTTGATACAACTCACTTAATAAATGCCACTTTTGTTGTTTTCTGTGAATATCTTCAATGTTGTTTCAATTAATATAATTGTTATCTGTCCATTGAGGTTTTCTGCTACCTCCAACATGTTTTGTAGAGTGATATTTCTATTTATTTAACAATTTGTTAGCAGCTGCTACTGGCCTATTGAGATCATGGAGACCTTTTTCTCTCTGCTCCTTCCTGCTAAACCCAACTATAGAAATAATGCAGCAGACAGCCATGGGAGAAGCCTGGAGAGCAGTAAGAGGAAGGAGAACTCATGACTTATCCAGGACCCCAGAACTGGAGGAACAGCAGAGCAGCAGGGCATCTCAGCTCCTCAACCCAACATAAAAAGGCCACCTAGACTCAGCATTTCCCCACCCCCAAACCAGCAACATTTGACAGTTCAAGTAGGAACATATTTCCCTGGGCTGACCTGAGATCTCTGGCACCTCCAGCAAGGGGGATCAAAATGGACTCTTGACAATAGCAAGCAGCCAGGGCACCCACTCTCCTCTACTGGCTCCAAGACTGTCTTTTGCCAGCAGGAGACACTGACACTCTCGGGGAAAACCAGCAAGAGGTACCTTGACAGAAGAGGGACCTGGCCCAGGAAGTCTCTTCCCCATCCCTGCAGGCCAGAGACTCCCCTGTTCTGTGCAAAACACAAGATCAACAGCCAGAGGGGCTTGACACAAGCAGTGTGACCAGTGATGGCTTTGTCTTAAAGAGACAGAGACACTCCCCTTTTCAGCACAGAGACTGGGGGGCTGCCGAGGACAGTTGCAAAAAGGACTCCACCCAAAACTGGAAACAGCCCATATGTCCCTCGACAAATGAATGGCTAAACAAACTGGTGCATTCAGACATAATAGAATAGCTGTCCGGGATCACTCTCTCTGTGTGCTTACAGAGCAGCACAGAAAACTTACAAGTGTTTCTTCTCATCACTTCCTCCTCCCATGCTGTTCTTGTCCAGCATTTTTTTTAACCTTCTGATGTTGTTACCCACAAAATTAGTCATTGCCAATAGTGCTGATTTTATTTATGAGCAATATATCAATAAGTTACTGAAATATTGACATATTTTTGATTTAAAATTCTGGAATATAGACAAAGATACGAAATATTGTTTAAATAATGAAGATGAATGAAAAATACAATGAGAAAGTTTATTATTTTATTAGATTCTGGAGAAGATAATAAAAGCAATTGGTAGAGATGATATTTAAAGATATATACATGAAGATTTTCCTGAATAGATGAAGCTTTCAAATTCAGGAACGTGTCTCTTTCATCAGGCTGTTTGAAAAATGTTTCTTCATAGTTTTGCAGCTGCCTAATAATGTGCTTACTGTAAAATGAAGGAGAAAGATGTACCATGCAAATGGTTCTGCTTGCTATTGCTGCATTATTTAGGGATTTAAAGATTTTGTTGTTGTTATTTGTTGTTGCTGTTGTTCTGCCGAGATGCCTTAAATCTCAGGTAGCATGGGAAATTAAACTCTGCCGCTTCGCTAGGTAATATAGGATTTGTCTTGAAATGAACATGGAATCAAAAAGCAAAGTGCTTTTTTCTTCTTCTCTTAGAACTGTTTCCAATGATGAAAATTTTGACCCATAACATTCACCTGTTCATTTTATTATCCCACAGATACATGTATTTTTGTGCTGCTATATTAAAAAAACACTGCAGCCATGATGAATTCTCCCCTGCCCCCACATTATTCTCTCTCTGTCTCTTACACACACACACACACACACACACACACACACACACACACACACACGATAACTTTGGTTGTCTGCATTAGTTTCTCCTTATGTCAAACACCATTTATCCATTTTTTCTTTCTGGAAGGCTTGACTACACTGATCATGAATTATATACTTCCTGCAACTAGTATTGTCTATGGCAAACTGATCACCAGTAATAATCACTTGGTATTCTGTATATACCACAGCACAGGGATAAAACACAGCCAAAGAATTTATTAGAAACACAAGCAAATCTGGCATTAGCTTCCTTCTAATTGATGATAATTAGACAAACTATTTTAACATAATTATTCAGGTACAGGTACAAGGCATGTTGAAACAAGTTACTTGCATTCTAAGTTTCCATATGTGGAAAGCTTTACTGGAGAGCTATATATATATATGTATGTATATATGGAGATAGAGTAAGAGAAAGAGAGAGAGAAAGAGAAAGGGGAGGGAGAGGAAATGTTTCTTGTGCAATAGTATCATAAATTGAATACTAATTTTAGATCATTTTGCATTTGCTCAATGAGCAACAACTGAGCATGCCTGGTTTGCAAATTCAAGAGTATCTCAGCAGAGATCATTTTTCATTCTTTGTCTCTAAACTGATTTAATGCTACCTAATAAGCACCTGTACTTCCCTTTAGTCAATCTTTTTGTTCATTTCTTTAATGTGGTGATGTCAAACCTGTACAAACATAAGTTACACAGTTCATTTCCCTACTAGACTTGCTCTTCTACCTTCTGTGTAAAGTCATCATTTTCAAGAATGCTAAGCATGTAAAGTTGGGGACCACCTGTACTTTTGGAGGGTCACTTTGGTAGAACAACACTGGCACCTAGTGGCACGTGTTATGAAGGGAAATACCTCCCAAAGACAGGCCATGCAGGAGTGCAAATCCCCATGGATTTACCAATTGGTCCTCAAGACTTGGGTTTGCTGGTCCATAATAACATGCATTTTAATTGCACAAGTCACAGAGCTCCGGTTCTCAAAAATAGTGTGAAGAAAAAAAAACACTGTGCTACCTTTTGAGACTACAACTACTAGTTTATAATATTTTGCAGTGTAATTGATTATAGGAAATAAACTAATGACTTAATCAATGGACAACATCATATTGCCCAATGTTTTTGAGTAGATATTATAAGAAAAGAATAAAAAATCCACAATCTTTTCAAGTCCTAGAGGAATTTAGGGCCTAATCAAGGTGACTAGATGTTTATTTTTCAATTCATACATCCCAAAATATGTATGGATCCATTCCATGAGTTCTGTTTGAGGTACTGTGGGTAAAGAAATAGGGCAAGCTCCCAGTCTTCCAGGGGAGGTCAATCAACCAGTCAGTTATCTTATCTGCCCCATAGATGTAAAGGAATAAATATGGGTGAGAATTATAGAAACAAATCTTTTTTTTTTTTTTTTTTTTTTAATGGAGTCTCGCTCTGTTGCCTAGGCTGGTGTGCAATGGCGCAATCTTGGCTCACTGCAACCTCCGCCTCCCAGGTTCAGGCAATTCTCCTGCCTCAGCCTCCTGAGTAGCTGAGATTACAGGAGCCCACCTGCATGCCCGGCTAATTTTTTGTATTTTTAGTAGATACTGTGTTTCATCATGTTGGCCAGGCTGGTCTCCAACTCCTGACCTCAGGTGATCCACCCACCTCAGCCTCCCAAAGTGCTGGGGTTACAGGTGTGAGCCACTGCGCCTGGCAGGAAACAAATCTTTTACAGTGAAAGAGGAGAAGACTCTTGGCTGAGGAACACAGAAGTTTTCAGAAACCCACACTAACTCAGTTGGGTCTTGAATGGTGGGCGTAACTGGGCTATGCAGACATGAGAAGGAAGGAGGAGGAACATTTTGATGGATGATGTGCCCTAATCACGGCTTGAGTCAGGAAACCTTGGGGTGTATATAAAAAGGGTCCCAAGTAGTTTTTATAGAAACATGAGTCACAGGAAAGGGTTCAGAGGTACCATGTTGGACATGCAACTGGATGGACTGCAGGAAAGGCACTGGCTGGGTGCTTAGGGGAGGGAGAGGTGGCAGCCACCTCAGGGGTGGGCACTTGGGAATTCTTACAAGTCCTTTGACCTCTCTGTGGCCTTCACCACACTTTTTCTGGCACCCTCATCCCTCCACTCATCAGGTCATGGCTTTCTTCTGTAAGCCAAGGGCAACGTGACCACTTACTTGGAATTGTTCTGAGTAACAGCAATTTCAAACATCTGTCTTGTGATCAAATTATGTAAATAAAACTCCTGTTAAAAGAAAAAAAAATCATCCTGAGTAGAATTTTGTTTGTGTTTTGGGGTCCATGTGGCATAATAAAATTGTTTTCTAGAACGATAAATCCGGCTCCAGGAAGCAGAATGGAGTGGAGGTGAAAGACTGTCACCCAAGAACAATTGACTCCTTCAAGCCAAAGGCTCCAAGTGTCCCAAGCATTGTCATTGGACAATGGAGAATGGACCAAAGGGAGGCAGTAGGGGTTGGCTTGAAGATACACTGGACACTGAGCATTAGTGTTCATGGGGGCAGGGGACACACTGGGAACAGAAGGAAAGCCATTTCCTTCAGATAAGTGGAAAAGAGAGGAAGAGCAAACCTGAAGAGAAGGCAAACATGCTGAAGGAACGATGTCTAGCACGAGGCTCACTGTGGTGCTGTGTGTGGTGGGACAGGTACTCACTCTGTGGCTGGAATGGGGCTAAGCCTTCCCAGGAAGGCTGCTGGTGGCAAGGCGCGGCTCCAGGTATCCACACTAAAGAGAGTGTCAAATGTCGAGACAGGGTCTTGGGCCCCATGCCCCAAAGGGAGAGACACATCCCCAGCCTTCTGAGAGAGTGGCAACAGCATAGGCCCAGTTGCACGGTGAGGAAGGAGAGAAGCAGGTCCATGGCCCTGTCCTGGAGACCACTTGGGGATGTGTTGGGGAAGCCAGGACAGTGTTCCTCATGCTCCTTTTGCCGTAACCCAGGGAGACTTGCCCATGCTGTTCACCAGGGGGCTGCGAAAAGCAAGAGGCAGGCTCATTCTTGGGTGGTGGGGAAGGGTGATCATGGGAGGGGTAGAGGCAGAGCTCCGGCACTGGCTTCCAATTGCAGATGTAAGCGCTCTAGGGTGGCTCGGTGTATTATCCCACAGCAATGGGGTAAATTTCATTTTTGTGATAGCCTCCAGCACAGATAACTTACAGAGGCCACTGCAGGGAAGGCAATGCCAGAAAACACAAGAAAGGGGCAAGCGGGTGGCTTCCAGGGCAGGCGCTGCGACTGCCTCTGAGCATAGCTGTTTCCAGGGAGTGGGCCTCCTGCATCCACGAAGGTGCACCTGGCAGGACCCCTAGCAGATTTGCGTGGTCACTGGGATGGTTTGATGGGTGACGACGTTGCCCTGTTAGTGATCAGCCTACACACATGCACACATACACCACCAATGGGATTTGTCCATTTTTGACTTTTCCTTCATTCCATTATCTATCATCATGAACAATCCTTTCCTGACTTATGTTTTATGAACATCCCTCAGTCAGTTCTGTGGAGAAGGGATTGCAGTGGGATAAATATGTATCAGAAAAGCCACCTGGGAGGACAGTGTGACATTTCAAATTACGAATGAGGCAGCTCAGGGCAGGGCAGCAGCATGGGAACTGTAGATGGTAAGCATATTCAAAAGCATTTTGGAGGCAGAAAGAGTGTCTTGTAGAGATCAGGAGGCCAGGTGATTATGGGACGCATTATAGGTCTGTTGAGCTCTGCTGAGAGAGATTTGAGGCTGGGAATGGGTAACTTGCTGTTAGCACATAGGTGACTTGTGTAAGTTTCTTGGCATTATTCCACTGCTTGGATTCTGTCACAGGGAAAGCACAGTAGTGGGCCGTCATCTTCTTGCAATGGCAGCAATTGATTGCAATAGAGTGGACATATTAATGCTAGCTACAAAACTGAATTGTGTGACGGATGTATAGCCTAGTACACTGCCCTCTGTCCATCTCATGGAGGGCATCGGTTGCCCTTCAGGGGTGTTATGAATTTGTGGGTGAATGAATGATACAAATCTGAGTAAAGAAATAATGAAAAGGCTCTTTCCTCACACCAGTAAAGATAATTCTCACTGAAATTTGAAATCATTAAATGTCACCTTCTCAGAAAACTATGGTTGAACTTAATCTTATCCTCAGTGAAGAAGGACAATGACAACACAATAGAACTAACGTATTTCCAATCTGCTGTGAGGGTGAATAAGTACTATCATGCCTCCGCTGAAAAGTTTGCACAAGGGTTTTGGACATAAGGTAATCAGCCAATTTCTGCATTTTGTGAAGTTGTCCTGAGCTTAACAATACATTTACAAGGAAGAAGGTTCGGTACATTCATTGGTTTTCTCTATCCCAAATTTCCACACCTGGGTTGAAATAGCAGCTAACAATAGGTGTTGATATGCAGACTTGTTCCCAAGAATCTTTTGTGGCCTGAATTGCTGAAGGGGCTGGAACAGCTGTCCAGTGAGTGCTGCCTGGGCCAACCAAGGGAGGCTCACCCTTCCAGTTCTCAAGCAACCCTTTGAGAGAGTCCAAGGAGCCCTTACCTGGATGAGCTCTAAGCTCTCCCTTTAGCATATGGACCATTTACTTCTTTTTCTACACATGCAAAATTTATGTATTCATAAATATTAGTTTATTCCTTTGTAAAATGCATGTCTAAAGATCACCAAAGTCTACTGCAGAAAGCTTAACAGACAGCCCTCCATGGAGCCTTTGTTTAAAAATCTCTCCTTGAAGTGAACTGATTACCTAACAGCGCAGACCATTCTGTTGCCAAGAAGTCAATGCTGCTAGCAAGTCACCTCTTGTGAGTGTAACATCTGTCTGTGTGATAATCACACAGTCCTGGCTTAACTTCCCAGGCCCCGCTGAGTAGTTTGTTTTGTATCATAGAGGACTTCAGAATAGGAAAGAAATTCAATAGCAACAAATAAACACATTAAAGCATGTTTTCTGTGAAAATGTCCACTAAATGCATCTATTCTTCAGAATAAAAATATTTACTGTTTCTCCTAGGTGATTTCCATGGGACCCAGAATTATTCAGTTCAGATAACTACTTCTTAGGCTACCACAGTCAAAAACTCAAGTGTCGACAGGCAAAGACTAGTAGGAAAGGCCTGAGTAAAAGCTGTAATATAGGACAAATGTATAGGGAGAAAGACCTGCTATCTGACTTACCAGTAACTCGGGGTCTGCAACGTACCTGGAGAAAAAGTGAAAACTTTAGTCAAATGCCTAGAGGAAGTTGGCATCGGCATGTGGATGGGGAGGTAAGTTTTGCATCCTGCAGATTCACACACTTTGTCGGGATCAGGCTTGTTTTCCAAAGACAGCTGTGTCCAACGGTTGGGAGGCCACAGCCTGGAGTCAGGCCAGTCCATGGCAAATTTCCTGAGAGTAGGTAAAATTGGCTAAATCATAGAGAAAGTGTTGTCTCATCAGCCTCTAGAAGGTTCCTCATTCTCATTTTGCAGGTAATGAGACTAAGTGATGCTATTACAGTCTCTTCACCTTAGTTTTCTTATCTATAATTCTTTTAATAACTAAAAATAATAAAATAAATAATTTTAAAATAATTAGTTTTCTTCTTACCTGTAGCCTAGCCCCTTGCTTTCATCAGTGGTGATGTGGATGTCATCCTGCCTCCTAGTGCAGTGGTTCTGATTTGAATCCACACTTCATACACTCTGCACAGGGATGTCATGCCTCAGGCTTCCACTTCCTCCCTGGACTGAGCCAGTCATTATGGTACAGCCTGTGGTCACAGATCATTCCACGCCAGACTGAGCCCTGAGAGAGAGATTGGACTGGCCGCATCTCCAACTCTAATCTGAAAAGGGTGTTTGTCAAAAGAAAATAGGAAAAGATGAGCAAAAGTCAGCAGCTAGACATAAAGTCAGTTAATGAAAGACAATAAAAAGGGATATTTGGTAAAATTAATAGATTAGAAGAAAACAAATTCCCTCAAAAATCTTCCACCTTAAGATGGGAGGGAGTCTGCCATGGCCCACCTGCATGCCTGCACGTCTTGCTGAATGAGCCCAAATCACAAGCGCTTGTCTGTTTCCCTTACCTGGACCACTTCACAGAGTTGTTTCTGTAGCTGGCAGTTTTGAGCACTGAGCGATCACCAAGCTGTACTGCATCCCTTGGCCAGGTGCTGCACCTAGTTTCCTCAGAACCAAGAAGACATGTTCACCACTTACTGTCAAAGCAGCAGCTTCCCTAAGCTCAGGGTTCCCAGCTGCAGGGGAACCCCCTGCGGGAGGGACATCCACCTGAGACCCACATTTCCCACAGGGTATGTGGGAACGGGGGCCCATGTGAACACGCTGTGAGGAAGAAAGTTCTGTGTCTCTGACCCAGAAAGCTTACAGTTTGTGTCAGCATCAGTGAACTGTAGCTGATAACTTGTGAGCTTGTGGAGTTACTCTGAGGAAAGCTCTGCTTCTCTCTCTCCTCCACGCCACAAATGTTAATAGGAAAAAAGTCCCATAATTTTGGTGATGAGAATAGGATGCTGACAGAGACATAGCTTTCTGGAAGGTGAAGAACAAAAGATCTGCAGGACAGTTAATGGGATTTGAGAGAAGTCCAGGGAAATGATAGGAGACATCTTGGCCAAATCATATGATTCATTGGGCATTAAAGGGTTTAGCTATCCTCCATATCATTAAGGAGGGTAAAAATTCCACAACCCAACTCTCTCATTTTACCAATGAATTAACTGAAAGTATAAAAAAAGCTTTACCTATTTCACTTCTATTTAAGAGTGTAGCATTTTCATTGCAAAATCTACTTACATTTGAAATGTGATACATATATGTAATAAAACATTTCTTTTAAGTAATTATTGGATTAAAGAACAACAACATTTATTGCTTCTATTTATACTATGTTCTCCTCTATTATTTTTTCCTTTTTAGATATCAATTATATCATATTTATGTTTTGGAAAATACAGGAAAGCAAAAACAGAAAAATAAAATTACCCCAAATACCATCAATCCTTAAAATTATACAGATTAGCTGTTGAAAGCTCTTTCTCTATACTTCTGTATTCTACTCCCAAGTGTAAGTTTCTATTAATAGTTGGATACATATACTTCTAGATACTCTCTCTTCCTCTGTCCTTTTCTCTTTTTCCTTGTCTTTGTCTCTGTCTTTCTCCTTCTTCATTTATGTTTACTTGAAAATAGTAAGATATTTTATTATTTAAGTTACCTTTTAAAATTAGTGACAGATTATGTGCAACCTTCTCTAAGTATCTGTAGATTGAATCTTTCATTTAGTGGCTGCATGTTATTTCATTTAACTAATGACATGTATCTGAGTTTATCACACTGCTAGTGTCAGTTGAAAAATCTATTGCAATAGGTAAAGAATGGAACTAATTTCTGTTAATAGTAAAAATGTATATTTTTTAATGTATTTAATGAATCATTTACATGTTTTTCCTATGAAATGCTAATTTACTTTATTTCTATTTTCAATTGAGTTTTGTACCAGTCAAGACAGGTTAGAATATGCTGCTGCTGCAGTAACCAACGATTACAAATTCACTGTGGGTTAATGTAATATTTTGTTTTTTTATTAATATCTATTCATATTTCATTGTCCAAAGTAACTTGCACATCCATACCTATATATAAAAAGTGAAAAACAAAGGAAGTCCTACTTAAAACCCGGAAAATTGAAAATAGAAAAGGTGAAATGACAAATGATTATCACAGGATTTTTGCCTTTTTAGTCTGATTTTAGATACATGAATTTTTAATATGCATTGTACATGTGTGCCTGTGTGTGCACATTGTGTGTATATCTATGTATACTCAATTGCAAAAATTGTCTGTCCCTTATCTTTTAACTTGCTTTATATTGGTACTGTTTATCTTTTTACAACTTAAAAGTTTTTACCTCCTAATTCCTGTTTAGGAAGGCTGCTGCATTCATAAGCTTTCAAATGGTTCTCTTACATGTTCTTTAATTTTTAGTTGAGCTTATGTACTTTGTCTAATGAAATACGTTGTTGCAATCCTATGTCATGAAGAAAAAGTAACTTTTATTCATATGTATAGTAAAAACGTTGCAACTTATTTATTCAATAGTTCATTCCATTTTACCTGATTTGGAATACCACCTTTATTCTATACTTATTCCTATATTGCTGCACCTGTTTCTGGATTCCCTGTATTGTTGCTTCTGTGTCAAAATATAGTGATATAACTTTCTGCATCAAAAACATAATGACTTTACAGTAAGTGCTAATATCTGGTCTGGCAAGTATCCTTTCATAATTATTTATTTTCACTCAGTTAGTTTTGCACATTAATTATTCAGTTGAACTTCAAATTAAGTCACTTAATTTAAAAGATGAATGCTTTTGGAACTTGGAATAAATCAAACTTATTTATAAGTTGGAAAATTACCAATTTGTGAGACATATCATCCTATTCAAGGAGGCATTTTTATTTACTTGGGTTTGCCACACCCTTTAACAATATAGATATAGATACAGATGTATAGATTCCACATAATAGATTTACCTGAGAAATGTTATTCCTAAGGTGATCAGCCTTTGGCAGTTCAAGCCATTGTTTTCAGTCCTTTGTGCAGGAACAGAGAGGCAGAAGGGCTAAACAGAGAGAAACCTCATGCTTGAGAAGCCGTGCTCTGAAAGAATGCTAAATAATGTCAGCATGGGATCCTGAGATTGTGATTCCTGCCATCAATAGAAAGGATCTGTGAGGCTGATGTCAGGCTCAGCGGAGGGATCTGTGGGCCTCAGAAACAGGGAGCATGGCTCAGGGTGAACGTGGGTAGATTTATGGGCAGTTAGAATGGGTCTAAGATTTATGAGTCTTTAGAATGGAAATGATGCACATGGTCTTTGAGATGGGGGCATAAATAGGAAATAAAAGCCTCACAACCCGTAGGTGCCAGACCAGCAAAAGAGAGACAGTTTATAGGTGAGGAAGAGAATATCACTGACACAATATCACTGACACTGCAGACTATTTCATATAAGACATCATAACTGGGTTTCAGGGACATCGGCTTGGCTGATAAGGAGGACAGGAAGAAGCCAGGAGGAGAGTTTGTCATTGAAAAGTTACTGCTGCCCTTTGGTTGGGGGAGCTTCTGAGGTGCTAGAAGACAGGAAGGGCTGAGAGGTGCTGCAGAGGTCAAGGGCCACACATTGGAGGAGCTTGGGACCCCCCACGAGGGGGCACATGGACACTAGCAGTAGGGCAGCCTGGACAGCAGCAGCAGCAGCCAAGTCAAGGGAAGGCCTGAGCCCTGAAAGGACCTTGGGGAGGTAGAGACAGAACAGGTGGAGGGAGGTGCAGGAGTGCAAAAGGGCATCCTCAGGCAGGAGGCAGAGGGCACAGGAAGTGCCCTTCCTGGTCCAGGGCATGCTGGTGGATGTGAAGTTCACAAAACAGTTTGCCATCATCTTACAAAGGGACAGTCACAACTCTGCACGGTTTTCTTGTGAGCAACTTAAACCTGCACTTCAACATTTGAAATTAAGTTTCAAAGCAAGTGAGTCGTCAGAATTGGGACCAGAAACCAACTTGCTTGTCCATGACTTGCATGTTGATGCTTTTAGAAAAACACATTAGCACGAGGTAGATAGCACTTTTCATCCTTCAAATCTATATACATAAGTAAAATGTTAGTCCATACAATTGTTTGATTGCTGGGTTTTTTAAATTTCCTTCTTTTTCTTTGGAGACAGTGTCTCACTCTGTCACCCAGGCTGCAGTGTAGTGATGCGATCATGGCTTACTGCAGCCTCCAACTCCTGGGCTTAGATAATACTTCCATCTCAGCCTCCTGATTATCTGGGACTACAGGTGGCTGTCAACATGCCCGGCTAATTTTTGTAGTTTTTTGTACAAGATGGGGTTTTGCAGTGTTGCCCAGGCTGGTCTCTAACTCCTGGGCTTAAGTGATCAGCCCACCTCGGCCTCCCAAAATGCTGGGATTACAGGCATGAGCTACCACGCCCAGCCTTGTGTACTGTTGTTAAGAGGGCAGTTGAATTCATGCCTGCATCAGCAGTGAGATTCTTCCCATTAGTCACTAAATTTACAATCAGGAGAGTAATAAGGCTCCAGTTTGAATTATACTGTGTCCCTAGCCAAACTGTTCTAAGCACCTTTTAAGATTTGAAAAAGAAATGTTTGTGTGCAACATCTCAAACCCACACCCTATTATGATGAGGGGTACGTTAATGCCCCACCTTTTCTTGGGAAGAGTGAGATTCTGGCAAAATAGCTTGCCCACGACTGTGCCAGACAGGTGGCAGCAAGAAGAGTGTTCATATGAATTTAAAAAGTAGGCTCAGATCTTGTTGAAACAGTAAAACACAACATAGCAAAGCATTTAATAAAGCACAAGCTTATTTTTCTCTCTTGTAAAAGCCCCAGTTAGTTTCAGCTCTGTTCTGCAAGCAGCATCCTCTTCTGTGATGCCTAAGGGCATCCACACCTCCCAACTGCAGGGAGCAGAAGTGTGTATGGGGGGTGCCCTTCATGCTCTTTCCTCTTAAAAGTGTGGTTTAGGTGCTGCATCTGTCACTCACACTCGCACCTCAGTGGCCAGAATGTAGCAGCAGGACCCACCTGACTGCATGGAAGGCCGGTCAGTAGAATCTTATGCACAGCTAAAATTGTGATTCCCATCTAAAAAGGGCAAAGAATGGGTACCAGGGGATAACTCGAAATTTTGATTGCATCTTTATAAAATAGATGAATGAAAGTTCCCTAGCAGCAGGGACATGTAAATAGTTTATGTTTTCACTAGACTTCTAGTACAAACCATAATGCCAAAGTTATACATTTTAAATGAATACATAAATGAAATAAAAATAGGCAGAGGTTATAGCACAGCCTTAACTCCTATACCCTGCTGCTTAGGGAGGTGTCTAGGTCACGAGAACGGAGCCTTCAGGATGGGATTCCTACCTTTATAAATGAGATCACAGAGAGCTCCCTCACCCTCCTTCTGCCATATGAGGACACAGTGAGAAGGTGGCTGTCTACAAACCTAAAAGAGAACCCTCATCTGAACATGACCATGCTGGCACCTTGATCTTGGACTTCCAGCCTCCAGAACTACGAGAAATAAATGTCTGCTGTTTATAACTCACCTATTCTATGATCATTTGTTATAGCAGCCCGGGCTAAGACAATAATTTTCCTAGTTTCTCTCTGAGACTGTCCTTGTCTATCTGGGACTAGGCACGTCTATATATTATAGGCCTAGTCCCAGAGAGAAACTAGGAAAACTATTGTCTTGGCTTGGGCTGCTATAACAAATTACCATAGACTAGGTGGGTTATAAACAGCAGACATTTATTTCTTGTAGTTCTGGAGGCTGGAAGTCCAAGATCAAAGTGCCAGCATGGTCATGTTCAGATGAGGGTGCTCTTTTGGGTCTACAGACAGCCACCTCCTCACTGCATCCTCATATGGCAGAAGGAGGGTGAGGGAGATCTCTGAGACCTCGTTTATAGGGGCATGAATCCCATCCTGAAGACTTCAATCTCAGGATCTAATCACCTCCCTAATCAGCAGAGTACAGGAGTTAAGACTGTGCCATTGATAAACAAGACAATAGTTTTCCTAGTTTCTGTCTCGGACTCATGTCAGGCATATCTTTCTGACACTGTGCTTTTCTAAAGACATGCACATCTGTCTGCATGTGTCCCATGCTGTGTATTTTCTGCTCAGAAATCATGAATTCCACTACAATGTGTCCATTAAACGAGTAGATTTGGAAAATGTACCCTGGGGAGACTAACTAGAAAAAATGGAACTGTTTAATTTTCTCTTTCTTTTGATGCACACTTATTCTAAAGCTATTTAGCTTACAGTGAGGAGAATAGAAGCTTGAAAGTGAGGTAATCATCAATGCTACATTTACAGACTCAGCATCCAAAGACAGCAACCAAAAAAAGACAGGAAGAGAAATAATTTCTAATGTTTACTCTCCTCAATTCAGATAAAATTATGGGATTATTTACAAAATAAAATGATAAAGGACTCTGAACTCCTTGGGCCACATCCAGCAGTTCTTTGTTTATTTTAGTGGAAAGCAAAGCAGAGCCCTAGTGGTTGCCATGGGAAACAGGCTCACTGACACCCTTTGTCCCTTGACTTTTGCGCTGAACTTTCAATGTGCATGGGTAATAAAGCCAAGAGCCCAGCCTAGGGTTCATGCAGCTCATCATGCCTGGGGTCTTCAGTCACACCATTCCTCCTCAATGCCCTGCCAGGGTGCCTATGGTCACCTGTAGCCATGTCACCTGAGGAATCTTCCTGTCGTCATCATTCTCTCATGAGAGCTTGCTTTGCTTGTCATCTTCATGGACACAATAGTGCCTCAGCTCTGTGTCACCCACTACTGGTTCCACTCTTTATTGTGCATCCACAAGGACAGCGTGCCTCAAAGCCCTCATTACTGTGTCCTTTTGCCATGTTTATCCCACTTTCCTCTAATCACAGTGGATGTCTTTGAAAAAATAGTTCGCTGTCAGTGGCCTTGTCTCATTATCCACTTTTGAGTCTTGAATGAGGCTTCTGCCTCCACCACTCCACTCAGTTGATAAAGCAGTGGCAGGTTTTGAGAGGTTTGTCTCCAATTTTGAAAGAAGTTCCTCTATGGAAAATATGCTAGCAAACAGTATTGCATGCTACAGAGAATTCTTTTTGTGAAAGGAAGAGTCAATCAACAAAGCAAACTTCATTGCTGTCTTACTTTAAGCAACTGCCACAGCCACTCCAACCTTCAGCAACAACCACCTTGATCAGCAGCCCTCAATATTGAGGCAAGACCTTCCACAGCAAAAACACTACAACTCACAGAAAGCTCAGATGATTGTTTGCACTTTTTAGCAATAAAGTATCTTTAAATTAAGGTAGGTACTTTTTTAGATATAATGTTATAGCATTCAGTATAATACATGACAATTTAAATATAACTTTTATATGCACTGGGAAACAAAAAATATTGTTTGACTTATTTTATTGGTCTCATACCAAACCCACAATATCTCAGGCATATCTATATATTATTGTTTCAAATTTTGTGGTGGTACAATTGTTTGGATTTAGACAAGTGTATGATGCCACTTATCTTCTATTACAGTATCATGCAGAATATTTGCATCTCTCTACAAATCTCTTGTGCTTCACCTATTCATCCTTTCTTCCCTCCACCAAAACCCTGGCAACCACTAATTTTTCTAATGTCTTCACAGTTTTGCCTTTTCCAGAATGTCATATAGTTGGAATCATGCAGTATATAGCTTTTTCACACTGGCGTATTTCATTTAGTAATATGCATTCAAATATCCTTGATATCTTTCCATGTCTAATGGAATATTATTGCTGAATAGTATTCCATTGTCTGAGTATACCACAATTTGTCCACTTGCCTACTGAAGGATATGTTGGTTGCTTCCAAGTTTGGGCAATTATAAATAAAGCTGCTATAAACATTAGAGTGCGGACTTTTGTGTGAACATAAGTTTTCAGCTCATTTGGATAAATACCAGGGAGCACTATTGCTGGGTTTTATGTTAAGTTTTGCAAGAAATGGACACACTGTCTTCCAAAGTAGCTGTACCACTTTGCAGTTCCATCAGCAGTGAATAAGAAGTTTATCCACATCCTTACCAGACCTGGATATTGTTAGTATCTTTGACTTTAGCCATTCTGATAGGTGTGTAATGGTATCTCATTGTTGTTTTAATTTGAGATTCCCCAATGACATATGATGTTAAATATATTTTCCCATGCTACCCAAATATCTTTGGTGAAGTGTCTGTTCAAATCTTTTGCCCATATTCTAACTGGGTTGTTTGTTTCCTTATTGCTGAGTTTTAAGAGTTCCTTGTATATTTTGAATATAAGTGCTGGATCAGATATGTGTTTTGCAAATATTATCTCTTGGTCTGTGACTTATCTTTTCATTCTCTAAATAGCATCTTTGCATAGCCTTTTTAATTTTAATAAAGTCAAGCTCATCAATTTTTCTTTCAGCAATTGTTCTTTTGTGTCGTGTATAAAAAGTCATTGACAACCTAAGGTCACCTTGTTTTTCACCTATTTTATCTTCTTGAAGTTGTATAGTTTATATTCATATATTGTTTATATATTTATATTATATATACACACAATTTATTTTAGTTACTTTTGTGAAAAATGTAAGGTCGGTGTCCAATTTCTTTCTTTCATTCTTTTTTTTTTCTTTTTAGAGATGGGGGTCTTGCTGTGTTGCCCAGGATGGTCTCAAATTCCGGCCTCAGGCAGTCCTCCTGCCTTGACCTTCCAACATGCTGGGATTACAGGTGTGAGCCACTGCACAAAGCCTTCTTTCTTTCTTTCCTTCTCTTTTTCTTTCTCTTCTTTCTTTCTTTCTTTCTTTCTTTCTTTCTTTCTTTCTTTCTTTCTTTCTTTCTTCTTTCTGTTTAACACGTAGATGTCTAGTTTTTTAGCATATTTTTTTCAAAATAGAAAAAAATTTTACTTTAAAATTTTTATTTTGAAAAATTAGATTTATTTAAGTTACAATAATAATTTGTTATATATATCCCATCCAGCTTTTCTTAATGTTAACAACACACATAGTCATATACAATGATCACAACTAGAAAATTGAAACTGATATAATACTGTTAGCTGAATTGCAGATTTTATTAGAATTCCAACACTTCTCACTAATGTCCCTTTTCTCTTTCGTGATTCAATTCAGTTTTCAACAATGCATTTGGTCATTAGGCTTCTTAGTCTCTCCCATCTGGATCAGCTCCTGCTTTTTTTTTTTTTTTTTTCTTGTCTTCTATAACCTTGGAGAGTACAGTTTCATTATTTTGACACTCAATTTGGGTTCATCCGCTGTGTCCTCATGATTAGACTAAGATATGAATTTTTGACAGGGATACCATAGCAATGATGTACCCTTCTCAGCACACCATATTAGGTGGTGTGTGATGTTCACATCTCATTACTGATGTTAACATAGATCACTTAGTTAAGAGGGTATCTGCCAGGCAACCTCATGGTAAAGTCATTATATTTCCTTTTATAGTTAGTAAATACTTGGGGGAATGTATGTTGAGATCATATTAATATCTCATTTCCTCTGAAAATTTTACCCACTAATTTTAGCATCCATTAGTGGATTTTGTCTACCACAGTAGTGTTTGCTTTCTGGTGATTTTCCATATACCTCATAAATTCTATGTTTATTAATTGAAATTACTTTGTAAGAACGAGTTGTCCTCCCAATTTATTAATTCAATTACATATCAGTATGTACTCATGAAAATGTATTTTATTCTTTGGATTATATTTCAATTCTATTTTTATTTACTATGTGGCTCAAATTGTTCCTGCGTTAGCCACTGGGAGCTCTTTCAGGTTGGCTCCTGTGTCCTTCCAGCATATTCCTGTTTTCCTTTTTTGTTTTTGAGCACTTCTTTAATTTCTGGTACCAGGAGACGCTTTGGGTTCATCTTATATTTCTTCTACCTGAGTGCTGCAATCACTACTTTTTAAAGGAGTCCTGGTTTCTTTTATTAGAGAGTGGTATTTAGAAATCAAGATCTGGGTGCTAGGTGTGCTCATTCTTATCAGGCCATTGTTGCTTCATGGTCCTCTTTATGGACAGAGCTAGGAAATATGTATATGTGTACTAAACCATGCATACTCATATCTGTTTTTCTACCGTATCTATATAACTGTATTTTTACTGGTATTTTTACTGAAAGTCCACGAGTTCATAATTGCATCTCTGACTCCAGTGCAACACCACAAGCTTCATTCCAGCCTCCTCTTTCCTGATTTGTCACTTCTCCTCTTACAATGAGAATCCTGTCTCTCATTATCTATGATATGTATACTTATTTATTCAACTCTTGTATACATGGAAAGTGGTTTCAGACTTGCTAATGCATTGCCACATGAGAAAAAATTATACTAACTGGAGTACAATGTTTGCCTACAGTTAATTTTTGCCCCTTTATCTTAGAATATCTACTCAAAATACTTTTTTTCCACAGTTACTTAGGTCAGTTCTTTCCCCCGACCCCTTACCTCTTTCAATGTGATTTTGCTATTTACTTGTAATCTAGTTTGGTTCATTTATTAGTGTTTATATTTCAGTTGGGGTTCACCCCACATCCTTGTTAATTTTAATTGTTTTGTGGGAGTATGTGAAACATTACTATGATTTTAAAAGTCAATGTTACAAAAAAGTGGTATATGCAGAGAGGTGCCACTCCCTCCTCCTCTTCCCTCCTACTCTATTTCAGTCTGTGTTTCTTTCACCTCTTCTTTACCGTCTCACCCATAGATCTTTTTCTTTGGTTTCTTGCATGAATTCCATGAATTCGTTTGCACACATAAGCACTTGCATGTTTATTATTATATCCCTTTCCTTTATATAGGAAAGGAATTTTGAATAATATATGAAATAAAGATGAGGAAACTATTCTTTATTTGGCTATCTACACACCATATATAAATTTAAAAGAAAAGATTTTTGTGATCTTTATAATAAAATACATTTGAATCATAGTGGATTGGTGTCTACAAACTACATGTTTGTTTTTATATTCATATTTACATTTCAAACTCAAAGAAGACAAGCATATTAATAGAAAGAAAAAATGGCAAAAACTGCAGACTTCAGTTATCAGGATTCAGTGACAGCTGGCTGCACTACAGCCTGGTTAATGGACATGTAAGACTTCTCCTCCCTGAAAGCCATAATAAAGACACTGTTATTTTAAGGAAAGTAATATGACATCATATTGCTGGAAAATAAGAAGACAATCAGCTGTAATCCAAGGAATACCTTTTGGGTATGAGCATGTGGAGATATGAGGGAAGCATATTTCAGTCTGAAGAAACAGCATGAGCTCAGGAAAGCAGGTGGAACGAGGTTTTGAGAAACAGCAAACTGCCTAGTGTGGTAGTGAAGGGATGCCCTACAGCCACGTTTCTACCAGGCAAATGTATCCCATCATGCAGCTGCTTAACTATCTTAAAAGTCTCCCCGTTAAGCTTAAATGTCCAACAATGTGTGAGAGAGCCCAAACCCTTGGCCCCTTTGTGCCTGTTCCTATCTCTTATCTCTGCTCTGCTCCAATTATTTCTATACCACAGTGATTTTCTTCCAGATCTTCTGATTTAGCACTATCTCTGTGGAGTTCCATGCACACTTCTTCCAATACCAAAAATATTGCCAAGTCATTCTTGGCAATTCCTGTCCCTCCTTTATAATTGTGGTTCTCCTAATGTGGCTTTCCAACCAGCCACATGTGCATCTGGGAATTGTTAGAAGCACAATTCTCCTACCTCAACCCAGACCTCCTGAATCAGAAACAAACTGTGTCAAGACATTCTGCAGGTGATTCTCACGCACACTAATGTTTCAGAACTACTGAAATGTGGTATTATATTTACCATTGAACTGTGAAGACTAATTTTTTTTCCTCGCTCTATCAGAAGGTTTGTATATTTGAAGCTGTTTGTCTTGTTACCCAAACCCATCTTAGAACTCTCAGCACAGTTCCTCATACTGTAAATGAATTTTGAATGAAAACTTGGGTCCATAAATGTTGGTTATAGCCAACTATTGAAGAACTAAAGGATAATAATAATAAATGATCACTTATTGAGCATTTACTATGCACCAGGCATAGTAAATACTATGATCACTTATTGAGCATTTACTATGCACCAGGCATAGTAAATACTAAAAACTTTATTGGTATAAAATTCATTTATTCCTCACTATAAAATGATAACACAATGAAGTAGTCAGGAATAGCTCATTTAGAAAATGAGCTAGGCTTACAGAGTTTACTTGGCTCAATTAAAATTATAGAGCTTCAGAACAGTAGAGACTACATTCAAACTAAATTCTGCCTGATGCTAATGGATTTGCCATTTCTCTAAACCCGCTTGTAATTCATGATTAATTTTAGAGTACTAAAATTTGAAAAGCTGCACATGGTTTGGCACATCAAATTTCTCCTAGTGAAGATAACTCTGTGGAATAAAATCCGTAGTGGAGTGTTGCTCTAAAACTTACTTTAATCATGTTGTATTCACTAGTGGCCTTCTCTTAAGTAATTCTGTTGATTTTAAGCACTTCCTCCAGAAAGAGCTTTTTGCCTGGGGAATAAAGTGCCTTAGTCTGGTAAACTTACCTAAAGAAATATCCAGCAAGCAAAATGAATTGACGGTTAAGGCTCACTATTAAAACTGAAATATCATACTCATGAGTCAGACTTTTCAGAGCATCAATCCTTTGAAGACTGGGAAGCAGACCAAAAACGGCCTCACCTGTCTGTGGACCTGGATCCCCTAAATAGAGAGCCCTCTTGAGGTGTTTTATTCTGCAGATCTCTAGACAAAGCCTGAGCCTGTGAATCAAAAGGCAGTGTATGCACTTTTGTGGAAATGTAGCATGCATCAGCACTTTATTTCTTTTGATGGTTTAATAATATTCTATTGTATGAATACAGTATACTTTGTTTATCCATTTATCAGTTAATGGACATTTGGGTTGTTTTCACTTTTTGAGGATTATGAATAATGCTGTTATAAGTATTCATGTCCAAGTTATTTTGTGAACATATGTTTTTAATTCTCTTGAGTGGAATTCTAGGAGTGGAATTGCTGAGTCATACGGAAACTCGATGTTTAACTTTTTGAGAAACTGCCAAATTGTTTTCCAAATTGGCTGCATTGTATTACATTCCCACTAGCACTATATGAGTGTTCCAATTTCTCTCCATCCTCGCCAACACTCATATTTGTCTTTTTGATTATAGCTATCCTAGTGGGTGTAAAGTGATATCTCATTATGTTTTGATTTGCATTTCCCTAATGACTATGATATTGAGTATCTTTTCATATGCTTATTGGCCATTTGTTTATTTTGTTTGGATAAATAAAATAAATGTCTATTTAAATCCTCTGTCCGTTTTTTCAGTTGGGCTGTTTATCTTCTTGTTGAGTTGTAAGAATTCTTTATTTATTCTGGATACAGGCTCATTATCACATACGTGAATTGCAAATATTCTTTCTTAGCCTATAGATTATTTTCATTTTCTTGATAATGTCCTTTTGTGTGTGTGTGAAGAGGGGAATTACATTTCTGATCTTCTGGGACTCTTTCAGTTTTATTTTATTCATTTATTTATTTATATATTTTTAAATTTATCTTTTATGGGTACATGGTAGGTGTATATATTTATGGGGTACATGAGATATTTGATACAAGCATACAATCAGTAATAATTACATCAGGTTTAATGGGGTAGACATCACCTCAAGGATTTATCCCTTCTTCATGTTACAAACAATCCACTTATACTCTGTTAGTTTTTTAAAATGTACAATAAATTGTTGTTAACTGTAGTTACCCTGTTGTGCTATCAAATACTAGATCTTATTCATTCTATATAACTATATTTTTGTACCCATTAACAATCTCTGCTTTCCCCCTACCCACCCACTATCTTTCCCAGCCTCTGGTAACCATTCTTCTACTCTCCTTCTCCATGAGTTCAATTGTTTTAATTTATTTGGCTCCTAGAAATAAGTAAGTGCAAGCTAAGTTTGTATTCCTGTGACTGGCTTATTTCACGTAACATAATGACCTCCAGTTCCATCCATGTCGTTGCAAATGATAGGGTCTCATTCTTTTTTTATGTCTGAATAGTACTCCATTGTGTATATGTACCACGTTTTCCTTATCCATTCACCTGTTGATGGACACTTGGTTGCTTCCAAATTTTGGCTAAATAGTGCTGCAATAAACATGGGAGTGCAAATATCTCTTCAATAATACTGATTTCTTTTCTTTTGAGTATATACCCAGCAGTGAGATTGCTGGATTATATGGTAGCTCTATTTTTAATGTTTTGAGGAACCCCTAAATTGTTCTCCATAGTGGTTGTACTAATTTACACTCCCGCTAACAGTATACGAGTGTTCTCTTTTCTTCACATCCTTGCCAGCATTTGTTACTGCCTGCATTTTGGGTAAAGGCCATTTTAACTGGGGTGAGATGAGACCTCATTGTAGCTTTGATTTGCATTTATCTGATAATCAATGATGCTGAACACTTTTTCATATGCCTGTTTGCTATTTGTTTGTCTTCTTTTGAGACATGTCTATTCAGAGCTTTTGCTTATTTTAAAATCAAATTATTAGATTTTTTCTTATTGAGTTGTTTGTGCTCCTTATTTATTCTGGTTATTAATCCCTTGTCAGGTGGATAGTTTGCAAATATTTTCTCCCATTCTGTGGGTTGTCTCTTCCCTTTGTTGATTGTTCCTTTTGCTGTGCAGAAGTTTATAAACTTGATATGATCCCATTTGTCCATTTTTGCTTTGGTTGCCTGTGCTGGTAGGGTATTACTCAAAAAAACTTCTCTCAGACCAATGTCTTCGAGAGCTTCTCCAGTGTTTTCTTGTAGTAGTTTTATAATTTTGGGTCTTATATTTAAGTCAAGCTTGTCCAACCCATGGCCCATGGGCCACACGCAGTGCAGGACAGCATTGAATGAGGCCCAACACAAATTTGTAAACTTTCCTAAAACATTATGAGATTTATTTATTTATTTATTTTTACTTCATTAGTTATTGTTAGCGTTAGTGTATTTTATGTGTGGCCCCAAACCTTTCTTTTTCTTCCATTATGGCCCAGGGAAGCCAAAAGATTACACACCCCTGATTTAAGTCTTTTATTCATTTTGATTTAATTTTTTTGTACGTGTGAGAGATAGGGATCTAGTTTAATTCTTCTGCATATGAATATCCAGCTTTCCAAGCACCATTAGTTGAAGAGACTGACCTTTCCCTAATGTATGTTCTTGGCACCTTTATAAAAAAAATGAGTTTACTGTAAATGTATAGATTTATTTCTGGGTTCTGTAGTCTGTTTCATTGGTCTATGTGTCGATTTTTATGCCAGTACCATGCTGTTTTGGTCACTATAGCTCTAGTATAATTTGAAGTCAGGTAATATGAGTCCTCCAGTTTTGTTCTTTTTGCTCAGGGTAGTTTTGGCTATTTTGGATCTTTTGTACTTCAATATAAATTTTAGGATTATTTTTTCTATTTTTGTGAAGAATGCCATTGGTATTTTGATAGGGATTACATTGAATCTGTAGATTGTTTTGGGTAGTATGAATATTTAAAAAATATTGATTCTTCCAATTCACGAACATGGAATATCTTTCCATTTCCTGTGTATTATTTTGAATTTCTGGCGTCAATGTTTTATAGTTTTCATCATAGAGATCTTTCACTTCTTCAGTTAATTCCTAAGTATTTTATTTTATTCATAGCTATTGTAAATGGGATTACTTTATGATTTCTTTTTCAGATTGTTCACATATAGAAATGCTACTGATATTTGCATGTTGATTTTGTATCCTGCATCTTTAAAGAATTTATCATTTTTAATAGTTTTTGTGCAGTCTTTAGGTTTTTCTAAATATAAGATCATATCATTTGCAAGCAAAGATACTTTGACTTCCTCTTTTCCAATTTAGATGCCCTTTATTTCTTTCTCTTTTCTGATTGCTCTGGGTAGGACTTCCAGTACTATGTTGAATAAGAGTGGTGACACTAGGCATCCTTGTCTTGTTCCAGATCTTAGAGGAAAGGCTTTTAGTTCTTCTCCATTTAGTATGATAGTAGTTGTATATGGCTTTTATTGTGTTGAGGTATGTTCCTTCTATACTCAGTTTCTGAGAGTTTTTTTTTTTAATCGTGAAGGGATGTTGAATTTTATCAAATTTCTTCAGCATCAATTAAAATGATCATTTATTTTGTCCTTCATTCTGTTGATATGATGTATCAGATTGATTGACTTGCATATGTTGAACCATCCTTGCCACCCTTGCATAAATCCTGCTCGGTCATAATGAATGATCTTTTTAATGTGTTGCTGAATTTAGTTTGCTAGTATTTTACTAGGATTTTTGCATCAATGTTCATCAAAGATATTGGCCTGTAGTTTTCTCTTTTTTTTATGTGACTCTATCTGATTTAGGTATCAAGATAATACTGGCCTTATAGAAAAAGTTGGCAAGTATTCCCTCCCCTCTAATTTTTGGAAAAGTTTGGGTAGGATTAGTATTATATCTTCTTTAAATGTTTGATAAAATTCAGTAGTGAAGCCATCGTGTCCTGGGTGATAGTGTCCTTTCATGTACACAACTTTTAAATTTATGAAATCTAGTTTATTTATTTATTTACTTCTGTAGGAAGTCTCTGTGCTAATTTACTGATACAAAAATTAAAAGCCAACTTCCAGTAAGAAATCATTCACTACTGTGTTTCCATACCATCCAAACAAATTAGCTACTGGAACAAAGATCCACCATTCCTAACCTTGGGGAATGAACTCTCTCCCACAGATTTCTCAAAAAGATCATCAAATCCTCATAAAAAAACATTCCCGTATAAGTCCCATGATCCTTAAATCCAGCTATTTCTTATCCATCTTTCAGCACTTGGCTTATATGCCACTTCCTTATAGAAGCCTTTACTCTGCTCACCAAGACAGACTGTCACTATTAGAGCCACTGTTGTGATTGTCAGGCAATTAACACCACCAAAGTCAAGTAATTATTTATGTAACTGTTAATAATCTATCTGCAAAACATAAGATCTGTGAGGGACAAGTGTGTCTACCATTTTCTCTTTTTCTATCTACACCCTAGCAGAGTGCTGAGTACATAGTGGGAACTCAATACATGTTTTTATTTATTTGTTTGTTTTTGTTTTTGTTTTTTTCTTTTTTGAGATGAAGTCTTGTTCTGTCACCCAGGCTGGAGTGCAGTGGTGCGATCTTGGCTCACTGCAACCTCTGTCTCCTGGGTTAAAGCGATTCTCCTGCCTTAGCCTCCCATGTAGCTGGGATTACAGACACATGCCACCATGCCTAGCTAATTTTTGTATTTTTTTTTCTTTTTTTTTTTAGTAGAGACAGGTTATTAGAGACAGGTTTTCGCCATGTTGGCCAGGCTGGTCTCAAACCCCTAATCTCAGGTGATCTGCCCACTTTGGCTTCCAAAGTCCTGGGATTACAGGGGTGAGCCACCGCACCCAGCCGGGAACTCAGTACATGTTAAACAATCAAATGAATCTTCAACAACATTAATAAAATTATTGATTTTCATAGGGCTGTTTCTTGTATTATTTCTCAGATTCTAACAATTATTTTAGGCCTAAATGCAGCTCAGGAAATGCAATTGTATGGAAGGTGAAAAGCCACATTCCCAACACAAAATTTTCTGATGGTCTGAATTTAAGTAGTACTTCAAAGATATATAGATCTTTCTTAGGTATTCCTTCAAAAATCTTTAATATATTTAATCTCAACTGAATAAGTATAGTGGCAGATGGTTCAACGTCACAGTTGCTGAGAAAAACGGACATGATTTTCCTTCAAGGTACTTTTTGGATATTCTCCACAATATAGGTAAATGTGCAATGATTGTCCACATTCTATCCTAGGACTGCAAAAATTAGATTTTCAAAAATTTTCTCTTTAGCAATCAAGGCCAAAAATATTGTGTGTGTGTGTGTGTGTGTGTGTGTGTGTTTTACATTGGGGAGGGGCTACGGGCAGTGGGTAGTGAGGATACATGCAGCCTAAAGAGCACTCCAGAGCTCTGCCTCAAACTCAGAAGGTCTGCTGTCTTTTAGTCTCTGTATAAGATGTATTTAAAGTGATCTTATTTTTTGATTTTCTAAATAGAAGTTTTAAACCTCCAGTCTGAAAAACACTGGTTGCAGGAATTTGGGCCTGGAAAACTCTTAAATCTAGGTAATAAAACGTATCTTTCCCATAAGTTTACCCTGGAAATCTTTTTTACTTCTTCCCTTTCCTATAACCAGCTAAAGTGCTACCCATATGACCACCCCGACCCCCACCAGGAAGTTATGTAACCATCTGGGTTTTGTTTTCCTCGTGTCAAAAATAAGAATGCTAATAGCATCTACTTTGCGTGATTTTAAGCATACATGCAAAACCGACAGTGAAGTGGCTCACTGTGGTGCCTGGCAGAAGTTGAGCAGAAAGCTCAGTAAATTTTGGTGTTCTGCATCCAAATTGGCTTTTCATCATAATGAGTAGATGTCTGTTTTCTGCTCATCTGCAGGCTACAGTTGTATGAGGTTAGGCCCTACTATGTGCAGTGCAGGTACATAATGGTACAAAAGAAGGAGTGGTCACTTCACCTGGAGGAAGTCAGAGCAAATTTCTAGGAAGAGAAAAGCCTTATGTTTGGTTTTGGAGGTTGAGGGGTTGTTTAAAGGGTGGGAAAGGTGAGGTAGAATGGGGAAGATGGAGGAGTTCATTACTTTAATAAGGCCATAATCATACCACAGTGCTCTGATTGCCAGAGGACTGTGCATAGTTTAGAGTGTTAACATAGCTTATCTTGGTCTGCCTTGTACCGGTCTTGCAAGGTGTGTACTGATGCATGCAGCATTGAAGACCAGAGGCAAGCTATGCTGCACTGTGGGCTGACCCACAGTGCACGGAAGGGAGCAGTGGGAAATGCAGTGCCAGAGTAGGCCCAGATTCATGGAGGGCCTTTTTTACATACTAACAAAAGAAAATTCAAGTACCGTACACAGAAAGATCAAAGGTAGGCCTTTGGTGAAGCAGTTGCACGGGTCTTACACTCATAAGGGTCTTCTTGCTTGTGGTGCAATGTTCTGCTGTTGCCGTTTTGAAATCCTTCATACACACAATCCTCATGTTTTACAGTAATACAGGACCTGAAAGATGACTGTGCAGGTGGAAATTGTGTAATGATCTTCGTCTATCTTTGGGGAAATGATGATTGTTCTGTTACTTTTTACATTTTTTGTCAAAATGCTAAAAACTCCCTTCCCATCAGTTACAAATGTGTAGTAAGCAGAAAATAAATAGTAAAAATAATACTTACTTAGTGCACTGTAATTTAAAATGTTAAAAACATTGAGAATTGAAAAGTTTCTCTCCTTATAAAAAACGCATCAAGAGTAGATTGAACAATACTTTTATATTTTTAGTGTTGCTCAATATCTCTGAGAGATTCTTAAATGTCAATTTCTTTATGGCAGCATCACTTCCTCTATTACATCTCCCTCCTTGTCATCATAACCACTTTCTTCACGTCTGTTAACAAATTTGCTCCTGAACAGTGGCAGGATCAACCTTCCCAAGGACAGCTATGTGTTCTGCAACTCAATTTTCTTTCAATTCAAATTTCACTTCCAGCACTACCACTTTTGATTTCTTTGCTGCATTTGCATCGTTGTGGGCTAATTCCCTCTTTTCATGAGCCAACTTTTTCAAATATCACACGTGTTCATCGTGGGGAGATAAAGAGCCAATATAACGGCACACTTTGCCATTTGTATGTGAAAGCAGAGGTGCAGGGGCCAATCACTGACTGACTTTGGAAGAAGCAATGTGATTGGTCAATGATCACGATGCACATCTGTTATTTATACAGTGATTTGTGGACTGGAATCATTCGTAGTTAATATACCAGGGTAGCTGAAACTTGAACTGTGTTTTGCGGGGCTGGTGTAATTAAATGGTGGTAATTGATAGGCCTGCACATTAGAACTATACGAAGCAAGGGCTGCCTTTAATTTTACGTTTGCACTTGTGTTTTTTCAGTGATGCCAGTGGAACAATGGAGCATGCTGAGGGCAGGGGAGACACAAGCAGTATTCACGGTTACCGCCAGTCCTTACTCTGCCATTTACAGTATTTCTGCAATGACTCATGAGCACAGAATTACAGCAGCCCCTCTATGAGTGGTAGCCCAGGAGGTTCGAGAGGAGTGGAAAGAAAGTGCATTATATCTAGGACTAAGTGAGAGTATTGCAGCCTCCAGAGACTACACTTTTCAAATGAACCAAAACTTGCACCAGATGTGGAAAGAAAGCAATCAAATTCTAAGACACAAGAATAACTAAGGGACCTAATGATCTCTTACTCACTGTGTTACCTCTAGCTGGCCCTTTTCACTTAAAATGGTAACATAGAAAGAAAGGAAAAGATAGGGCCACTAATATTAATAGTTCCTTTTCTTTCAGTCCTTTCTTACTCATCAATTATCCAAAAGTAAAGAGTGTTGGTAGAATGTGCATGTATCAAGATGTGAAAAAAATAGTTTACTTATTTTTGTGTAGTATTTCTACTGTTCTGATGTGAATAAAATACATAGGCATTATGAGCTATGAAATAGGAATTGTGTCATTTCAGTGATTCTATGTATCAGTTAAAGGCTCTTACATTAGCATTTAAAATAGTTCCACAATATGATAATATTCATGCTAATAATTTAAAAATTTATTTATTCTTCACTTAGAAGGACATTAACTAAATATGAGATCAAAAGACAGTCTGTAAAGAAAGAAAAAAGCTTTATATTTTGATAGCCTCAATGACATTCTTTTCCTACTTCTTAAATAAGAGGCCCCATATTTTCATTTTGCACAGGGCCCTGCAATTTATGTAGCCAACCCTGCCTTTGGTGTTTCTAATGCCTCCTGTGTACATAGTGCTTAGGGATATTTGGGGCCTTTTTTTGCTATTAATCATGAAAGCACTGAAAGGTCTCATGCAAGAAAGACATATATATATATATATATATGTTTTTCTATATATGTGATTTTATACACACACACACACATATATATATACACATATATACACAGACATACAAATACATATATGCAAATCACACAGGCATCAGTGTGAAGAATGAGTTGGATTTAAAGCTCTTTTTCACGTATCAAGTGATAAACTGTAGATTCTGAGTAAGCTGAGATCACATAACAACCCCTCAGAACAAAAACACAACAACTAAAACAATGACAACCTTGTACTTTTGCATTTCATTCATGTCTTAGAGAGTACAGTTTATGAACCCATAATTTCATCTCACTCTAGGGAAAACCTAATGATATGTTTTCTGAATAAGAAACTGAGTTGAAAAGAGATTTTTTTTCAAGTATCAGCAAGTCAGCAAGTGCTAGCAATGAATTGTGAACCCAGGTGTGCCAGCAACTGAATAGTTTGCCCCAAGCACCATTCCTATGGATTATCTCCATATGAAAGATCACAAAATCACTGTGTCTCCACAAATCCTTTTCACACTGTCGGAGGACAGTGGCCACATGCTGTAACGCTTGCACTAAAGCCACAGCAATTTCTCCTTTACTTTTTCCACAAAAAGTCCACAACCAGCTCCTTAGACTATTAAATATATTGTAACACATTCATATGGAGTAATATTTTGTGATCTTTCAAAACAGAGAGACAGAGCTGTGCAGATACCCCTTGTTTTATTGCACTTAGCAAATGTTGCATTTTTCACAAATTGAAGGTTTGGGCCAAACCTGCATCAAACAAGTCTATCAGTGCCATTTTAACAACAGCATGTGTTCACTTTGTGTCTCTGAGCCACATTTTAGTAATTCTCATACTATTTCAGGCTTTTTCATTATTATATCTGTTATGGTGGTTTGTGATCAGTGATCTCTAATGTTATAATTGTAATTGTTTTGGGGTACCACAAGCCATGCCCACATAAGATAGCCACCTTAATTGATAACTGTTGTGTGTGTTTGAGTTGCTCTACCCAGTGGCCATTCCCCATCTCTATCTCTCTCCATGGGCTTCCCTCTTCCCTGACAGAAAACAATATGGAGATTCAGCCAACTAATAACCTTCTAATGGCCTTGAAGTGTTTCAGTGACAGGAGGAGTTGCATGTCTCTCACTTTAAATCAAAAGCTAGAAATGATTAAACTTAGTGAGGAAGGCATGTTGAAAGTTGAGACAGGGCAAAAGCTAAGCCTCTTGTTCCTAACAGTGAGCCAAATCCTAAGTGCAAAGGAAAAGTTATTGAAGTGAACTAAAAGTAAACTCAAGACAATGCATGAATGATAGAAAAGTGAAACAGCCTTATTGCTGATATGGAGAAAGTTTAAGTAATCTGAATAGATCAAACCAGCCACAACATTCCCTCAAGCCAATGCCTAATCCAAAGCAAGGCTCTAACTCTCTTCAATTCTATGAAGGCTGAGAGAGGTGAGGAAGTTGCAGAAGAAAAGTTGGGAGCTAGCAGAGGTTGGTTCATGAGGTTTTCAGGAAAGAAGCTGTCTCCATGACATAATGATACAAGGTGAAGCAGCAAATGCTGGTGTAGCAGCTGCAGCAAGATATCAAGAATATCTAGCTAAGGTCATTGATGAAGGCGGCCACATTAAAAAAGCAGATTTTCAGTGTAGACAAAGAGCCTTCTATTAGAAGAAGATACCATCCAGGTTTCTCATAGCTAGAGAGAAGAAGTCAACGATTGGATTCAAAGCTTCAAAGACCAGCCTGACCAACATGGAGAAACCCCATCTTTACTAAAAATACAAAATTAGCTGGGCGTGGTGGCACATGCCTGTAATCCTAGCTACTTAGGAGGCTGAGGCAGGAGAATCGCTTGACCGGGAGGCGGAAGTCGTGGTGAGCCAAGATCGCACCATTGCACTCCAGCCTGGGTAACAAGAGCAATACTCTGTCTAAAAAAAAAAAAAAAAAAAGCTTCAAAAGCTTCAAAGGACCACTGACTCTTTTATTAGGGACTGATTGATAACAGCTAGTGACTTTAAGTTGAAGCCAAGTTGAGCATTATGTTGAATGCTCATTCGGAAAATCTAAGCTTAAGAATTATGCTAAATTTACTCTGTCTATGCTCTATAAATGGAAGAACAAAGAGTGAATAACAGCATATCTGCTTATGGCATGTTTTACTGAATATTGTAAGCCCACTGTTAAGGCTTCCTGCTCAGAAAAAAAAAAAAAGATTCCTTTCAAAATATTACTGCTCACTGACAATGAACCTTGTCTTCCAAGAGCTCTGATGGAGATGTATAAGGAGATGAATGTTGTTTTCATGCCCGCTAATACAGCATCCTCTGCAGACCATGAATCAAAGAATAGTTTTGACTTTCAAGTCTTAGTATTTAAGAAATAAATTTTGTAAGGCTGTATCTGCCATGGATAGTGATCCCTCTGATGGATATGGGCCAAGTAAATTGAAAACCTCCTGGAAAAGATTTACCATTCTAGATGCCGTTAAGAACATTTTTGATTAATGGGAGGAGTTAAACCATATTAATATTAACAGGAGTTCAGAAAAGGTTGATTCTAACCCTCATGAACATTTTTAGGAGCTTCTAGACTTCAGTTGAGAAAGCCACTACAGATGTAAAGGAAATAACCAGATAACTAGAATTATAAAATTATAAAAATTATAAAATATAAAATATTCTGTAAACCATGCCATAAGCAGATATGATGTTATTCAGTGGGACCCAAAGATGTGACTAAATTGCTGCAATTTCATGATAAAATTGAATGGTTGAGGAGTTGCTTCTCATGGATGAGCCAATGAAGTGGTTTCTTGATGTGGATTCTACTCCTGGTAAAGATGCTGTAAACATCATTGAAATGACAACAAAGGATTTAGAATATTACATAAACTTAGTTGATAAAGTAGTGGCAGAGTTTAAGAGTATTGACCCAAATTTTGAAATAAATTCTACTGTGGGTAAAATGCTATCAAACAATATAGCATGCCACAGAGAAATCTTTTGTAAAAGGAAGAGTCCATGAAAGTGACAAACTTTATTGTTGTCTTATTTTAAGAAATTGCCACAACCTCTCCAACCTTTAGCAACCACCACCCTGATCAGTCAGCAGTCATCAATGTTGTGGCAAGACTCTCCACCAGAAAAAATATTACAATTCACTGAAGGCTCAGATAATTGTTAACATTTTTAGTAATAAAGTATATTTTAATTATAGTTTTGATTTTTAAATATTATGTTATTGAATACTTGATAGACTACAGTCTCTGTACATATAACTTTTATATGCACTGAGAAATGAAAAAAATATATCAGATTCACAGTATTTGAATGTTCACTTTATGGCTGTGGTTTCAAACTGAACTTGAATTATCTTGGAGGTATGCCTGTATATGGTCACTTGCATAATCAGAAAAATATAGATAAAAGGAAAAACAAGAATTTAATGTATTTAAAGAGTAATATTAATAGTAAAAGTTACTATTTTAAATGTTAGTTTAGCTCTTCTGCATTTGAAGCACAAACTACATAGAAAAAAAAGCCTAACAGAGCGTGTGCCAGTTCTCTCTACATAAAACATTTTTGAGAGAAATTAAGACATATATAGATGGATATACCATGTTCATGGATTGTAAAACTCTATTGTTAGGATATCTATTCTCAAATCAATCTGTAGATTGAACATAAACATAATCAAAACTCTAGCAGCCTTTTTTTTTTGCAGAATTTGGCAAGCTAGCTGATTCTAGAGTATATAGATAACAGTTAAATAATGTAGAACAGACAAAACCATCTTGCAAAAGAAAAAGTTGAAGGGATTATACAATATTTATTGTAATGGTAAAATAATAATTACTATTTGGTATTGACATAATAGACAAATAGACAATGGAACATAACAAAAAGTCCAACAATATATAAAATATGTGGTCAATTAACTCTTCTGAATTTCAAATATATGTCTGATTGTGTGTGTGTGTGTATCTTGCTTAGTAAGCTTTTGGGATGTGTAATTTGGTGTCTGTCATCAATTTGGAAAAAAATTTGGCCATTTTTTTCAAATATGTGTTCTGTCTTGCTTTTATATCCTCCTAGTATTTCAATTATATGAATATTAAAATCACTTAATATTTTAGCATGGTGTTTGGATGTTGTTTTTCTTTCTTATTTTTCTTTGGGCTTAAGTTTAGATAATTTCTATTGACCAACCTTAATTTTTAGTTATTATTTCCTTGTCACAGTTGGATCTACTGATAATCCAGCCCATCAAATTTGTTCTTTATTATGTTACTGTGTTTTTAATATTTAGCATTTTCTTTTGACTCCTTTGAGTTTCTGTCTCTGCTAGCGTTATCTATCTCATCCTGTGTGTTATCTATATTTTTCCTTTAACCTCTTTAACATATTATTATTAATCATTGTCATGTCACATTCCATGTTTGTTTGATTATTCCAACATCTATGCCATACTGGTGTTTGGTTCTGATAATTGTTTTGTCTCTTTAGACTGTGTTTTTCTTGCCTTTTTAGCATGGCTTGTAAATTTTTTGTTGTGTGGGGTAATAAATACTGAGATTAAATAAGCCTTTAAGAGTTGGGCTGTTTGATGTTTCTTATTCCTACAGGCAGTAGAGGCATGCAATTTCTCTATTGTCCCTGTTTTTTCTCTTCTCTTGGTTTTGTGGCTTCCATTTGTTCTAGTCCTCAGAGAGAGTGACTTTCTTGCACTTCTTGCTGTAGTCTACTGTTATTTTTACTAAAAGTTTCCTAACATATTTCTAGGTTATGTGTGTTTGAAGAGAAGAAATCTCTAATCTTTTGATTAATTTACATCCTTTGGGGTTCATAATGGGCTATCTTGAGGTGTAGGCCTTCAAAGTTCCCTCATTCGGGGTTAAAACTTTCCCTGTAATCTAATTCATTCCTCCCATGTAGCTAACAACCTTTGAAATCTGTGCCTTTGGAGCCCTCCCCCTATAAATTATGTTTTTTTGTGTGTGTTTATTTCCTTGCCTGAGGTGACAGAGGAAGGGCATTTTGAGCAGTACTGAAACAGGGTAGAGTTCTCCCCCACTAGTTGGGACTGAATTTCACTCTTGTCATGTGGAATCACTGGAATTAAGCCTTCTGTATTGGAAGGAAGAAAGGTTAGAGAAGATTTCATGATGACCACTTTTCCCCTTTACTGCCAGGGCCAAAGAGAGGTGAGGCCAGGATAGGGAAGGAAAAAAGAAAGTGGAGAGGAGAGAGAGAGGAGTTGGGGAGTCCTCTCATGAGAGTGTAGTAGGTGGTGGGTCATATGGAAAAAAGCTTAAGAAAGTGTGACCCACATATGACTAATGACTCAGGAACTTCTCACCCTCATGCAGCCCACACTCAGCCTCTAGTTTCATGTTCCTACAGGATTATGGGGTACCACGGCTTTCTCTTTAGATAAACAGATCTCATCTGCTTTATCTCTTTAGATGCATTCACTGTTCCGTGTGTTGAGGTGGTTGTTTGCTCTGTGATCTCAGTTATCTGATGGGTCCAAAAAAGGTCACTGATTTTTACATTGTCCAGCTTTTTTCTTGTTGTTAAGGACAGAAGTGATGACTTCCCATCTGTTACATGTCAGAGTTGAAAATGGAAGTCTACATCCTTAATTTTAAATAGGAATTTAATTTTCATTTAATAAAATTAATAAATATTTTACTTAATGGATTTTCTTTTGGGAGTCAAAAATATAATCCTATAATTTATTCTATTAACTTCTTCTATTAACTTTACTCTGTTATATTTTATATCCAAACCTCTAATATGCTGGAATCCACTTGGGAATGTGGTGTAAAGTAGGGAATCTGGGCTGGATGCAGTGGCTCACGCCTGTAATCCCAGCACTTTCGGAGGCTGAGGCAGGTGGATCACCCGCGGTCAGGAGTTTGAGACAACCCTGACCAACATGGAGAAACCCCATCTCTACTAAAAATACAAAATTAGCTGGGTGTGGTGGCGCATGCCTGTAATCCCAGTTACTCGGGAGGCTGAGGCAGGAGAATCAGCTTGAACTCAGGAGGCAGAGGTTGCGGTGAGCCGATATCCTGCCATTGCGCTCCAGCCTGGGCAACAAGAGCAAAACTCTGTCTCAAAAAAAAAAAAAATTAAAAAAAGTAGGGCATCTGTTTTATTTTTCTTCACATATAAAATTTATTTTTCAAACATTGTATATTTTACAGGCACTTATCTTCTCAGGTTTCTAGATGGTGGTTTGTCCTGTGACTTCACTCTCTAATGGGTCAAAGTCAAATTGTTCATTTTTATTTTTTAAATTTTTTTTTGTTGTGAAGAAGGGAATGTCAACTTTTGAATACTTTAAAAGCCTGAGGTGAAATCAGAACAGTCTATTTAATTTTGATCAACGTACAAAAAAGGCAAAATCTTTTTTAACAAATGGCACTAGAGCAATTTAATCTCTCTATGGAGATACATAGGTCCTGATCTCTATTTTCCTCTGAAAAAGAAGGGAGAAATGGAAAAGCTCATAGAATAAAATGCAGAAGAATATATTCGTGACATCCCATAGTTAGGTATTTTTGTACAGTACACACAAAAAGTTTTTAAGGCCAAAGATTATGAAGCTGGAGAAATTATGGTTCAATTTCAGTTGAGATTGTCTTTGCTGGGGTGATGGGAACATGAGAGACTTTAGGGACCTTTGACTTTCTACTTTTGCTAGTTCCATATTATTGGAATTTTATAATAAATACACATATGGTAATAACAAAATAAATAAATAAAAGCTAGTTCAGATAGGCAGAACACAGAAGATTATTAAAGCAGTGAAAGTCTTCTGTATGATGCTGTAATGGTGCATACATGTCATTATACATTTGTCCAAACCCACAGAATGTACATCAGGAGTGATCTTTGGTTAATAATGTTGGGTCATTGTAGATTCATCAAGTCTAACAAATGTTCCACTCTGATGGGAGATGTTGATAGTGGAGAGTCTGTGGGGGTAGGGGGTGTGGGCTAGGAGGTTTATGGAAAAATCTCTATATTTTTCACTCAATTTTGCTATGAGTTTTACATTACACCCAAAAATAAAGTCCATCAAAACAAGGCCACTTTGGTGTCCAATAATCTTAAATTACTAAATTCAAATTGATTTTGCTCATTTCAAAAAGATATGTACAAATATACATATATTATCTCAGGAATTACATATGTGGTATTTGAAATATACAGTTTTCCAAGTTCCACTGTGAATTATTTTAAAACAAAATTCCTAAATTTTTTGTAAGTTTCATTGTAAATTATTTTTTAAAAAATTTAATTTTTTGTTTTTAAAAAATCTTTTTATATCAGTTCATTTTGCCAATATTAATCTTATTGTGCAAGGGGCATAGTTTGTTTTATTGTTTTATGTGTCATGCAGAGTTCATAGATTCACTAATTCCTTCCAGGAAACTTAAACACTTCATGTTAGACTAAACCAGATGTAAAGAATTTTTTTGTTTGTTTTAAAGATAAGACAAGAAGGTCCCAACATTGTGGCTGTAGTAAGACAGTGTTGCCATGGAATAAAACATCAAGATGGTTATTGAAAAAACTTTCCCAAATATGATTAAAAATAAGAAGATTCTTAGGTCCACAATGAATCACAAATGCTACTTCTCCCAGAGAAACCCAACACAGCAAGATTAACAGGCTCTGAGTCACATATTAAATACAACAAGGGCCCACTAAGTTATAACCTAACCCTATTCCAATCCAAGATCCAGGAATTTCTTCACCCACAAATTATCTTGTCATTTGGCCAAATCCTGTACTCATGACCAAATTTTTACTTACTTCAAAACTATTTCACTTTCCCAGAACTTGTGACTTTGTGAATCATCAGAAAATATATATTTTTTTCTGATAATCAGGTATCTCTTTTCTTGTATATAACATAGGAAAAGGACAAGGTCCATTATAGCCAGAAGCCTAGAACATTGTTATATACTAAGATTTATTTCAAGATTAATAAGAAAGAGCTGACAAAAAGTAATAGGCCTGATAAATCAATTTACACATTTATTGATACCAATATCAAAACCGATGAAATACTATTGCTTCATTTCTGATGAGCAATGTCCTGATCCATCCCACATACAGAGGTCATACTGATGCTCATGGTTGAATTTGCTGATTTTCCCCCTTGGTGGTGGCTTAGTGTTCTGAGCTATGTTCCCATACATTGCATAATGATCCAGGAGCTATAGAAATAAAATGTATGTGTCTGTCATTTCAGCGAGCAGTCCTTGCAATGCCTACAGATTTTCAAGTCAGTTTTGACTTCAGGAACATATTATTATTATCCCTAGCTGTTGAAGAGAGTTTCTCTAGAAGGAATTTTACAATTTAATCTTCAGGTCCTTAGAATCACATCTTGCTATAGCCCGGGCCTATTTTTGTTTCTGAAGGAATGCAGCTTTGCATTCCTCGATCTTCTCCTGGTGGCAGCCCACCTTATCTTGACCTTTTGCAGACAGTTCATCTCCAGACTGCTAGGTGATTCATCAACTCACGTCAGGAGAGACCATGGGGTTTTGTTTTGTTTTGTTTTGTTTTATTCTTTCATGGCCAATTTGGTACTATCTCTCCATTTTCAGAACCTCAGTTCTTTTCTGCAAATGGGGATTGCTATAGACTGAACATTTTGTCCCCACAAAATTCATATCATCATGGGAGGTGGAGCCATTGTGAGATGATTAGGGATAGATGAGCTTGTGAGGGTGGATCCTCATGAACAGGATTAGTGCCCTTATAAAATAGGCCCAAGGGATCTTCTTTGCTTCTTCCACCATGTGGTGACACAGCAAGAAGTTGCCCTCTGTGAAGCAGAAAGCAGGACCTCCCCAGATACCAAACTTGCTGGCACCTTGATCTTGAACTTTTCGGTATGCAGAATTGTGAGAAATAAATGTTTGTTGGTAAAGCCACCCAGTCTGTAGTACTTTTGTTATAGAGCCTGAATGAGCTAAGACAGGACTAAATCCACAGGTTTATGTGAACACATGATGCTGCATTGCTTCTTGTTTTCAGTGAGACTTCAAGTGAAGTGGACATATTTTCATATGATATTTCTGAATTTTTAATTTAAAATACAGAAAATATAAACACATGTTTTAAGTGCCTGTTGTATGCTGCATACTGTACCAGATATTTTTACATACATTGAGGAATGAAATCAGTCTTTATTGAGAATCTAATAAGTACCAGATACTTTTACATGAATTACCCCATTTAAATCTTCAGGCAACCTTACAGCAATTTTGCTGATGACATAATAGAAAGTGGTGACTTGGTCAAGGTCATGTAGCTAATAATACCAGGCACAGAATTCAAACACAATGTGTCACACATTTGCCTAATGCCTTTTTTTGAGTGGAAGTGGATTGCCTAACAATAGAAATAAGGAATGAGGTCAGAATATAGGAAATTTTTAATAATAAAAAAGGGTTTTGTGGTTGTGCTTGATGCAAGAAAAGAATGAGATGTTTAAGGGAACGTCTCCAAGGGTATAGTTTGGCATCAAGGATGACAGTAAAGTAAAGAAAATTTAAAAAGTAAAGTAGACTTCCTGTCTACTTAGCCCCTTTTACTCTGCTGAGCCGTAAATTTCAGATTGAAAGAGGGAAAAAATGTGTTGCAGAGCAGCCCTGAATCCTAAGATTGGGGAAAGGCATTGTAAGAGAGCCCTGAACTCTGAATACTAATATGTGTGAAACTGCCATTGCAAAAGTGTAACTGAGACAGTGGAAAGAGCTTTGACCTAACCAACTCCATCTTGCTTCTCACCTCCAAGCTGTCCTTGTTCATTCCTGGACGTAGGCTGAACTAACTTTGAGAATAAATTAGTTTATAGTTTATCATTTAAAACAAAGACAAGAACAGCCCTTTCCCGAAACAAACCCCCTTCTTGCCTGAGGACTAGACTACCTTTGCAGGACTAACAAATTAGCCACAAGATTAGAAATTATGGTTTAGGTGTCATGCAGCTGGATTCTGACCCTCCCTAAACTGCTCCTAAGATCAGTGCTTGAGATATTTTGCAGACCCTGAACCTGATGGATCAGCTGGCACCACCCAGATTGATAAACTGGCTCATCTGATCTTGTGGACCCCACCCAGGAACGGACTCAAAGCGCGAAGACGGCTTCGACTTCCTATGATTTCATCTTTGACCTGACCAATCAGCACTCCAGGCTCACTGGCTTCCACCCACCCACCAAGCTGTCCTTAAAAACTCTGATCCTCGAACGTTCAAGGAGACTATTTGAGTAATAATAAAACTCCTGTCTCCTGCACCACAGGCTCTCTGTGAGTTACTCTTTCTCTATTGCAATTCCCCTGTCTTGATAAATCGGCTCTCTCTGGGCAGTGGGCAAAGTGAACCCACTGGGTTGCACTCACTACCATTTATCAAACACCAAGTGTGGAATCAGGGATGGGAGCCAGCCCAGTTCTGTGGATTCCACAGCCTGCTGTGGTCATGTGTGGTACTCCTGACTGCCTTTTATATTTTAGTACCTTATCCATATTTCTCCATTAACCTTTCACAATGTCACCGATGATGGGACCCTTTCACGTGGACTTCGTGACTCATGTTTTCAGCCCCCTTTGCAGCTGGGACACAGGTCTGTGATGTTGGCTGACACTCAGTCATACAGGGCCTGGGTTTTGTTTCTGAAGTGGGCAACATAGACTAGTCTGTGCTGGCTGGGGTAGAGGAGCAGGCTGTCTACAGTGGCAGCAGCTGCAGTAATGGCTTCTCAGGAGTTTAATGTCAAATTCAAGGCTTAGGAAGGTGTCAGTGCTAATGGCTGCATCAGTCAAGTCAAGCCGAGTTCCTAATGTTGGATGCTCAGCTGTGGCTGTGGGTGACGGCTGACTTCTCATCTGTGCCAGGAAATTGGTGTCATTCCTGGAAAGTCTTTCTCCAGTCCTTCCAACTACTCAGGAAGTTTCCCTATGATGATTTCTAACTTAAATGTTACTTTTCTTCATAAAATAGGAAAAGCCAGTTCCATTTTACTTTTACGGCCATAATCATGGTCTTCTAATAACCCCGCTGCTTCTTGGGGCAGAGTAGAGTGCCAGGTTCCTTTGGACTTGAAGCCAGAGGGCCCCAGAGCACTTGCTGACAGGAGAGGTCAGCTCAGCTCTCTTCCTAGAACCTCAGAGAAGGCTGGAGATGCTGAGGCCAGGTAGAGTCACAGACAGCATAAAATGGAAGATGGTGCATTGAGTCACCTTTGGGGCAGATACTGACCTGCATCTCAGATGACGTGGCCAAGTAAAATATTTAAAATATTGCATTTTGAGCATTTATAAATTAAATGGTAATCATTTGGAAGCAGCTTGATTACAAACAGCTAAAAGTTAAATGAAATATTCATGGGTGCTCCCAGTCTCTTCTCTGGTCCTTATACCTCAAGAACAGGGATCTGTGGGAATAAAACCTAAGAGCTGTCACTTACTGACACCACTCTGTGCTTTGGGCTGACCTGAGAATTCCATCTGTGTTGTCCCATGGAGTTGCATCCTGACTGGCTGGGGAAAGAGTTGGAGAGAGGTGGATTTGGTTTTGGCTGCACCACTCTTGACAGAGTGGCAGGGGATGAACGTCTTCACCCCCATCCTGTCTCTGTGTGCATATTGTTGAGAGTCATGGTTGAGATTTAGCATGTATTCCAAAATTCCTCTTGTTATTCCCATTGCTGGCCAAGGATGGCACTCTTTCATGACTGAAACAGAAGGAGATTAAGTTGTGGACACTCCAGTGGAAGACCATTCTGGGTCCGTTTATCTAATTCCCATCTGTAGAAACAAGAAGCGATCCTGGGTGGCATGTCCAGCTTCCAAGAGCAAACCCAGCCTCAATGCCATGGGCCAGCAGGAAACACCAAACACAGTGAAAAACTGCAGGGTTTCTTAGCATTGCCTTTCACTACATCTGGTTTTCTGGTGTCTTTTTTTTTTTTTTTTTTTTTAACTGTTCTGTGGAGATGAGAAGGCCTTCCCTGGGGCTCTTGTGAGAGTTGCCTGTGATGAGAATGTGCAGGGCGAAAGCGGTGAATGTGCCAGGGACCCTCCTCAGTGTGCAAGGAAGAGACTTCACTTTCTACTTGGCAAAACAAAGCAAAAAAGCACCAGAAACATACCTTTCCTCTGTGACAAAATTGAGTGAGTGAGTTTCTAGAATATTGAAATGACAGTGTATTTAAGAAATCTCACAGGCATTGTGCAAAACACTGGTCTAGGAGCAGAGACCAGGGCAGAGTGCCTTCCTTCACAGAGATTGTAGGAGAAAAGGCCCCATAGGAGGGTGAGAGAACCGGGTCGTGAACACTGGGGACAACATTAGAGTCCACATTGATCTGGGATCATTTTTCAAATGTATCTAAGAAGAGTCATACAAACAGAAAACTGCTTTTCAAAGATATGATAAACTAATGTCATCCATGTAAGAGAGCCTTAGAGTGAAGTGTTGATGGGAAAATTCTTGCTCAGGTAAAAATATCACTGACCCAGGTATGCCTCAGAGATTGCTTCCAGGGTTCACAGCAGTGCTTGGAATGCTATTAACCTGTTTAAGGTTTTATTAAATCTTCAATGTTCCGTCCAGGTCCATTTTAACCAATGTACGTTTAAATACTACGTAAAACACATACCTATTTAAAAGTAAAGCCAACGTACCCCCAAGGCGATTGCTTCCCAGTAATCCATATTTCAGTCACCGCAGGAGCTGGAACTGAAAATCAGGTCAGATGAGGCTTTTGGATTAGCAATCTTCACCTTATCTGAACTATGGAGAACCCTGTGGCCTGTGAGCACAGTGCAGCTGGCTGCATGCTGAGCATAGCTTTCCTTCTGAGATTTATGGTGCTTCTGCCTTAGGTTGGAAACACTGAGAGTACTTAACCTCCCAACTTTATTTGCTGGCTTTTCTCCTTAGCTACAGGAAAAAAAAAAGGAGTGCATTAAAGTGAAGCTAAAACACTTAATTGAATGTTTTACAACCTCAGGAACATCTGGGGTTAATCCTCATCCCATCTGAACCGGTCAAATATCAAAAAATAGCTTGCTTTTTAAGGGATCCACCACATCCTGAAATCAACAGAAGTAAACACTTTGTGAAGCACACAAGCCCATGTGGGGTTAGCCGTAGGCTGGAGGTTAGTTAAAAACTTTGCAAGCATGGGATACAAGGGAAAAGAGGTCATTGGAAAGGATTTCCTTTAGAGAAATCAAATCCAGTTCCACTGTCAAGGACGTCTCTCCTAGGCAGATGCATTTTCCATTCTTAGGGTTGTCCAGTCTAATAAAAGAGTCTTCCTGAGACAAACGATTTGTGGTGTTTATGTTCTCAATAGGTTCAGAAAACCTACAGAGAAAATGGAGAGAGCTCTTATTTGGCTTCTGCTTGTGAACACAATTGAGCTGTCTGCAAGACCAAATACCTAGCATCCAAGAATTTTTCAGATCTCATCCATTTCCATGACTTTGTAAAGAGAAATGAGCAGGGTCACTGCAACTCCACCTCCTCTTGGAAAATTGTACTATAGAGCTGCTTCCTCTGATTCTTTTGTTGTTATTGTTGTTTAGAGACAGGGTCTTGCTATGTTTTCCAGGCTGGTTTCCAGCTCCTGGGCTCTTGTGATCTTCCTGCCTCAGCCCCCTGAGTAGCTGGGGCTACAGGCATGTACTACTGCAACTGGCTTGATTCTCTTTTCCAAAGTGGTCATTCCTCAACTTTGGTTCCTCTGTCCTTGGGTGGTCTCAGTTTCTCCCATGTTTCCAGTGGCCACATCTAGGGTGGTAGAAATTTGCATATCTAACCTTTCCCTATAATTCTGAGCTTTACTCCATCATTGAGCATTAGCTGAGCGTTGCTCCCTCAATGGCCCACTAGCTCCTCAAAAGGAGAATATCAGGAGCACTTCATTTCTGCCCCAAGCCAGCTTTCAGTTGTCTCTGACCTCCTAATGACATCGACTCGGAACTGCTCTCTATTCCTCACTCCTCACTAATGACCAATTCCTTCCTATGGCCAACTGTAAGTTAACCTTCCACTCCTGCAGCCAACTTGTGCCAGGAAGGCCCTCCTGCACCTCCTCCAGGTTGCTACGGCCATCTCCTAACTGGCCTTTCCCATTAGCTTCTTCTCCAATCCAGTCTCCTCACCCAGAAACAACTCACCTTTCCAAAGCTCGACTCTAGGGAGGTTGTGTTCCAGCTCCACTCTCTTCAGCATTCCCTTTTTTTCTGCCCTGGTTTGCCTGTGGCCCATTTGACCAGTCCCCTCTCTCATTCTAAGTGTCCTTTCATCCTCCAGTCATAGGCATACACTGTCCCCTCAAAGACCCTGTGCATTTTTGCCTATTCCCTTATATTTGTGCTGTCTCCAAAGCCCAAAAGACTCTACCCATCCCTTGGTGTCCTTCAGGGTTGGTTTATGTGTTGTTCTTTCATGAAGCTTTCTGATGTGTTCTCTTCATGGGTAACTTCCGACATTAGGATCGTCCCTATAAAGGATTTAACAGAGGGTTCACTTTAGTTTTTTGACTGTTTTCCTTATGCTGATAATTTTCCATCCTCTACTCCTACTTGCTATATTAGTTTACTAGGGCTGTCATAAGTGACATAAACTGGGTGGCTTAAACAGCAGACATTTATCATCTTACAGTTCTAGAGGACTGAAGTCCAAATTTTAGTTGTTGGCGGTGCCAAGCTCCTTCTGAAAACCCACAGGGGAGAATCCTTCTTTCCCTCTTCCTAGCTTCTGGTGATTGCTGACAGTCTTTGGCGTTTGTTGCCTTGAAGTTGCATCACTCCAATCTCTGCCTTCAGCATCACATGGCATTATCCTCCTGTGTTTTCTCATAAAGACACCAGTCATATTGAATAAGGGGCCCAACCTACTCCGGTATGACCACATATTAAAACTAACTACATCTACCAGTGACCCAATTTGCAAATAAGGTCATATTCTGAGGTGCTAGGGTTTAAGACTTCAAAACATAGTTTTTGTGTGTGTAGTGGGGGGTGCTGCAATCCAATTCATACTACTTGCTATTCCCTTGGTTGTATGCTTCTGCCAAAGTTGGCAGTTGGGTATATTTGTTCAAACTCTAAACATCGGGGCTAAGAGCAAAATTATTTAAACTCCCGGTATTGACCATGTTAATACATGTTGAGCACTGGATAAATGTGAAGTTCACAATCAAGGAGTTATTCAATAAAGCTTTTTTTTCTCTCCAGAATTTGAAAGAATTAATCTTTATTATATAATATTACACTGTGTTCAATTAATTGATACTTTCTCAAACTCAAACCTGAGACATCTGAGAGAGACTAAATACACTAATTTCCTCTCCAAACCTAGCTCTTCTCCTAGTCTCTCTCTCTCAATCAGATATCTCATGACCCACCCGGAACTCCCAGAGGCTCCCTTAACTGTCCCTCTCCTGTGTTGTCCTTATACCCACCTCTGTGTATCTGAGTCCTGCACTCAGCTGGAAGGACCAGGATTTTATTTGTCTCTGTATCATCTCCCCCAGCACCTGGTCCACACTTGGCCCATGTGAAGTGCTTCAAAATATAGCCTGAATGTATTTAATCTTTGGTACTTATCCTAAAACTGATGCCATTTCAAGGGCCAGCTCATTTCTTTTCCATCTACTTGGACTCTTCTTGCAGTAGAGAAGAGTAAAGGGGAATGGTTGGGCCTTAGATGTGAGGAACATTGAACTAAATATCTCATCGGTGCTACAGACTAACAAGGTGCAGGTGGTCTCGCAGTTTTCTGCTAAGGAGAAGGTGAAGGCCAACGGTGGGTGCTGTCTAGCGTCAAGGAAGAGGCCCTTACCCGAAACTTGATCTGAGCGATAAATCTCTGCCTTAAGCATTGATCACAGTAGAACTAAAAGTGCCATAGAAATAAATAAAATTTATTTTGCAAATGAGGACACAGATGCAGAAGCCCAGGGATGTTATCAAAGTTCCTCATTTAAGCTATTGAGCCAGCATTTGAATTTTGTATTTCTAACACAGGATCCTGAATTGTTTTTGAAATATATTATACAGTGAGGATACATCCTAACTTTGCATTGGTAGATTCTGATGGTCTCAGACACTTGGGTCTGATCCTATTAACCCTTGGATGTAGGCATTTAATTTAATCTTCGACTGTGTTTACTTGTAGCCATAATTCTGTGTTGATTCTAAGCTTCTTACCAGTGTGTAATTTTTCTGAAAAGCAAACACGTATGTGTGGCCTATCTTGTATGTTTGTCTCCCACAAAGTGGCTTGGGAAATGTGAGAGGTTAATAAAAATGCAGTAGTAGTTATTTTATTAAAAGGAAAAACTATAACTTCAAGGATGATGTTTCATGGAAAAGGTGCAGTATATAATGGGATTATAGGATTGTGAGATCAAGTGTTGCAAGAAAGGTACTGGGAAGAAAGGTGCCTTGCCATACCCTGTAGGAAATAATGATAATATATCCTTCTGCTTTCAGGAAGAAAATTATCCAAATTCTCTCTTATATATGATAAATGGGAAGCTTTCAATATGCAGACAAAGAAAAATACACAAACCTTTTTAGCACCTTAACTGTATCACCATTTAAAAAATGTCTTACATAGAATTCCGACATTATAGCCATAAATACTCTTAAAGTGAGAATGAAAATAGGAATTGCAGCTGGCATGTCCTCCACTCTCTTTGAAGTATCACCTCTGAAACTGGCACGTGTAGGGGACACAGACATAAAAAGAAATGCCTACATGTAATACATACATGCACACAAAGGTAAAGCCAGGTTTTGCAATCTTGAAAGTGATATCTTTCAGGGAACTTTCCCTAAGTGAAAGAATAGAAAATTCTGAACCCAAACTGAGCATCGGTACTTGGGAGGAAGGGACCACACATGAGGATCCCTGAAGTTTTAGCTTGATAGATGTGCCTTTGTATGTAAAATTCAGGATTCCAAATAATTTCACCAATTTATCTGTCATAATTTCCCTGTTTTGCAACTTCATATGTGCCATGCTAACTACATACTTTACCCCCTTCCCTTTAAAAATGTGCACCTCTATCACAGCATTATTCACAATAGCCAAGAGGTGGAAGCAACCCAAATGTCCATGGGCAGATTAATGGATTAACAAAACATTGTTTGTACATACAATGGAATATTATTCAGCCTTAGATAGGAGGAAAGTTCTGACACATGCAACAGCATGAATGAACCTGTAAGTTCATATGCAAACTGAAATAAGACAGTCACTGAAAGACAAATACAGTATGATTCCACATATAGGAAGTATCTAAAGAAGTCAAATTCATAGACACAGAAAGTCAAATGAGGGATGCCAGGGAATGAGAAAGAGGGAGTGAAGAGTTAGTGTTTAACAAACACAGAGTTTTAGTTTTGAAAGCTGAAAAGAGTTCAGGAAATAGATGGTGGTGATGTTTGCACAGCAATGTAAATGTACTTAATACCACCAAACTTCACTCAAAATGATTGTAAATGATGTGACCTTTCAAGGCAGGAGGGACAGCATGTGTGGAAGCTGGAGCTGGGTTGGGAAGTGCAGTGACAAAGATGGGGAGGAGCTGGGGCACGGCATGCATATAGGAATTGCTAACACAGAGCAACCCCCATTTGACTGCATGAGTTGGGCCAATGACAAATGAGGTTGGAAATGGAATGAAGAACCCCTGATGGTGGCATTTGAACTAATGCTGAGAAGCTTGGGCTCTACCCAGTGTCTTTCAACATGCGGTTCATGGATAACCTACGTCTGTTTCACTCAAGTACTTGTTGAAGTGAAAATTCCCAACCTCAGCCCTAGAATTGTATGCATTCAATTCTTTGCATATAGTTGATAGGAATCAATTTTTCTAACAAAATCCCCAGCTCATCTCCATAAAGAAGATAATTAGAGAACTGTGTAAGACTTGGAAAACTCTTAAAAATCCTTCCATCTTGGCTGCACCCAGGGAAAGCATCTCTTTCCACAGATTGTGGAGGTGCAGAAGAATTGCAAATGGGATTTTGAAAGGTGCACGTGACATTATAGAGCTTCCACGTTCCGAGGAAATATTGGCTTGCAATTTGAAATGGAAACTTCGCAGCCTTATTTTATTCATGACTTTTGCAAGAGTTTCCACATTTGCCAAGGGAAACGTTTGCCAGAATTAAAACACACGAAGGATGCATCACTCTCTCTTCCCACACATGGGGAAGTCATTAAAATTGAATCGGCTTGGCAGCTGACAGCTCAGGTGTTCAGTGACTGCTGAAAACTTTTTAATCTCTCTTTCTTTCTTTTCTTTCTCTCTTTCTTTCTTTCTCTTTCTTTCTTTTCTTTCTCTCTCTCTTTCTTTCTTTCTCTTTCTTTCTTTCTCTCTTTCTTTTTTCTTTCTTTCTTTTTTTTTCTCTAAATCACAAGGAATGTGAAAATGTTCCACCAAGTCCTAAGTCTGGGCAAAATTTATGGTTTGGGAATTTTAAATCAAGCCCTAACATTTATTTTCCTTTGGCAAGAGGTAAAATTGTTTAAAAAGAAACAAAAGGCTATTTATTAATGTGTGCACATGCAAAGCCAGAGTACAGAGACTATTGAAGAAGGGACACGTGATGCCACCCTGCTGGATGGTGGTGGATCAGGCTCCTGCTCTAAGGGCTGCCAGACGAAAGCCTTGGAGAAGAAGGAAAAAGCAAACTTTCAGATGTGAAGAGCTTTCTGAACTGAAAGAACAGAGCCGGCAATGAGATGCACAAAGGATGGACAGGCAAAGGGTAGTAAGTGCTCTCAGGTGGTTGGGGCTTCGGTGGGAAAGGTGCTCCTGGGAGTGATTGATCTGGCATTGGAGAAAATCTTGAATATCAGAGGGAGGGATTTGGACTCCATCTACATGCAAAAGAGAGCTCTTGAATGCTCACTACTGTCAGCCTTTGGGTAGAATGTTCTAGCGGTCTTGTTTCATGAAAACTGAAAAGAGGAGAACCTAGTTGTAAGGTAACCACAGTGACCTTGCAAATCTTCAAGTGATGAGCAACTTTACATCAGGGGCTATAAAGGAGGGAGCAGATTTAAGAAAGGTTGAGTTAGAACAGTAGGATAGAATACCAGCTCAGTGTGAATACAGAGTCCAGCTGTGTGTTTGGTACAGATGGATGGGAAAGGGGGGCATTTATGAACAACCAAGACTGAAACCTGCAGCCGCTCTTTTCCTTTAACCTTGGTGGTGCATCAGCTCCACATGCCTGGCTGGTCAGACAACATTCCTGAAGATCCATGTTGATCAGGAGTGACTTTCTTTGTCGACTTTGAGAGCCATCCCTTACAAATATGGAAACACATGGCTGTTTCTCTCCACTAGTAAAGCTGTCTCCCTGTACTATTGCCAGTGAGACAAATACGCCTATTATAATAGACATACTTATCTGACAATATAATTAATTAAGACAATGTGGACTCAGCATTGGATTCTGATTTAAATAAGTCATGTGGAAATGCTTTATACTGTTACACAGTCCTCAGGTATTAACTGTTTTATTCTACATGGAACATCCAGCTTGAGATAAGCATGGGACACTATCTGAGCATAGAAACATGATCAAGACAAGGACTCAGTGAGAACTATGGCACTACTAAATCACAACCTAGGAGGGAATGGTAATGCTTCTAAGGCAGGTATTTTGCAATTAGGAAAATTAAGAGGAAATAAAAGCCAGTGAAAAGAATTGTCCTACTAGTTATCAAAAACACTTTTTTAAAACATTGAACATTTTTTCAAACCAAATGTCTATGGATGTGTTTTGCTAGCAATTGAATTTTTTTTTTTGAGCAAAGAGGAACCTCCACCTCCCCAGTTCCCCCACAGAATTCAAGTCCTCTTATCGTAAGTCATCGATTTGACAAAAGTCCAAATAATTGACACAGGACAGATTGACACATTCTGATTTCCAAGATTTACTTCAGGCAGCCTTGCAGATGCAGAACAAACAGACTTGATCTAGTGATCCCCACTTCCCCATATTCCTGCTGCAAAGTTGGTCACATGTGCTCAACAATATAAACAAATGCCAGGGGACCCACCAGAGCCCATTTTGTTGAGTAACAGATATTCCAAGCAGGCACAATTTTAAGGCCTAAATATGTGAATGCCTTTAACCCTTTAGCAGTCTTTTTAGAGGTGTGCTATTTTTATTCCCCTTGTACAGATCAGAAAAGTGAGGCACAGAGAAGCTACACCAAATCCCCCACGTCAGATCTAACAAGTTGGAGAACTGAAGCAAGAATCCGGCCATTTTTACTCCAGAGCTGCTATGAACCACTATGCCACACTGTCCCTTCTATATATACAAAATGAATAGAAACTAACAACAACAACAAATGAAAAACCAAAATATTCCTGGAGATAAGATTTAGGACTAGGACTTGGAATTATATAGCATTTGCTTTCTTTCAAAAAAGAAAATTAACATGAAAGTTTCAAAGAATCTCAACAAACATTTGATGACATTGTTTTAATCACCTTCAAAACACTTAAGATTTTTGGAATACAATTTTTGTACTTTGGGATACCTACAATCTCTGTGAGGTGATCTCGGTCAAGTCATTTATGTCTCTTTCTGCTCAGTTTACTCATCTGTAAATTGGGGATAATTTTAAAGCTTCAAGTTTGTACTGAGGTCAGATGAAATAGGGAATGCTGAGGAATCAGCACTTCATAGTTTCCCAATATATGTGATTGGGGTGATTAAAATAAGCTCATGGATTGGGGGACACGGAATTCAAAATTCTGTATTAGGCTGTTGGGAAAAACAAAAGAGAAGGGAGAATGTTGTCTGTTGTGAAGACACAGAGGGAAAGCTGGCCTACTAGTAGTGTTCAAACCCAAAACTAAGTTATCTTACAGGCTAAATCTCTATTTAAAAAATAATAATAATAGGGGAAGGGGAAGGGAGGTTGTTTTTTTTAGGTTGAATTGTTGAATATGAAACAAATTCATATGAGAAAGCCTAACCCTAGTACCCAAGAATGTGACCTTATTTGGAAATAGGGTTGTTGCAGGTGTAATTAGTTAAGTTTGGATGAGGTCATACTGGAGTAGGGTGGCCCCTAATCCAATATGCCTGTGTCTCTATGCCAATGTCTGAATGTTTGTACCACCTCTCCCAAATTCATATGCTGAAATTCCAGCCCCCAAGGTGATGGGATTAAAAAGTGGGTCTTCGGTAGCTGAGTAGGTCATGAGGGTCAACCCTCGTGAATGGGATTAGTGCCCTTGTAACAGAGGCCCCAGAGAGCTGCCTGCCCTTTTTACTACCTGAATATTAATCTGATGATGCTGAAATTATGCTTAGGGGATTGGTCAGTTGAGGCCATTGTCTTAAGAAGAGTGTCCCCAGGGAAAAATGGTAGCAAATTTTCCAAATCCAGCTGTGAGTCTCTGGAGAGTGACCGAAACTAAGAGCTGCATGATAATTAGAGTGTTGGGCCTGTGCATTGTTAGTCTGAAGAAATGCAACAATAATAATATAGAGAAAGTAAAATTGTTTTAATGAAAAGACAAAAGACAAGTGAACACTGAAAAAAATGGAAGAAAATTTTTGATTATTTAGAATACTAATGAAAAAAATGTGATCCAAACAATATTCCTTAAAACATTTCTGAATTATACTTTGCCTGGGGAGCTATTGACCATTCACACAGTTCCTGACATGATAGCTCCACTCAGACACAGATTCATAAAGAAAGTTGCCCTTGGTTTTATCAATCGGCAGGAAAAAAATGAGCTCCACACCAGGCACTGAACTCAGATGGTTTCTGTATTATGAGAATTTCTTCACACAGTCCACAGGGAGGAAGATGGGCCCCACACTGTGTAATTTAAATGTTTTTGACATGGATTTGGACCAAATAACATAACAAACCAGACACTGAAAACCAGAACTATGGCATTGCATGATTATTAATAAATGTCAAGATATTTCTAAAAGTGAAAATGACTTGTACATGAATTAAGCTGGAATTCAAAGGAAAATTTTTGACTAAACCCAAAGGAAGAAAACAGTACATTACAATCAATTAATATCTTTCTTAGATCTCTTTTAAACTACAGTTTTCTTCTTCTTCTATTTTTATTTATTTATTTATTTATTTATTTTAGAGACAGGGTCTTGCTATGTTACTCAGGCTGGCTTTGAATTCCTGGATTCAAGTAATCCTCCTGCCTCAGCCTCCCAAGTAGCTGGGACTACAGGCACACACCACCAGACCTTGCCCTTCTATTTTATTTTTATTAATTGCAATTTATTTGTTGATGAGCATAGAATGTTTATTATATAGTTTCCCAGAGTCTGGTTTTACTTACAGCATTATTGTATTGTCCATTAACATGTTCCTCTGGCATACTCCCATTCACAATTGCCACAAAATAACTAGGGAGGTGAAAAATCTCTACAAGGAGAACTGCAAACCACTACTCAAAGAAATCAGAGATGACACAAAGAAATGAAAAAAACATTTCATGCTCATTGATAGAAAGAATCAATTAAGGTGGCCATGCTGTCCAGAGCAATTTGTAGATTCAATGCTATTTTTATTAAACTACCACTGAGATTCTTCATGGAATTAGAAAAAACTATTTTAAAATTCATATGGAACCAAAAAAGAGCCAGAATAGTCAAGGTAATACTAAGCAGAAAAAAACAGAGCTGGAGACATAACACTACCTGACTAAACTATACTACATGGGTACAGTAACCAAAACAGCATGGTACTGGTACAAAAACAGACACATAGACCAATGAAACAGAATAGAGAACCCAGAAATAAGGCCACACACCTACAACTATCTGATCTGTGACAAGCCTGACAAAAACAAGCTATGGGGAAAGGATCCCCTATTCAATAAATGGTGCTGGAATAACTGGCTACCCATATGCAGAAGACTGAAGCTGCACTGCTTCCTTATAGCATATACAAAAATCTACTCAAGATGGATTAAAGACTTAAAGTAAAACCCAAATAAAAAAGCTGGAAGATAAGGTAGACAATACTATTCAGGACACAGGCACAGGCAAAGATTTCATGACAAAGATGCCAAAAGCAGTTGCAACAAAAGCAAAAATTGACAAATGGGATTTAATTAAACTAAAGAGCTTCTGCACAGCAAAAGAAGCTATCAACAGCATAACCAGACAAACTACAAAAAGGGAGAATATTTTTTGCAAACTATGCATCTGACAAAGGTCTAATATTCAGCATCTATAAGCAACTTACACAAATTTATGAGAAAAAACAACCTTATTAAGAAGTGGGCAAAGAACATGAACAGACACTTTTCAAAAGAAGACATACATGCAGCCAACAATCATATGAGAAAAAGCTCAACATCAGAGAAATGAAAATCAAAACCACAATGAGATACCATTTCACACAAGGCAGAATGACTATTATAAAAAGTAAAAAACAAAAAACAAAAACAAAACAAACAGATGCCAGCAAAGCTGCCGAGAAAAGGGAGTGCTTATACATTGTTGGTGGGAGTGTAAATTAGTTCAACCATTATGGAAGACAGTATAGCAATTCCTCAAAGACCTAAAGAGATAAATACCATTCGCCCCAACAATCGCATTACTGGGGATATACCCAAAGGAACAGAAGTCATTCTATCACAAAGATACATGCATGCGTATATGTTCATTGCAGCACTATTCACAATAGCAAAGACATGGAATCAACCTAAATGTCCATCATTAATAGACTGGATAAAAAAAATGTGGCCCATATACCCCATGGAATACTACACAGCCATAAGAAAATGAAAGCATGTCTTTTGCAGGGACATGGATGGAGCTGGAGGCCACTCTAGCAAACTAACGCAAGAACAGAAAACCAAATACTGCATTCTCTCACTTGTAAGTGGGAGCTAAATGATGAGAACACATGAACATGTTGAAGGGAACAACACACACTGGGGCCTTTTGGAAGGTGGAGATGGGAGGAGGGAGAGGATCAGGAAAAATATTTAATGAGTACTAATACCTGGGTGATGAAATAACCTGTACAACAAATCCCCATGACACAAGTTTACCTAAGTAACAAACCTGCACTTGTACCCCTGAACTTAAAATAAAATTTAAAACAAACAAAGAAAAACACATACATCAGTAGATGAAAAAAAAAATGTTTCTCTGGCCCCTAGATTTTCTACAACTTGGTAGTGACATTAAAACATGTGAAGAGATTGAATGGAAATGTATAGTAAGTGTCAGCATAGGTGTTAGTGTGTCCTTCTGTCAGGAGCAAATATGCCTGTTTCTCTCTCTTTCTTTGTGAAATGAGCACCATTAATGATTATTGTATATATCCATTATTTTATTAGACGTTATAAAATTATGATATTCTAAGGATATTTTTCCTCAGTTATTTATCAGCTGAAAGATTTTTATAATTATTTAACCTGCATTTAGTTAATGGTTTGGTTAACCTGAGTGATAGACTGCAGAGGAAAAGCAGGATACATAATTTATCTTCTCCCTTCTTTACCAGTTTTCACCTTAATAATAAGTATCCTCCCAGCACGGCCTGCAGATTTGCCTGTTTTGTGTGAGCACATGATGCTTTTCTGTTGGTTACAGTCATGATCCTTGCCAGTGCTCAATCTGTCCCACCCTGGACAGTGGGGGCCTCTTCATGTTGACTTCAGAGTTCCTGCGACATAACCCAGGCAGTCTTTTATGCATCATGGCTTCTAGTGTCACAAGATATTTCAGGCTCACTCTGCACATTTCCTGTCCCAAAGTTTAGTGGAAATGGTATTTAGAGTATACGGACTAGGCATTAAGGGAGCAATATTTTTAAGCTCTAGTGGTTCAGTTAGTTTCAGGCAGTTAGGTGGCATAGGTAAAATATAATGGTAAGCAGACAGTTATTTCTTCTGACGATGGCACATATGTTCTCAAACTTGTAGCGACTATGTGTGTAAAAGAAACATCTTAATATCAGTGTCACTTCTTAATATTAATTGTTTTAGTCTATTTGACAATTACCAGCATATTTCTGAAATAATTTTTGGCTATATTCTAGCTAATCTAATTTTTACTGGGTTTGTTTGTTTGTTTGTTTGTTTGTTGTTTCAATACCCTCATCTGCTAATAACCACCACTGGGGGCCCTTATTCAACATTCTATTCTGTTCTTTTAATTATGAACTGTTAAGAACAGTGAGTTAAGAAGTTTAAGGATTTTACTTGTTACAAAATAGCCCACATTTAACTACTTTTCCAGAATGCCTCAAGTGGGAACTAATAAGAAGGATCTACACACTCTCAATGTCTATGCTTGCCAGAAAATTGATCTCAGCAGCTAAACAGTGAGTCCTTTGATGGTTAGGTCAGGCCACCAGTGACTCCTCTTCTTCATGGCTCAGACATTGTAGCAGGGAGAACCTGGGTTAGGGAACAACAGAGACAGGATACCGTCTAGTTCCTCTCACCCTGTGCACTCTTAACACTGAACTAATCTCAGATTTCTAAAAGAGTGAGTTATATTTAAATCTTTCCTTTGCAATCCTTGCAAAAACCTTCATTTCTATACATAAAAATTATCATTTGCTTTCAAAGGGGAAAGATCAGATCAACATAATTAAGGGTCTTAGAATGCAGGTGACCTCAAAGTGTGTTTGCTTCTCCTGCTAGTTGGCTGTTCCCAACAAATGGCAGGATTTTAGAGCACTCAGTGATTTAAAAGTGGGCATATCTGTTTGTCCAGTGGATTTTATTACTGTCACGTAATTTACCATCAAGTAATAAAATCGCACTATTCTTCATTTTAGACTGAACATTTGGAAAGCTTTTTCTCAAACTTTGTCCAAATTCAGGGCGATAGTTTTTGGAACTTAGCTGTATTTTCTTCCAAGTGAATTTCTAAATATGCCTTAACCATCGGTCAGCTATATTTATCTCATGAAGGTAGAGAGTAGAATGGTGGTTACCAGAGATTGGGAAAGGTAGGGAGAAGAGGGATGAAGGGAGGCTGATTAATGGGTACAAAAATACAGTTAGAAGCAGTAAGTTCTAGTATTCCATAGCACAGTAGGGAGACTGTTGTTACCATTAAATTATTATATATTTCAAAATGGCTAGAAGAGATTTGAAATTTTTCCCAACACAAAGAAATGATAAATAGTTGAGGTGATAGATATCCCAATTACCCTTATCTGATCATTACACACACGTACCAAAATATTATATGTACCCCATAAATATGTATAATTATTATGTATCATCATATAAAAACAATGGGTCAGCTGATAAACTAAAAGGTTGATGGGGTAGCAATGGAGAATAAAACCTCATCATCTATCATTATTTTTTCACTTTTGCTGGCTACATCCAAATGTTAATGAATGTCAGCATACGCTTATTCAGATGTCTGATGCTATGTTATATAATGTCCTAAAGACTGTTTACACCTATTCAGCCTCACTCAGTTGTCAAAACAACTATATGAAATGAGCAGAGAGAAACTCAGTTATTTCACCAAGGTTACCGGTGGAAACGTCAGAGCAGAATTTGAACTTAGGCAATTCAGCTCCAGGAGTTCATGATGTTAGACACTACATGACACTGCTTCTGCTTTGCTTTCACAGGTCCTTAAATAAATGTCATATAACTGTGAAATCTCAGGACTAGATTTAGCTTAAATGTATTCTAGGATAATTCCCCATTTAACTTTTGACTTCCCCAAAAAACACTTGGTTAAAACAGCAAGCAGGTCTATAGTCACCTTAAACAACTAGGAGCCCACTACTTATGCTTTATAATATCAGGAATGCAAAGTTGCTTCACTTCTCTGAGGTGGTTCTTAGTTGGAAAATTGTCAATGGCAGTGCCTGCTTGGAAGGTTTTGAAGATATATATAAGGCGAAGTTGCTCTGAAAATGCCTGGCACAAAGCATGTCCTCAATGAAAAACGAATCTTCATTATATCTTTAATAAATTCCAGTTTCCTTTTCTTGCTTCCATCCTTCGTCTCTCTCTCTCTCTCTGGAAAGTCCAGTAGCAAGTCCTTTCCTTGGAATCTTCAGAGCAAGCAGGCCTAGAGTTCCTCATTAATACTTACGTTGGGGACCTTCTTTCCCTTTTCCTCAAGTTTTTTTCAACTCTTCACCTTATGACCACTTGAAGGGACTCCAAATGATTCCAGTGAGCCACATTTCTCTTAGAAGGTTGCCAATGGCTTTACAGCACGAGGTGTCATGGGGCCAGTGCTAGAATTGGATAATGAAAGATGAGTTTAGGGCTAGTTGTCCTGGGAGAAAGGATTTTAGATGTCACCGGAACCACAGAAGGAAAAGCATAGAGTCAAGGAAACTTCATCAAGTTGACCAAACATCAGTGTGGATGAAAGAGTAAAAGACAACATTGGCCTTGGGAAAATGTCTGCTGGCAATTGCATGCTTCCAGCTGAGTCTGTATTTGAGTTGCAGTGGGGCAAACTTTGGTTCTGAGCCTGAGTCCACCTTATCTCCTTGGGTTAGTTACTTGGCCCCTTGAATTTTAGCATCCTTGTCTACAAAAGAGAATGACTATGCTTCTAATCGACTAAGTTAACTCATACAAAATACTTAATTATAATGAGTACATTGTAACAGTTTAATAATACTTACTAAAATATTTGAATTTATATTAAAATTCTTTGGAATGAATAAATTTAAAAGTATGAATATAAAGGTTAACTGAATTATATTTTCACTGAAATTGTGGCTTGCAACCTCCTGAATTAGCTATCAAATCTGATACATGACCATCTTTTGGGTCTCGTGATTGCCATATGGCACCATGCACAGCGAGTGAGCCTGGTAATCATCGTATTCCGTCATTTCTTTTGCAATTATCTTTTGCTGATGACTCTCCCTTTCCTGCCCCCCACCCCCATCCACCCTCTGCCCTTCTCTGATCTCCTCCGTGCCATGGATGACCTCTATGGATGTTTTTGTCTCTGCCCTCCAACTTCTGATTGTGTTTGACCAATGGGAGACTCTGAAATGATATTAGAAGATAGAAGGGAAAGAATACTGTTCCTTCCTCATCCCCACTGTCCCCATCATCATGGTTTGGCTGCAGTCCCTGTTGGGCTGTCCTGCTGCTGCACTTGCTGACATACACTCCCTTTATTGACTGAGCCTTGCAGACCTGGGAAGGGGAATGGACATCTTGTTGTTGCAAATCCCTAGGGTCTTTAAGCCTTTATGGCTTTCTTTAGTCCTTTCCTTAATGTCTTTTCAATTAACCCTTCAAAAATGCTATTTATTTCCTACCAAGACCTTGATTGATGCACATATATTGAATCCTTTCTGTTTACCGAGCACTTCCTAAGAAAAGGGGACACGGCAACACCTAAAACAAAGTTCCTGCCTCAGTTTGTTTGTAAATTATGTGGAGCAACAAATATATAAAGTGAAGCTGCAGGGCACCGTGTCATACTCATCATATCTGGAAAGGGAACTGAGCCCAGTGAGAAGAGAAGAGCATGGGGCTTCTCCTAAAACAGAGGGAGCCTGGGCAGGGCAGGTGACCTAGGAGCTGCCTTATGTGGGGCACAGCAGCAAGGACAACAGAATTTCTCAAATAATAGAGAACCTTTTATTTGAAGAAGCAGCTTATTATCTACCAGATAGATCAGTAAGACGTCATTGGTTTGAGATTAAATAGATAACTGAGAATAGTTTCTGTAGGATTTCTTTGATGGCCTGTTGCAGGAGAGTGTTCTTGGGTGGAGGGGATCAGGCTGGAGGAGAGCCAAGGGAGGTGTATGTATACTTCCTGGGTATTCACTTAGCCTTTGGCTTTTAAAGTAATTTAAGCAGATTAAAAAAATGATATATTTGCCACACATCATAAATAACTGATAATAAGGTTAAATAAACTCCTTTGAACATTCTAGAATTGGGCTGTTTATAAATATATATCATGAAAATGATCACAGGCTGCACTTCTGAAAATGTTTTTGTTTAACTTAAGAAGTTCATGCCATCATTATAGCCTATCTATAAACTGAAATCATATACCCATATTATAATTACTGAGTATAAATATGTGCACCAAAAAATAAAAGAAAAGAACAACTCTTGGAAAAAACAAAAAGACAGACTATGATTAATGTAACAAGCTATTTCTAATCTGGATTTTTAGATTTTTATTTAATCATTTAGAGATTATAACACTAATAAATGAAAGTTATAGGATAATCAAAATATATAATATTATAAAGAATAGTAGGTAATCCAACATGTTTATTTAAAGAAAAGAATTAGGCTGGGTGCAGTGGCTCATGCCTGTAATCTCAGCACTTTGGGAGACCAAGGCGGACAGATAACTTGAGGTCAGGAGTTCAAGACCAGCCTGGCCAACATGGTGAAACCCCGTCTCTACTAAAAATACAAAAATTAGCTGTGTGTGGTGGCATGTACCTGTAATCCCAGCTACTCGGGAGGCTGAGGCAGGAGAATGGCTTGAACCCAGAAGGCAGAGGTTGTAGTGAGCTGAGATTGTGCCACTGCACTCCAGCCTGGGCAATAGAGAGAGACTCCATCTCAAAAAAAAAAAAAAAAAAAAAAAAAGGAAAGAAAGAAAAGAAAAAAGCTTAATACATTAGCCTCTCCCTTCAAGTGATGGAGTCTTTGGACATGATTGCGGGACTTCAGTGTAGCAAAACGTCATTGCATAAGTGACTGAACCTTGATGGTGGATATTGATAGACATGTTGCAGAACACCAGTATTATTAGGTAAATCAGGATGGGAAGATAGAAGAGGAAGATGTTAGGATTTTTTTTCAAGATGATGTACCAATGAAATCAATAGTTCTCTTTCAAGAAAATCCATAAATGTAAAAATAAAATAAAAAAAAACAAAAATTTAAACTGCAGACACTTATCACCTACAAGATAAGTGTATATTTAGGATAAAATTTGACTTTTAATTTTAATAAGTTGAGTAAAGAAATACAAATATCAAATTAACTTTTTGATTAATTGAATCTGAACTCAAAGTTATAAATCTGTCAGGATTTACATAGGTAACTTTGATTGAAATAATAAATAAAGTGAAGTATTAAAAATGAAAATAGAAGGACAGGTAACAGTTGGTAAGAACGGTAAAAAGGTGATGAGTGGCAAAGCTGGATATGGTTACCTGAAGGTTCATTACACTATCCTTTTTACTATTGTGTGTGTTTAAAATTTGTTATAGTAAAATTTCAAAAAGCAGCCAATGTATGGCTTTGGGGTCAATGCAAAATGGCTCTTTTCTCTTTTTAGGGAAGTTTATCCAAGGAGATTCAACAAAGTGGCCAAGTACATCTTGGAATTCAAGTCATTGTAAAACAACACCTTATTAATCAAAGGATAAATTAAAACAAATCAACATTAAAGCTAAGTCAAAATTAAGAGTAGATAAAAAATTAAAAGGCTCTTATCAAGATATTGTTTATTACTCCCAAATACATACTTAGGCTTTCAACAGATAGGCTTTTAAACATTTTAACATTTAAAAAAATACCACACCTATAAACAAAAATAAAGAAAAGTTAGAAATTTTCCAAATGAAACTGACCACTTCTTGGTAAAAAAATTTTGGTTATTTTCTGCTCTTCAAAATATTTCATATCTAAGTCAGCAGAAAAGAAAACAGGAAAAATGATATACTCTTTTATCAGTAGGATTCTGACCTGAGCCATTCAAATGGTGGTGGCATAGCACTAAAAGGAATTTTCAATTTCTCCCAAACATAGAAGTCTATATTTTTGAACTTCCATGTTTGTGTTTTCATTGGTGTATCAAAATCTAGTTTTGGTGGGTATTTTTCAGAGCTTAATTGGGGTATAACTGACAAATAATAAACTGTACAACATTTCCACAGGTCCTGAGAAATACTGTCTTCTGTATCATTTTATTATAATGTTAATGAAGAAAAATAATTGGTTTCATTATATGTTATTTTGCTTAAAGTTGCAGTTTCCAAGAACCTATCTATGATGTTAAGTGAGGACTTACTGTATACAGTTGTATAAGTTTTGACACACATACACAAGTAGAATCATCACCACGTTAAAATAGTAAACATATCCGTCACCACCTCAAGGTTTTTCATGTGCCTTGGTAAGACTTCTTTCCAGCCCAGCTCTTCCCCATCTGTTCCCAAATAGTGATCTAACTTCTGTCAATATGGATTAGTTTTACTTTTCTAGAATTTTATATAAATAGAATAATAGAGTATGTGCCCTTTTTTCTAGTTTCTTTCATTGAGGGTAATTATGTTGAGGTTCATCCATGTCATGGAATGAACCAATGTTTAAATATACTACAGTGTGTTTATTCATTCGTCTATTGATAGGTATTTGTAGGTCACACAAAGAGCTTCCAGTTTTGCTACAAGCAGAAGTGCTATAATCATACATGCATGGACAAATCTTCATCTATAAATCCATCCTTTATTTTTTATTGAGTAAAACCTAGTAGTGGAATAGCTAGATCATAAGGTAAATATTTAACTTTTTTTAAAGAAACTACCAAACTGTTCACTAAAGTGATTGTACCATCCATTCCGACCAGCAATGTATGAGTTCCAATTCCTCCACATCCTTCTTAAATTCAGCCATTTTTATAGCTGTGTAGTAATATCACAGAGTAGTTTTCATTTGTGTTTCCCTAATGAAAAATGATGCTAAGCATTTTTCATGTGCTCACTTGTCATTCATATATCTTCTGTGGGGAAGTGCCTGTTAAATGCTTTGCCAAGTTTTTAAAAATTGGGCTGCTCGTTACTGAGTTTTAGGAGTTCTTTGTCTATTCTGGGTTCAAGTCTCTGGAAAGATAAATACTTGAAAATGTATTATCCCCATCTGTAACTTGTTTTTTCATTCTCTTAACAGTGTCTTTTGAAGAGAAGTCATTTTATCTTTAGATGAAGACCAACTTCACAATTTGTTCAATTTATGGGTCATGTTTTTGGTGTCATATCTAAGTAATATTTTCCTAACTCATGGTTAGAAATGTTTCTCCTATGCTTTCTTCTAGAAATCTCATTGTTTTAAGTTTCACATATGGGTCTATATCCTGTTTCGTGCTAATCATCTATGTGGTGCAAACTGGGGATTTAACTTTTACATGTATATTCAATTATTCCACCACCATTGCTTTAAAATGTTATTTGCTTCCCTTTGCACCTTTATAAAAAATCAGGGCATATCATTGTAGGTCTATTTCTGAAATCTCTATTCCTTTCCACTGATCCATGTCTCTATCTTTATGTCAATACTAAAATCTTGATTTGTTTAGCTTTATATGTTTTGAAATCAAGTAGTGTTAGTTGTTCAATTTTGGTTTTGGACATTGATTTTTGTATTCCAGGTTATTTTTCTTTCCTTACTGCACTGGCACATCTCTGTGTTCTTGAATTTAGGAGGAAAACATTCAGCCTTCAGTAATTACGTATGATATTATTTGTAGTATTGCATAGATGACTTTTTCACATTCGGAAGTTCCCTTCTGATCCTACCTTGCTGAGAGTTTTCACCAGAACTGGATTGTCAAATGCTTCTGTATTTATGTTATAGTTCTGGGATAAATGCCCTTTGATCATAAAAAAATTTCCTTTTGGTATATTGTTCAATTCAGTTGGCTGAAGTTTGATTTAGAAGTTTTGCATCTATGTTCTAGGCAGAAAAGAAAAGGAGCTTAAATTATTTTAGTTGAATACATCTTCTTACATGGTATATGTGAGGAGGAAAAAAATGCAAACTGTTTTTATCCTCTGTTCTCACACCACAACAATCAGCACCAAAGAATTTCTCCCCACCAACAAGCAAGCAGTCAATTCTGCAGTGGGCACCAGCTGGGTGTCCTCTAATTCAGTTCTGGTGACACCACCTCCCTGGAGCTAGCAACAGATTCCACAGGGCTCAGCCTTCAAGACAGCCTCCCTTTCAGACACCAGTCTCAAGTCCAGGCTTCTGGAATTTCTAACCAACTACTGTCAAGTTGGGATTCCCATGACTCCCTCTTTGGGTTCCACTAATTTGTTACAGTGCTCACAGAACTTAAGAAAACATTTATATTTGCTGGCTTATTACAAAGGTTATTATAAAGGATGCAGATGAAGAGAGGCATAGGGCAAAGTATAGGGAAAGGAGTGGGCAGCTCCTGTGCCCTCCTTGGGTGTGCCACCCTCCAGGAACCTCCATGTGTTCAGTGACCCAGAAGCTCTCCAAACCCTGTCCTCCTGGGCCTTTTATAGAGGCTTCTTTTGGCAAACATGATTGACAACCATATAGAAATATGATTGAACAGAAAAGATATAATTCAATACTAGTAGACTAAATGAGGAAACCTAACAAGACTGTCTGCCCAGATTCTTCTCGGTCACTTCTCTGGGCAGCATTCCCTCCTCTCCAGTATGATGCAGGACCCCTTCTGAAATAAGGGTCTGGTGACCTACAATCAAACATGGTAGGCCAGAGAATTGCTTTATGACCAGTTCTGTGACAGAAAGGTAGGAGAAGATTCCTGCCTTGGGAAGAAAAGGAGCAGGTGAAAGGTGGGCAGGGAAGGTCAAAGAGACTGTTTTCTGAGGCCTGCTCCAGAGGCCTAAAGTGCCTCACATTCTAACAAAGGGCTGCAGGAGTCATGAGCCAGGAGCCAGGTACAAAACCTGCATATATGATCATCTCACCAGGGGATCCAGGATTTTAAAGGTAAGCAGTTTTCTGTATTGAAAAATTTCAGGAACAGAATTTGGGGCTGGTAGTGGCTGACTTCCATGTGGACTGTTGTGGAATGCTATTGAAGCAGGATATTTTGCTGACCCCCTCGTGGGACTCACAAAGGAGGTGCCCTGTTTACTCAGCCCGCAGCTCTCAATTACTTGTGGGAGGAAACACGCGAGCAAAAGAGCTAGGAACTGGAGCGCACAGGTGCTGAAACTAGCTGGCCGCTTTGGCACCAGCAGGGGCACTCCACCCACTTGGACCTGCTGCACACCACCCATCACAGGAGGGGATGTGCAGGTGAGTGGGCGCAGGAGCCGGGGCTAGCGCTTTTGGGTGCTGGTGGGAGCAAAATTCATGTAGGCCCTCAGCAGCATCTGGAGTGGGGGTGCCCAAGATCCTTGAAGCTCCAAAGAAAGTGTTACAGTGCTCTTTTAGCTCTGCTGTCCATGGATGGCTTAAGTGTTAACATCTCAGTGGACCCTCTGCCTTTCTGCATGAGGTGGCTGCCTTCTGCCAGTGAGGGCAAAGGGCAAGCGTGACAACCTTTTGTATTCACACTCATGGTCCTCGAGTTCTTCTCCAGCATCCAGGAGAAATGAGGTCACGTGAGCAAACTGAAGGATGATATATGCTGGAGATTGTATTGTTGATGAAAGTGGTTCTCAGTGAAAAAAGAGAGCTGAAAAGGGGATAGGGCAGGAAGGTCACCTGCCCCTGAAGTCCAGCCATTTCCAGCTGGATTCTTCTCTGAAGTTATGCCATCAAGCTGTCCCTCTCAAGTCAAGTCACTTCTCTCCAAAGTCCAGCCATAGTCTCCAATGTCCAGCTGCTTCTCCCTTCTCCCAGCTGACTATGGGGTTTTTATAGGCACAGGATGGGTGTGGGGCAGACCATGGGTGGTTTCTGAAAAGGCAACATTCAAGTGAGAAAACAGGGATGCAAGATCTCACTTTGGGCCCTAATCTTAGGCTTTTCTGCTTGAGGGTGGGGTTCTCTCCAGGGACCCGCCCCAGCTGCCTAGAATTTCTCTGCCTCTTGCCTTTATCATTGTATCATTATGATGGCTATGAATAGGGAGGGAGGGACATCCCTGGGATGGCCGAGAACAGCCCCACTGGTGATGTGAAGTTTGAAGTGGAGGACTTAATTAGCTTCGCCCCTGTATGATGGATGAATGACAAACAAGGAAGAATCGGAAAGATCCTTGGACTCCCATGTTGGTGATTGTTACTAAGCTCTGGACATTAGCGGAGAGACACATTTAGGACAGAAAATCATGTATCAATGATTGCACAGACCAGGTCCTGCCCTCCTCCAGATGGCTCAATGATAGATTCTCTGTTACTTCCAGTAGCACAATAAAGATCGGAGTCCCTAATTGATGATAGAGTGGTAGTCGATGTGTCAGGTAAAGACAACTGTGAAAAATTCATTGGAATAGGATATGTGTCACTATTTAGAGAAAGAGCTTCAGAAAAATTGTACCCATTTGAATTGAATCTAGAAGTCAAAATTGCAACAGAAATGAAGAAAATTAATATTTAAAAGAAATTTGACAAAGGACAAATACAAATATAAAAATTTTATGAAACTGCTTTAAAATAAATACATTTAGTGTCAGCATAGAATACATATCAAAAATAAAACAGAGGCATTAAACTAACACAAGCATAAGTTAAACATGAAGTTGGACATTCTAAAGAATCAATTGGATTATTTCACTGAGAGTAATGTTTTCCAGGTTCACTGATGTTGTTACAAATGACAGAATTTCTTTCTTTTCTAAGGCTGAATAGTATTCCATTGTATGCATGTGGTGTATGTGTGCGTGTGTGTGTGTGTGTGTGTATACCACATTTTCTTTATTCATCTGTTGATAGACACTTAGATTGATTCCATATCTTGGTTATTGTGAATAATATTGCAATAAACATGAGAGTGCAGATATCTGTTCAACATACAGATTTCAACTTATTTGAATACATACCCAGAAGTGGAATTGCTGGATCATGAGGTAATTCTATTTTTAGTTTTTTAGGAAACGTCCATACTGTTTTCCTTAATGGCTGTACTGTTTTACATTCATTCCCACCAACAGTATAGAAGGGTTTACTTTACTCCACATCCTCACCAAATGTTATCTTTTGTCTTTTATGCAGAATCTAAAAAAGTCAAACTTTTGGAAGTAGCGAACAAGGGGATGGGGGAAATGAGAAAATGATGATTAAAGGGGGACATATATTTAGACAGAAGGAATGCATTTTTTGAGATCCATTGCACAGCATGGTGACTATAGTTAATAATAATATATCCTGTATTTTACCACAAACAGCCATATATTCTTTTCAGCAGCCTGAAGGTATCATCCCCATCACCTGCCTTTTTTTGTTGGGATGTCAACTTTCATAACCTCCTTTACTTCTTTAAGGGAATTCTTCCTTTTGTTCCTGGCTGGGTGCTTCTAAGGTTTTTCTCTTTGCCTTTTGTTTTCAGTATATCCAATAAAATAAGACAGAACCGGGACCCCCCACCCCACCAACCTTAGGGGCCTGTGGGCCCCTCCAGGCATGGCAATAAAGGAAAATCTTGAGTTCCTTCAAGGGAAGTACCAGGCAGCTTGCTAGCACTGAGAAGTAAATAAGCAACATGATCAGCAAAAAGGTAACAGTAGCCCAAAACAATAGCCAAGGCAGCTAGAATCACAATATGTTTGCTTCTGTATAGAAACTAAGATAACATCTTAGCATATATCCCTGAGTTGTTTTTCAGAAACCCAGACCACCCCCACCCCACCAAAGGGATCCAATCCACTGGCATGTAGACCTCAGATAAGGGGGAGCTGAGGACTGAACTCTGACTGACCTATGTTCTTTGTTCTAAATTTTTTCCTGACGGGCCTGGAGGAAGTCACATCCGTGAGCCAGGGCTGACATTCTTTTCTGCTGACCCCAAATTTTTAAAAACAAAGCTTCTATTCCTTAACCAATTGCAAATTGGAAAATCTTTAAATCTGCTATTAAAGCAAACTAAATATGGTGTGAGAAGGGCTCCATATTTCCATATTTGAGTCTTTGTGGATGCACTGTAACCTAGCCTAATAGGCAGACAAGACTGAAAACCTAAATTAGGAGTATGCACCTTTAACAATAGCTGAGCCTTGGCCCATCCCAGAGGCCATACTTCAACCACTCATAGACCGCTAAGTGTTCAAACAGTGTTCAAATGAGGCAAACACCAACCTGTAACCAATCCATCTGTTTCTGTACCTCACTTCCAATTTCTGTACATCACTTCCCTTGTTTTTTTCTTGTCTATAAATTTGTTCTGACCACGAAGCATCCCTGGAGTCTCTCTGAATCTATTGTGATTCTGGGGGCTAGGGCTGCCTAATTCGCAAATCGTTCATTTCACAATTAAACTCCTTAAATTTAATTTGGCTGAAGTTTTTCTTTCAACACTACCTATGACCTATAAGCCCCCAAGTCTAGGTATCCTGCCCTTTTAGGCTAAAACTAATGTGTGACCTCCATGTATTGATGTGCAACTTTTCCTTCTGCTTTCCTGAAATTTACCTCTGCTGAAACCATCACTGCAAAATCATAACAAACGGTGAAAGAAATCTGACTTAACCAACTCCATCTTGCATCTAATCTCAAAGCTGTCCTTGTTCATTCCTGGGCATAGGCCGAGCTAACTTTGGAAGAAACTTAGTTTATAGTCTATAGTTTGAAACAAAGACGATAACAGCCCTTTCCCAAAACAAACCACCTTCTTTCCTGGGTACTAGACTGCCTTTGTAAGACTAACAGATTGGCCAAAAGATTAGAAATTATGGTTTAGGAGTCATGCAGCTAAAGGCTACAAGGTTCTGGCCCTCCTCAAGTTGTTTCTAGAGATAAATCACTGTTGTGAAACCTAAGATCAGTGCCTGACATATTTTGCAGACCCCGAACTTGATGGATCAGCTGGCACCACCCAGCTTGTTAAACTGGCTCATCTGATCTTGTGGCCCCCACCCAGAAACAGACTCAGGGCAAGAAGACAGCTTCGACTCCCTATGATTTCATCTCTGACCCAACCAATCAGCACTCTTAGCTCACTGGCTTCCCCCAACCCACCAAGTTGTCTTTAAAAGCTCTTCTCCCAAAATGCTCAGGGAGACTGATTGGAGTAATAATAAAACTCCTCCTGTCTCCTGCACAGCGGACTCTGTGTGAATTGCTCTTTCTCTGTTGCAGTTACCCTATCTCGATAAATTGGCTCTGTCTAGGTAGCAAGCAAGGTGAAACTGCTGGGCAGTTACACTGCCTTTAAAAACCCTTACCTTCAAGGAATCAGGGAGGTCAAGACTTAAGCATGAGCTGCCTGGTCCTTCTTGCTTGGTGCCTGCAAGTAAATGCCTTCTTCTGCTGCAAACCTCTTACTGCCCTAGTTCTTTCAATAACATAGTGTGTCTATGTGGGAATTGCATTTATACTCTGGTGGTTTCTGGGGATTCTTGAATTTATGAAGTGATATCTTTTATTAGTTCTTGAATATTTGCTGCCATTACCACTTCAGAAAAAAAAATCACCTTTGCCCCATTTGCTACTTCTGGGATGCCAATTAAATATAGGTTAGATTGGCCCACTGAATTCCTTCTCTATATTTTGCCCTTTATTCCTAGCTTCTAAATTTCTGTCTCTCTATGGGCTTTTGTTCCACATTCAGTTTTACTACTTATCTCTTCAGCTATGTTTATTAGCTTTCTTCTGTGTTCTTAATTTCATTCTTAGTATTTTCAGTTCCAGAATTTTTGCTCGGTTCTTTCCCAAACCTGCAATGTCACTTTGTTCTGGTTTCTAATTCACATATTAAAAGCTTGGCTCATATTCTTTTGTAAATAGTAAGTTGACTTGTTTTATAATCAGAATTTTTTCATTTTAATTTCTAAGTGGATGCAGTCCGTTTTTGTTCTCTGCTCCCCACCTCCCAACCTACCCATGGGCTCCCATTCATGTTTCTTGCCTTCTTGCATGACAATTTGCCCTTTGCTATTTTCTAGATATTGGAATCTAGAATCTAGATACAGATGTTATAGAAATAATTGGAGTCTAGGCTCATGTTTTCATCCTCCTGTAAAGATGTCTTTTGGTTAGTTTGTTTCTGCTAGGAGTCTGGCAAATTTCTACTTTGATTTCAAACTAGACTTTTCAATTTTACAAAGGTGGATTGCAGGGCAGTTTGTTGACTTGTTTGTGACCAGTTTTTTTCTTAAGAGAAGATACAGACTTTTGACACCCCTAGAAGTGAGGAGGCTTTATCAGGCAGACTGGACCTCACTTGTGTGAGCATAACTACCATAACTCGGTTATGCAGGTCTTTCTTAATGATTAGAAAAAACTCACAGGGCTGATGTGGCTTTTGAACACTGAGCTGGATTCTGCAACATACTCCACACACAGTTGAGGTGTTTTCAGTAGGAGGTGTGATCTGAGCTCTCTATTTTTCTACTTTTACAAGAAGAATGATGAAAGTATAAAGGGGCCTTTGTACAGAATGATGAAAATATAAAGGACTGACAGATTCTCCTTAAGTTTACAGGTATTCTGCAAGCTATTCTGAAATAATAGGTAACAGATTACACAACTATATCACCTCTGTAGGTACACTCTGCAAGCTGTTCTACTAAGTCATGTGAAAATGTAAGGTGTGTCAAAGAAGAGCATCTGAGTTTAGCTGTGTTGTTTTGTTTGGTTTTAACCAGCCTGGATATAAAAAGGGAGGTGCCAATTAGACAAAGAATTATTTTAAAAGAAATATGTAATACTTATGATGATAATCAGATTATCTATTTCATCTTGATTTAGTTTTTGTTGTTTGTGGGCTTTGAGGAACTATTTATTCTTTTCTAAATTCCCAAGCTTACAAGCATCTATTTTTTTCATAGTCATTCCTTATTATCTTTTTAATGGCTGCAAGGCTTTTAGTGATATCTCCAATTTCACTTATTGTCGACTTCTTTTTTCTTTTTATATTATTACATATTAATAATTTCAGGCCAGGCGTGGTGGCTCTTGCCTGTAATCCCAGCACTTTGGGAGGCCGAGGTGGGTGGATCATGAGGTCAAGAGTTCAAGACCAGCTTGACCAACATAGTGAAACCCCATCTCTACTAAAAATACAAAAAATTAGCTGGGCATGGTGGTGGGCACCTGTAATCTCCGCTATTTGGGAGGCTGAGGCAGGAGAATCACTTGAACCTGGGAGATGGAGGTTGCAGTGAGCTGAGGTCACACCACTGCGCTCCAGCCTGGGTGACAGTGTGAGACCCTATTTCAAAAAATGATAATAATAATAATCAATTTCAATGACACTTTTACAAGAACCAGCTTTTCATTTTATTTATTTTCTCTATTATTTTTCTGTCTTCAGTTTATTGATTTCTGATCTTTTCCTTATTTTCTCTCCTGTTTGCTTATTTGCTTATTGGTCTTTATTTTTTAGACTCTTAAGGTAAGAACTCATATTATTGGTTTAAGGCCTTTTCTCATTCCAAATGTAAGAATTTGATGCTATCAGTTTTCCTCTCAGAGCTTCTTCAGCAGCATTCTACATATTTTAACATTATGTTTTGGTTTTCAGTCACTTCCATTTTTAAAAATTTTCTGTAAAACTTTTAAAGTTTCTATGAAATTTTCTGTCTCAGAGTAACTCCTGAGATTGTTGAAGAATCTGTTATTGTTTCAGGAAAAAAATGCTTATGGAAGGAAGCTAAGAGTGTGGCAGAGTAAGGGAAGCCACAAGTTAACTTTCTCATACTGCTATTTCATCCTCATTTCAGAAACAGCAGCATAGCACCAGAAAGCTCCTCCTCAGAAGACTGACTTCTTGTTCAGATTCTCTATGGTAATGTTGCTTGGAAAGAGATTATGAGTTTTCTTATTGTTGAGGGATGGAGGAGAAATATACATAGTCGATGTACCAGTGTGTTGATTGATTTATGCCCTTCATCTCGGAGGGAATCCCTGAGAATATGGGTATGCTTCCAGCCTACTTTGCTAGATTTAGGAGGTGGGCATCATGCATCAGTATTGAGCCACCATATCGACGTTAGTTGTTGTTAAAACAGAATTAAGTTTCTGAGCACAATATCTAACACCTTGCACCTACTCCACCACCACTGTCATTAACAGAACATAGAAGAACAAGTAATTGGTTTTGATATACCTTTTGGCTTTAATGTCCTGGGTCAGAGCTTTGTGCCTGATGAAACAAATATGCATTTTCTTGAACTAGTTCATTTGGCCTGGACAAATGCTCTCCAAAGTATGAACCAGGTTGTCATCTCATATCTGACAATATTTTAGATCATGGGCATGGTGCAGGGCTTCATACCTCTTTAGCACATTATGCCAGGTTCTGTAAGAACTTGATGGCAAAACACTCATATTGGAGATACAGCAATAACAGGGAGTTCTTGACTATATAGTGAAAAATATGGGATGGGTCATACTGACTGAAGTAAGAATCTTGTGAATGGGCCAAGCATCTGGTCTTTTGGAGTTGGGAACCAGTTGTGCATCTGAGGAAGGTGAGGTCTGGAATCAGGAGATAGAGGGTAATGCATGAGCTAGACTCAGTTTTCTTATGGAGGGTTTTGTGTGACTGTTTTCTCATCGGTCAACCTAGAATTTTGCTAATATCTTCTGGCATAACATTATTACATTCATCAAAGTGGGTTCTAGAATTTCAACATGACTTCATGCTGTTGCAGTAGACTTTTAATTTGAACATCACTCTCTGTAAATCCAGTGCAGTGTGTGTGTGTGTGTGTGTGCGTGTGTGTATAAAGGGCCTTCTCTAGATCATTTAGATTGCCTTCTTTAGTTGCAATGGTGTGCATAGTAAAAATCCAAACAGAAATTGGCTGAAATGATTTTACATTATATCAATAAAGAAAGCTCAAGGGGATTTTGTTTAGTGATTAGGGACCCAGGTCTGCCTGTGGTTCTGTGGCCTTTTCTCAGTGCTGACTTCATCTTCTGTTGGGGCAAGATGGCTCCAAAACTTGGAGTATCCAGACAGATACTTCCATGCCTATATACATACAAACTCATTATTCCAAAACTACAATATAGGTTGAAAGTTCCGGGAGACAAAACAACTTTCAGACAAATAACATATGTTATATATTTATTTCTGGCTTTGTGTGTCTAGCGTGTGTGCATGTGTGTGTGTGTGTGTGTAAAATGAAAGCAAACTATGAATTTAGGATGAAATTTAAAGAGAAATCTAAGGAAGACATTTAAATCAATGTTAATAAATGACAGTAACTACAAATAAAATGGATGTAAATATCTCCTTAAATATTTGAAAGCAGTAACATTATGACCTGACCAGCATATGTATTTTAGTCTGTCTGCTCATATTCAAATTCTATTTCCTGTAAATTCCTCTCAAAGCTTATGCATCACTGGTTTAAAGCAATTGATATTGATATTCTGCATTGAGATATATACAGACATGTGGACTTAGTCATTTTCTTTTTTTGTTTTATAACTATTTTGTGTAAAAAGAGTATGTATTTTCTTATATTTATAAAACAAGAATGCCTCCTTGGTTTCCCCTTTTCTTCTCTCTCTTCATCTTTCTGTCTGTCAATTAATTATGCACACACATACTTATCATATATTTCCTTGTTATTTGGGCAATTCTGGCCCAATAAAACATATACAAGACAATGGAAGCGGCATCGATTTAGACCAAGGTAATCTGTCATTGCAGTAAGTGTTCTTTTCCTCCTATGAAATGAGATGCTGGCACAGTAAGACCACTGTTTGGGGAAAATAGTGAGGTCCCTGAAAATAATTGCAGTGGAAGGAAATGAATGTCAACTTGACAATAAATAACTGCACGTTTAAAATGTGCCAGGGACTATGCTTAGTAGGTTCTTTATTGATGTTTACAACAGTCTTATAAGCCAGTTACTATTAATATACTGATTTACAGACAAGGAAAGTGAAGCCCAGACAGATTAATTAACATGTCCAAGGTCACAGAATTGATAATAGGGTTGAGACAGGAATGCTGGCAGTCGAGTTATATCCTAGAAGATCTACTTGTTGTCCATGGATTTCCTCTTCAATGAGCAGGTCAGAGCTGTATGTTAATTTGGACGTACTGGTGTTGCTGTAATGAAGAGGCAGCTGCACCAAGCCAGGGTGCCACAGGCCTATTGCATGATGCTTACTTTTTCATGTATGCTTTTAGCTTTAGTCTTTGCTTGTCACTTTGTTCTCATGAAATACTTCCTGGAAACTGTCAAAGAAACTTATACAGTATCTTACAACAAGTAATTATTGTTTACATTATAAAGATGAGGAAATTGAGGTTCAAAGAGGTCAAGTAACTTGACCAATATCCAAAAATCCTCCCTTTTGAAATGTCCATGGATTTACATACACAACATACTTAATCATATACAAAACATCTTCTTGTGATACTTTTTAGAATGTTGCTGGGTGGTGGGCTTTTCTAACAAAAACATCCAATATATTCTCTTTTTTTTTCTTTTGGTCAAATTTTAAATTTCCTGAGAATTTGGATTTTCTCACAGAGCTGCTCTGGAAATGTAAGTGTAATTGCAGCAACAACTAAAGAAAAAAAAAAGCCCTAAAATCCCATCCAATATTTCTCTTAGTACCTTTAGTCATAAGCTAAAAAGCACTTTGAAGTCTGTGGGACACCAGCAATTCTGTTTGTTTGGCAACTCGCTGCAGTGAGTTAATGATTTCTTTGGCATTTTCTGAGACTTTCAACAGCAGTTACTTTTAAATCCCCTATAAAGGTCTAGAGAAGCCTTGGGACATTTTCATTTGAGATGATAACAAAGTCATTTTAGGAGAAAAACTGGGTTGTGCTGTGAAAGGTTCTGAAGATGGAGCCCAGATGCTCAACCACTACCTGAACTCCAATCTGGGCTGCAAATGCGGAGGGAATAACCATCCCACAAAATGTCGTGTTTCCCAGCACAAGTGAGTGCCAAGAATTTAAAAGATTAAGGGAATTGAGAGGAACATGAGTGAGGCAGCCAACCTCTCTAAAAGTCAGGAGCCTGGTACATGGCTGCAGAGAAGAAAGGTAGCAAAACTCTTCATTATGTGACTCTTAGGGGGAAAATTCAATTTTAATATTATCTTATTTTTATCAAATAGTAGCCTTCAGGTTTGTATTGTTATGAATGTTTATATATTCAACAGCAAAACAGTAAAATTCAAAGATTATTTATGATGATTTTACCTCTTATTTCTGGAATGTTGTAATTGCATGGATATTAAATAATAATGTTGATATGGTATGGCTCTGTGTCCCCACCCAAATCTCATCTCTAATTGTAATCCCCACATGTCAGAGGAGGGGCCTCGTGGGAGGTGATTGGATTATGAGGTGGATTTCTCCATTGATGTTCTCATGATAGTGAGTGAGTTCTCACATGATCTGATGGTTTAAAACTGTGTGGCACTTCCCCATGTGTGCTCTCTCTGTCTCCTGCTTCACTGTGGAAAGACATGCCTTGCTTCTCTTTCATCTTCCATCATGATTGTAAGTTTCCTGAGGCCTCCCTAGCCTTGTGGAAATGTGAGTCAATTAAACCTCTTTTCTTCATAAATTACCAGATCTCAGGTAGTTTTTTACAGCAGTATGAAAAGGGAGTAATGCAAATGTATTTTACAAAGAATAATAAGTACTCATATTGAGAAATTGGATATTAAAGATGATTTTCCATCAAAACAAATGGATTCAGCTCTGTTTTAGCCACTCAAACCGTGTCACTTTGGCCAAAGCATTTAGTCTTTTGAAGTCTTAGCTTACTTTTAAAAAATAATCATGACCAACACAATGAACTCTGAGACCCATTTGTCTGCAGCAGAGTGGCCTGGACAGCACAGCAGCAGATTAGCATCTTTGCCCAAAGTTGGGCAAGGCAAAAAGTGGAGTGAATGTTAGATTTTGAAAGCCTATGCATTTAGAAAGGACATGCCAAGTGTAGAACAACAATTTTTTGATAAGTGGGATGAAAATAGGAAGCACTCTATCCAGTTTTTTTTACTCAGTTGTTTTTCAGTGGAACTATTCTTGCTTGATTAATTGAATAGTGTTCATCCAGCTGTCAAGGCTGGAAATCTGACTCCTCCCTTTAATCCTAAATAACTTAATTGGCCTTCTACCATGAACCACCACTTGATCCTTCCCTGTAAATCTCAAATGAATGAAATGTCCTTGATCCCATCTCTGAAATTTCTCTCACACCCACCTCAGCTTTCACAGCTCATTTTTCACCTGCATTATTAGAATAGTGGTCCCCCAGTGGGTTCCCCACCTCTGGAATCTATTTGTTCCTCTCCAGTTTCTACACTAGAGCATGAACACATTGCTCATGCCTGCTTCTCTTCCATGGCTTCTCATTACATATAGATCAAGTCAAATTTCTTTACCTTTTTATGCAAAGCAGGTCATAATATGGCTGCAACCTGCCTGTCCAGTGTTATCTCTTGTCTGAATCCTGATTTAGATTTAAAGGGGCACAACCAGCAGAACTACACTTCATTCCACAATCACACATCATTCTTGCCCACTTATCTTTCTTGTATATTTTGCTGTTAAAATTCTATGCATGCTTTAAAGCCACAAATATTACTTCATCTATGCAGCCTTCTGGTTTGTACCTGTTTAGAAATTAAGTTTTCTTATTTTGCACTTTCAAAAGACCATGAATGTCAATATGGCAGTTACCATATTTGATGTGACACTATATTAACAGCAGGGTCTTAATGTATGTATCTTCATATATTTTCAATGTTCAGCCAAGGGGAAGCAATAACTGTATGTTTGGATTGAAATAGATAGCATGGACCTAGCTCAATGCATCTAACCCATTTCTACTATATGATCTAGTAAGAGAAGTCCACAAGTTCATTCATTTTTCTGGGCATGGTCTATCTACTGCTGATAAATCAATACATCTGTTGCTTATTTTATGCCCCTTTATCCTTTCTAATCCCTTCCTGACAGAAGTGGGGAGTGTAGTGCTGGTTTGTCTTAGAGGGAAATACAGAGAGGTTGAAGGGCTTTAGAAGATATTATTCCAGAGTCACATTAATGCACTAACTTGCCTGTCAATCAATACCAATGTAAAAATGTATTAACTCTTCAGCTTTTCCACATTTCCTGACATGAAATTTTGGCAAAAATTAGATAGGAGCAAATGACTCACTAATTCTAATTTCATTTCATTTCTTTAGAAATAATGCTTAGATGTGACTAGAGATACACAGAGAGAGAGACAGAGAGAGAGAAACTGAGAGACAGAGATGAGGAGAGAGAAAGAGAGAGAGAGAGCGATTCTGTAAAGGGCTCTGAATTTATTGACTCACACAACCATACAGAACCAGGGAGAGGAGAATGTTTCTGCCAAATGAATAGAAGTGAAAGTTTAAAAATAAATAAACAAAAATTACTGCATCGAGTTCTTTCATTCCTCCAATTAATGACCTTTTCTTAGCAGTTTAACCTCTCTTGGGAGTAAAAGGGAGCTAGGCAAAGGGTAGACAGCAAAGAGCCTAACATAGAGAAGAGGAGCTCTGGGTCACCTGGGTGAACTTTCATTTGCTAAATCAAAAGGATACATAACTCATCCTCATTACCTTTTGTCCAAGGCAGAATAAACAACATCAAAACTGGAAAAAAAGATGAGTTTACAGCTTACTTAATTAAGGAAGTGCTGTGCTTATTAGGGACAGTCTCACTGAGCAGAGCTGCATGCTAGTCTTAGAAGCCATATCAGGTTAGTGTTGGTTAGAGTTGTCTTGGTTACAGTGATAGCAGTGGGTTGTCAACAGCATTAGAAACAGATTATTAGGCACAACTGTGTTGAACTGGCTGGGTTCAGAAGTATGATCACTGGAGTGAGGCTGCCACTGTCTTTAAGCATGGTGTCACTAACTGGCCAACTTTCGGTGGTGTGTTCAGTTATTAATTGATTGGATTATGGTGTGTTGTCATTGATAGATCAGGCAGGATTAAAACCAGTTCTGGCATTTACTTGTTACCATGGTTATAAAACAATCTGTCTTTTCCCATGGATGAGGGACTTTCAAGTTTGCACTATCATGTACATTTTGTCATACTTCGTATTTTAAAATCACATTTTACTTCTATTTTCAGGAAGATCGAGTGGACTTTCTTTTCTCTACCTTTCCTGCTAACCATAACTGTCATTATATATAAAACAAATATATGAAAACTCTGAAAGTTGTAAAGGAGAAGGCAGATAGGCCAGGGACCCTGGGACCTAGAAACAACGGGGTGGTGAGTTCCCTGGGTATTCATTTTGCTTCATGTATCTAAGACTTGGAGATGAAGAAGCCAGAAGCTCAGAAATGTCAACTGGCACAAACTAAATCTCTCTCTCCACTGAACCCCTACTCTGTCTAGCCAAAGAACTAGGAAAGGGGCAGCATAACAGAAATAATACTTTGAAACAAAACATGATCTACTCAAATGAAATGCCACAGAAAAAACAGTGGTCTCACCCCGACCCAGGCCATGAAAGGCCAAGTAAGGAGCTTTTACTTTCACACTCTTCAGGCAATAGCACCCACCCACCGCTCTCAACAGTGTGGTGCCAGCTTGAGACAGGAGCCAGGACTTTCATCGCTGCTAAGAAGTAATGATCCTGACCCCCTGAGTGGTCTCAGTGGAGACCACATAGGGTACACGGACTTCTGCCTCACCTGACAGTAACAAAATGCCAGTCTGCCTCTTCACTGGGATGGTGTCAAAGGAGGCTTCATAGAGAGTCAGGACTTTCACCACCCCTAGCAGTAGTGAGACCACCCCAGGGGTGTTGGTAGAGGCTGTGTGGGGAACAATAAAAAGGAACTCATATTCACCTCTGCCAAGGAGGTTTGAATGAGGGACAAGTAGAGAGGCAGTAATGAGGAGCACACACCCCTCAGGGGTCAGCAGAGACCAAGAGGGGAACCTGCACTTCCAATTCACTTTGAAATAATGAAGTAGTTCCTTCTCTTCCCCCGCCAGAGTGGTGTCAAAGGAAGCCAAGTGAAACAGAAGGTTCCAGAAGATCCAAAGTCCCAGAATATAATAATCAAAATATTCAGGTTTCAATAAAAAATTACTTGTCATACAAAAACCAGGAAAGCCTCCACTTGAATGAAAAAGAAAATCAGCAGATGTCAATGCTGAGTGACAGGTTTTAGAATCCCTGACAAAGATTTTGAAGCAACTTTTGTAAAAATGCTTCAAGGAACAATACCAAATGTGATTGAGACAAATGGAAAAAAGAAAGAAAGAAAGAAAACCTCAGCAACTAAATTGGCATTATAAGGAAGAACCAAATGGAAATGTTAGAACTGAAAAATATAATAAGCAACATTTAAAAATACTCAATGGATGGGTTCAGCAGCAGAATAGAGGGAATAGATGAAAGAATTAGTGAACCTGAAAATAGAACAATAGGAAATATTCACTCTAAACCACAGAGAGATAGACTGGAAAAAAATAAAAATGAAAAAGCCTCGGGGGCTAGGTGTGGTGGTTCATGCCTGTAATCCCGGTACTTTGGAAGGCTGAGGTGGGCAGATCACCTCAGGTCAGGAGTTTGAGACAAGCCTAGCTAACATGGTAAAACCCCATCTTTAATAAAAATACAAAGATTAGCTGGATGTGGTGTCACGTGCCTGTAATCCTAGCTACTCAGGAGGCTGAGGCAGGAGGATCACTTGAACCCAGGAGGCAGAGGTTTCAGTGAGCCGAGATTGCACGGCTGCACTCCAACCTGGGTGACAGAGCGTGACTCCTTCTCAAAAAAAAAGAATCTTCAGGAACCCGTGGAACTATCACAAAAGGTATATTGTTCTTGTTATCAGAGTCCCAGAAGGAGAGGAAATAAAAAATAATGCTATAAAAGTACTTGAAGAAAGAAGGGCTGAAACTCTCTAAACTAGGCAAAAGATGTAAGACTACAGATTTAAGAAGTGGGCCAAACACTGAACAGGGTAAACCCAAATAAAACAGCACCAAGACAAATCGCAGTTAAACTTCTGTAAACTAATGGCAAATGAAAATCATTAAAGTATTCAAAGAGAAACACCACCTTACCTATGGGTGGAAAAGAATTCATATGACAGCAGATTTTCTATCAGAAACCATGAAGGAAAGATGAAGTGGGGCAAAGCATTGTTCAAGTGCTAAAAGAAGAAACTGTCAACCAATATCACTTGTCAAGCAAAAATACCCCTCAGGAATGGAGGGGAAGGCAAAACATTCTGAGGTGGGGAAAAAAAAAAAAAAGAAAATGCTTTGCCAGCAGATCTACCATAAAGGAAAGGCTAAAGGAAGTTCTCTAAACAAGAAAGACATGACAAAACACAGAATACAGGAATGTCAAGAGTGAAGAAAGAACAGGGAAACAGCAAAATAAATAAGTGAATAGGTAAATACAACAATCATATCATAAAAGTACAATTACATTATAAACAGGGGAGGGCAGACAGTAATCGTAGATGAGATTTCTATACTTCCTTTGTACTGGCAAAATGATGGCATGAGCACACTCTGATGGCAATTTAATGTATATGTAATGCAATAAATGGAATAACTACAGAAAAAGCTAGACAAAGAGATACATTCAAAAACCCTATAGATAAATTAAAATGAAATTCTAAAACTGCTCCAGTAAGGCAGAAAAAAGTCAACAAAATGAAAACAGAACAAAAAGAAAACAAAAAATAGAATGGCAGATTTTAGTTCTAACAGCAGTAAGTACATTTACTGTAAATGGTCTTAATACATCAAGTACAAGACAGAGACTGACAGAATAATGAACATGGGCAAACTATATGCAATGTTTGAAAAAAACTCACTTCAAGTACAATTAAAATATCTTAACAAATTTAAAATAATTGAAAGCATACAGAGTGTGCACTATGATGATGGAATCAAAGTAGAAATCAATAACAAACATAAAATAGATTTTCTGACAATTAAAAACAATACATTTTCATACAGTTCACAGGTCAAAAAAGAAGTCTGAAAGGATGCAATTGAGTAAAAATGAAAATACAATTTGTCAGTGATTGTGAGTCACAGCTGAAGCAGTACTGGGGAGGAAATTTATAGCACTGAATGTATGCATTTTGAAGAGAGGAAAGAGTCTTACTCTAGTCTCCTTCCAAGAACCTAGAAAAAGAAGAGCAAAATCAATCCAATGCAAGCAGAAGGAAGTAAGTAATAAAAATAAGAACATAAATCAATGAAACTGAAAACAGAAAATCATTAGAGAATATTAGGGAAACAAGTAACTGGTTCTTTTTAAAGATTTTAGAAAAACCCTAGCAAGATGTATTAGTTTGTTTTCACTCTGCTGTTAAAGACATACCCAAAACTGGGAAGAAAAAGAGGTTTAATTGGACTTGCAGTTCTAAATGGCTGGGGAGGTCTCAGAATCACGGCAGGAGGCCAAAGGCACACCTTACATGGCAGTGGCAAGAGAAAAATGAGAAAGAAGCAAAAGCGGAAACCCCTGATAAACCCATCAGATCTTGTGAGCCTTTTTCACTTTCACAAGAATAGCACAGAAAAGATAGGTCCCCATGATTCAATTACCTCCCTGGGTCCCTCCCACAACATGTGGGAATTCTGGGAGATACAATTCAAGTTGAGATTTGGGTGGGGACACAGCCAAACCATCTAATTCCGCCCATGGCCCCTCCAAGTCTCATGTCCTCACATTTCAAAACCAATCATGCCTTCCCAATAGTCCCCTGAACTCTTAACTCATTTCAGCATTAACCCAAAAGTCCACAGTCCAAAGTTTCATCTGAGACAGGGTAAGTCTCTTCCACCTATTACCCTGTAAAATCAAAAACGAGCTATTTACTTCCTAGGTACAGTGGGGGTACAGGTATTGGGTAAATACAGCCATTCCAAATGGGAGAAATTGTCCAAAACAAAGGGGTTACAGGCCCCACACAAGTCTGAACTCCAGCAAGGCAGTCAAATTTTAAAGCCCCAAAATGATTTCTGTTGACTCCAGGTCTCACATCCAGGTCACACTGATGCAAGAGGTGGGTTCCCATGTTCTTGGGCAGCTCTGCCCCTGTGGCTTTGCAGGGTACAGCCTCCCTCCTGGCTGCTTTCACAGGCTGGTGTTGAGTGTCTGCAGCTTTTCCAGGCACACGGTGCAAGCTGTTGGTGGATCTATCATTCTGGGGTCTGGCGGACGGTGGTCTTCTTCTCACAGCTCCAGTAGGCAGTGCCCCAGTAGGGACTCTGTGTGGGGGCTCTGATCCCACATTTCCATTCCACACTTCTCTGGCAGAAGTTCTGCTTGAGGACCCTACCCCTTCAGCAAACTTTTGCCTGGGCATCCAGGCATTACCATACATCTTCTGAAATCTAGACAGAGGTTCCCAAACCTCAATTCTTGACTTCTGTGCACCTGCAAGCTCAAAACCACATGGAAGCTGCCAAGGCTTGGGGCTTCCACCCTCTGAAGCCTCAGACTGAGCTCTATGTTGGCCCCTTTCAGCCATGGCTGTAATGGCTGGGACACAGGGCACCAAGTTCCTAGGCTGCACACAGCATGGAGACCCTGGGCCCTGCCCACAAAACCACTTTTTCCTCCTGGGCATCAGGGCCTGTGATGGGAGAGTCTGCCATGAAGGCCTCTAACATGGCCTGGAGACATTTCCCCCATGGTCTTGGGGATTAACATTAGGTTCCTTGCTACTATGCAAATTTCTGTAGCCAGCTTGAATTTCTACTCAAAAAATGGGTTTTTCTTCTCTACTGCATTGTTAGGCTGCAAATTTTCTGAACTTTTATGCTCTGTTTCCCTTTTAAAATGGAATGCTTTTAACAGCACCCAAGTCACTTTTTGAATGCTTTGATGCTTGGAAATTTCTTCCTCCGGCCAGGCGCGGTGGCTCACCCCTGTAATCCCAGTACTTTGGGAGGCTGAGGCGAGTGGATCACGAGGTCAGGAGATCAAGTCCATCCTGGCTAACACAGTGAAACCCCGTCTCTACTAAAAATACAAAAAAATTAGCCGAGTGTGGTGGAGGGTGCCTGTAGTCCCAGCTACTCGGGAGGCTGAGGCAGGAGAATGGCGTGAACCTGGGAGGTGGAGCTTGCAGTAAGCCGAGATCGCACCAATGCACTACAGCCTGGGTGACAGAGCGAGACTCCATCTAAAAAAAAAAAAAAAAAAAAGGAAATTTCTTCTTCCAGTTACCCTAAATCATCTCTCTCAAGTTCAAAGTTCCACACATCTCTAGGGGAAGGGCAAAATGCTGCCAGTCTCTTTGCTAAAACACAACCAGAGTCACCTTTGCTACAGTTCCCAACAAGTTCCTCATCTCCATCTGAGACCACCTTAGCCTGGACCTTATTGTTCTTATCACTACCAACATTTTTTTTCAAAGCCATTCAACAAGTCTCTAGGAGGTTCCAAACTTTCCCACATTTTCTTTTTTTCTTCTGAGCCCTCCAAACTGTTCCAGCCTCTGCCTATTATGTAGTTCCAAAGTCGCTTCCACATTTTTGGGTATCTTTTCAGCAACGCCTCACTCTACCAGTACCAATTTACTGTATTAATTCATTTTCTCGCTGCTAATAAAGACATACCCAAAACTAGGAACAAAAACAGGTTTAATTGGACTTACAGTTCCACAGGGCTGGGGAGGCCTCAGAATCATGCTGGGAAGTGAAAGGCACTTCTTACATGATGGTGGCAAGAGAAAAATGAGGAAGAAGCAAAAGCAGAAACCCCTGATTAACCTGTCAAATCCTGTGAGACTTATTTACTATCAGGAGAATCACACAGGAAAGCCCAGCCCCCATGATTCAATTACCCCCCTGGGGCCCCTCCCACAACACGTGGGAATTCTGGGAGATACAATTCAAGGTGTGATTTGGGTGGGGAAACAAACCATATCACAAGACTGACAGAGAAAAAAAAAAGAAGGCATAAATTATTAATCTCAGGCATGAAAGAGGGAATATCACCATAGTCACTGAAGACATCAAAAGAATAATAAGGGAATACTATCAACAACTCTATACATATCTATTTGACAATTTAGATGACATAGACCAATTCAAAACTGTAATAACTCATCTAATATGAAATAGATAATCTGAATAACACTATATTAGGAAAATTATAATGTATGATTTAATAACTACACCCCATACCTCCAAAATGTCCAAGCCAAGATGATTTCACTGGAGAATTCTACAAAACATTTAAAGAAAAATTAACACTAACTGTACATAATCCCTTCCTGAAATTATGATAAAAAATTCGGAATTATTTTTATGAAGGTAGTATTACCCCGATACTAAAACCAAAGATGGTATGAAAGAAAAAAAGAAAGAAAATGAAACTATAAGTTATATCATTCATAAACATGGATGAAAATTCTTAACCAGATATTAGTCAACAGAATTCACCAATATATAAAAAGAATTATACACATGGGGCTTATTCCAGGAATGCAAGAGTGGTTCAATATTTACAATTAACCAGTGTAATCCATTATTTTAGTAGCTGAACGAAGTAAAAGTTCTACCTAAAGCATCTTCCAAATGCAAATTGAATGCCACTTTTTTGCTTGAATTTTTGATGTTTCAAGAGAGCATTACAGAAAGTATTTACCAAAGCCCTTGACCTTAGTATGCAGGGTCCTTGGTCCTCTGCCACGCTGTCATTTTCCCTCTGCCACATGCACATGCTGTCACCCTGTGCTTCACACTGCTTTTCTAGAACCATCTGAGCATGGTTCCAATTTATCATTCCACATTGTATTATACAGTCTTCTGACTCTTTCCATTTCAGCAATTTCTCAAGCCAAACTACATAATGATAACCTAATTTCCTTCAACTTTAGCAGTACTCAAAGAATGTTATATTTCACATTGCTACAATTCACTGAAGCTGATCTAGTGTCCTGAAAAGAGAGAGGAATAAAAGATACTGGTATCTGAAGGTGGCACACCCGATGCTGAGATATTCTCTTTTGCATAAACTCATGGAGGGCTTACACTGATCTTTGCATTAACAGCCTAAGTATATAGATGGGAAACAGATTCACAGAGGCAAACACAGGACAAAACAGTGGCTTTGTATCTGTCTAATTTTACTTTCCACAGTCTTTCCACCTTGGCATTTTCTTTTCAATTAAGGTTTATTGAGTGCTAGAAAAGAGAAAGGGGTAAACACTCTGGGTGGGATGTAATTTAGATTCCACATCTATGCCTGGCTTGCTGAGAAATTATGCTTTAATGCTTAATATAGTGCCAGGAGGCACCCTATAGGTAACTGATAATGCTGATGACCCTGTAATGCATTCCTCTGCTCCCCTCACCATCCCATCTTTGACTCAGCTCTGGGTGTCTGCTTCATGCCTGCCTTTCATTCTCTGGTGACGTCCAGTTATCATGTCAGAGGACACTCCTCTCCTCATCCCTCCCTTGGAGATAGCTACCTCATTCCACCCTTTAGGTAACCATTGTGGTCAAATGCATCATGGAACTATTAGATATACATCTTAAATCAACATATTTACCAGGCTCAAGGGGCAACATTGCTCAATATCCTCTTAAGAAATAAACATGAACAAATTCCTTGTGAGAAAGTGATTTACGGTTTAAAGTTTCTTTTAACAGGAAACATGTTGTGACTTCTCTCCTCCAGCCCATCCACGACTGTTGGGGAGTCTTCCACGGGGGCTGACCTTGGCCTGGAAGGTGTTCTTTAAACATAAACACAAGCTGAAAGGGTAACCAAGGCTAGATTAGCTCTTAAGCAAACCAACAATTTCAGAAACAAAAATAAAAATACAGCCTTGTGTATAAAATTATTGATTTTCTCAGCAGTGGACACAAAACATTGCCTAAAAGGTTGGAAATAATCCCCATAAAGATCTATGCAAAATGATGCTCTTGGAGCAGACGTGGGCCAGAAAGATCTTAACATCTTTGAGCAAACACACTGATGAAGAATAAAAGCTAAACATTTTCACTACAAAATATATTGACCTTAATTGTAATCTTTATCAACTTTTCTTATTACTGAACTGATACCATTTCATGTATAAATGTAAAAATCATGGCTAATTCCACCACCCAGAGATAACAACAAAGTTTATTTGCTATTTGCGTATGCTTACATATAATACATTAATATACATACTATTACATAAAATGTTTAATATTTAATTTCCACATACTTGTAAATGTACATACATAAAAGAGATTATATGGTGATATGGTTAGGCTTTATGTCGCTGCCGAGACCAGCTCGGTCAGGGAGACCCTAACCCAGCGGCGCTAGAGGAATTAAAGACACACACACACAGAAATATAGAGGTATGAACTGGGAAATCAGGGGTCTCACAGCCTTCAGAGCTGAGAGCCCCAAACAGAGATTTACCCACGTATTTATTAACAGCAAGCCAGTCATTAGCATTGTTTCTATAGATATTAAATTAACTAAAAGTATCCCTTATGGGAAACAAAGTGATGGGCCGAATTAAAGGAATAGGTTGGGCTAATTAACTGCAGAAGGAGCATGTCCTTAAGGCACAGATCACTCATGCTATTGTTTGTGGCTTAAGAAGGCCTTTAAGCGGTTTTCCGCCCTGGGTGGGCCAGGTGTTCCTTGCCCTCATTCCCGTAAACCCACAACCTTCCAGCTTGGGCGTTAGGGCCATTATGAACATGTTACAGTGCTGCAGAGATTTTGTTTATGGCCAGTTTTGGGGCCAGTTTACGGCCAGATTTTGGGGGGCCTGCTCCCAACAGTCCCCGTCAAAATCTCATGTTGAATTGTAATCCCCGTAATCCTCATAATGCCTGTGTATCAAGGGAGAGACCAGGTGGAGGTAATTGAATTATGGGGGTGGTTTCCCCAATGCTTTTCTCATGAGAGTGAGTGAGCGCTCAAATATCTGATGGTTTTTAAGGGGCTCTTCCCCCTTTGCTTGGCCATTCTCCTTCTTGCCGCCTTGTAAAGCAGGTGCTTGGCTTTCCCTTCGCCTTCTATCATGATTGTAAGTTTCCTGAGGCTTCCCCAACCATGCAGAACTGTGAGTCAATTAAACCTCTTTCCTTTATAAGTTACCTAGTCTCGGGCAGCTCTTTATAGCAGTGTGAAAACAGATGAACACATATGGCATACACTGTTTTGCAATGTGCCCTTTATGTATTTGCTGAGTTTCTTCTTAATTCATAATGGGTGAGATCTCCACTTTATATAGAAAAAAAGTGGTCCAAATATACATTATATTATTTTAATTTTAAATTATCTTTGACCCATAGATTTTTACTTTAGTACATGAGTCTAACAATGTTACCCATTATTGTATCTATTTTTGGTAGAAAGCTAGAAAGTAATACAAATGCACAGAAAAGGCATATATAAAAATTGCTTAATGATGTTAGATAGGCTGATGGGTATCTAAATATACACATCTAAATATATTTGTGCATCTATGCATGCATGTAAGAGTATCAAATTTTGAGCAAAATTTGTTGGCATTCACCTTTTTATAATTTGTTTTATAGTACACTATAGTGTTAGTCTGTATCATTGATTAGTTTGATTTTATCAATCTAGCTCAATATTGTTTATCACATACAGATTTATAACATAAAGCCTACACATGGCATTTTCTCCATAAGGAACCTTCTTTCTCAGATGTTCCTTTGTTTTTCTTTTATGAATTTGATTTTACAGGAAGGTAAATATGAGTTTATAAAGTTACAAATATATCTCATTGGGATGTTATCACAAACAAGAACAGAAACAAAACAAAATGAAACCTCAATATGTGAACTGATTTGGAAACAGTCTTCCTTTTTAAACCACTGATTCATATTATTTACAAACACTATCTGTTTCTACTGACTCTTTTATTAATTTATTCAAACTCTTTACAAATCTTAGAAAAGAATTTTTTTGAAAATCATGTTAAATTATTTCTATATTTATTTTTTATTGCTGTTGAAAATATGAATATCAATCTATTATATTATATAGTGAGTTATTACTGGCAAGTGTATATTATTTTCTGATCACCTACTTTATTTAATTTTGTTCTTGGCTCTAGTTGTTTCTCTTTATTTTTTCCTTCCAAAATGACAATTAAATTAGGATAATTTTTTGTCCTTTACAGCTTTTAAAAATTGTAGTTCTTGATTATTTTTTGTATGTATGATTCCTTGTTCTGACAATAGTGAGTTGTGATTCTAAGACATTTGGGACAGATGTTAAAATAATTGTATCATACCACTTGATCATCTCAAACAATTGGTTTAATTTTAGATCTTTATTCTTTTCTAATATATGTATTTTATGCTATGAGTTTCCATCTAAGTGCTTATTTTCTTGTATCCTGCAAATTTTGATAAGTTATGTATTAAAAAAATTTTTTTTGGAGACAGAGTCTTGCTCTGTTGCCTAGGCTGGAGTGCAGTGGTGCAATCTTGGCTTACTACAACCTCTGTCTCCTGGGTTCAAGTGATTCTCGTGCCAGAGTAGCTGGGATTACAGGCATGCGCCACTACACCTGGGGAATTTTTGTATTTTCAGTAGAGACAGGGTTTCACCATGTTGGCCAGGCTGATCCCGAACTCCTGGACTCAAGTGATCCACCTGCCTGAGCCTTCCAAAGTGCTGGGATTACAGGTGTGAGCCACCAGGCCTGGCCTAATAGTTTATATTTTCATTTTCATTTAGTTCAAGATCTTTTTACAACTTTTCTTGAGACTTCTTTGATCCATGTATTATTCAGAACTGTGTTGTTTAAACTTAAAATATTTGGGGATTTTCCATTTATCTTTCTGTTATTAATTTGTAGTACAATTCCATTGTGGTCTGAGTGCATGCTTCATACGACTTCTACTCTTCTAAATTTGTTAAGGTGTTTTTCTACTCCTTTAAATTTATTAATGGTGCTGCTGAGTTCTACTATGTCTTCACTGATTTTCTGCCTACTAGGTCTGTTCATTTCTAATAGACAGTGTTGGAGTCTCCAGCTATGATAGTGGATTCATCTATTTCGATGTGCAGTTCTATCTGGTTTTGCCTCATGTATTTTGGTGCTTTGTTGTTAGGTACATACGTTTTAAGGACTGTTATATCTTCTTGGAGAGCTGACTCCCTTATCATTTTGTAATGTCCCCCTTTGTCACTAATAAACTAGCTTGCCCTGAAATCTGCTCTTCTGAAATTAATATAGCTATTCTAGCTTTCTCTCAATTAGCATTATCATGGTATATACTCTCCCATCCCTTTACTTTTAATTTTCCTGTGTCTTCATATTTAAAATGTGTTTTAAATATAACTCTTATAAGCTCTTATAAGCTCTGTCTTTTATTTGGTGTATTTAGGCCATTCACATTTAATATAATATAGTATTTATATGCATATACTTGTAACTGTTTTATATTTGTTGTTTGCGTTCCCTTTTTCTTTTTCTGTCTTTCACTCTTTTCTGCTTTTCCTGTATTTAACTGAGTATTTTATATGCTCCGTTTTATCTCTTCTCTTATCAATTATATTTCTTTTTTTAATTTATTTGGTGATTGTCCTAGAGTTTGCAATATGCATTTACAATTAATCTAAGTTCACTTTCGAAAAACAGATATCATTTCACAAGTAGTGCAGTTACCTTATAAGTGAATATTTTCAATATCTTCCTCCTATCCCTAATAACATTCCTTCATTCATTTAAATGCTTATCTACATTATAATCACTGAACACATTGTTGCTATTATTAATTTGAACAAACTTCTATTTGTTACATCAATTAAGAATAAGAAAAATAAAAATAATACTTTACCTTCATTTGTTCCTTCTCTATCACTCTTCCTTTCTGTATCTATATCCAAGTTTCTGACTTAGCACATTTTTCCTTTTTTCTTAAATTAATTTTTTTTTCAAAATTTATTGTGTGGTGAACTTACTGGTGACAAATTCTCTCAATTTTTGTTTGAAAAAAACTATTTCTTCACTTTCTATAGATAATTTCTCTAGATATAGAATTCTAGCTTAGTTTCTTTCAAAGCTTTAAAACTGTTACTCCACTCTCTTCTTGTTGATCTTGTTTCTGAAGTCCAGTGTAATTCCAATCCTCACTTCTCTGTAAGTAAGGTGTTCTCCCCATCCCTCAGCTTCTTCCAAGACAGATAGAAGAACCGCTGATTTTCATCTTGGTCATCTTTTTTCTTGTTGTGAGGATGGGGCTGATGACTTCCAAGTTCTTTACATGTCAAACTGGAAACTGGAAGTCCCTTTGATTTAAGATGGAAGTTGTTTGTCATGCTAAAGAAGGATTCTGCTTTTCCATTTCATAATTGTTAGTTTAACCATCTATGAAATTTATATGATTTCAAATGCCTACTAGTTGTCTATAACTTTCCTTGTGTTTCTAGGGCTTATTATTTCATATATACTTTCAAAATGAAATTTGTCTTTCGTCCATGAATATACATTGCCTGCTCATAACTTAGTTTTGGATTTTGTATTTGAGAATTATACTTGCTTGGTTTTTCATTTTTCATCTCTAGTTTTGAATAATTTATGCTTACAGTTTTAATTTCAACCTTTTTTGGGGGATCAGAAAATGGAATGAATGAAGAATTAGGAGCATGCTAACATACAAGGAAAAAGGAAGCTTTTGCTATTTTTCGTATTCTTGAAACAGTTCATGTGGCAGGGGAATTCCCCGGTCATTGATGGTCTAAAATAACTGGCAATATTTATTTTGCCTTTTCTCATTAAAATGATTTTGTTATTCACTATTGGTTATTCCATATCTTAATATCTAACTTTTCTTCATTTATTTGATGGGGTAATTTTTTTCATAGATAGAAGTAAATGCATACATACACACAAGTACATATACATATATATATACACACACACACTCATACATGCACATATATAATAATGAAAGTTAATATGTCTACCACTTTTGCCTTCTAAAATCTTTGCTCGTTGCTCTATTTTTTAGTGTTGCTAGGAATAGCTTAATGCTAGGCAGATGTTTGTTTCTTTGGGTCAAAACTGGTATTTTCTCCTACTTGAATGACAGAATACTTTTTTCTTTATTTCCCTAGTTTAAATGCTTTGTAAGAGTGTGATCAGGTTTTGCTCCTTTTCATGGAATTTACCTATAATGTGGCAATCTTCACTTTTTTTTTCTTTCAAAGACATATCCACTTTACATTTTTTCTAATGCCCCTCTTTTATCCCTGAAGTCTGGGTAGAGGTTTTCAGGTATTTCATCGAAATCTGTTAATTGGATTTTCCACAGTTTGAATTCCATCCCTTTTATACCTCCAATATAGGCTTTAAATGCTGTCTTGAAATAGAAAAGAAATACGCCTTAGGTATATGTGTCTGTATTTGCTGTACTACCTCATTGTCTTGATTACTACCAAATTTCAATGAGCATTATTATCTGGAACTGCCAGTCCTGCAAGTTTGTTCTATTTCAATAGTTTCTTAAATATATATTTGCCTTTGCATTTCCATATACATTTTTAGAATCAGCATGCCAATTTCCACTAAAAAATCTGCTGGGATTTTTGTTTGAAATTGACATAGACCTCCTGCATTTAATTGAATTACTGCTATAGTTGCGTTTTACCTTTTATCTTTGAGTATACTTTTGTTGTCATCTTGGATATTACAAAATATAAACTATGAACCAAATTATTACTTTTACTATTTTCTAATAATCTCAGGACTTTGGAATTGTGTATATATATATATACACACACACACACACACACACACACACACACACACACACACAAATATATATATATATATATGTATCCTACTGCCAGCTCTGGCTTTATGTTAACCATAAGTTTTAATTATTATCATTTTAAACCTATAAGATGCTACTGTTAATGCCTGTGTAGTAAGTTTTCTTTTGTATTTTCTCACGTATTAATCTCTCCCATTGTTCTGAGAAGTCAGCTGTGCATATTTTACTTGTAAATTTATAAACAGTGTGCCCTTTTTTCTCTGGATGCTTTATCATTTTTTCCTTGCTTTGATTTGCAATAGTTAGACTTTGTGTGTCTGGGTTCTGGGTGTGTGTTTTTTTTTCTTTTTCTTTTCTTTGTTTAAAAAATCCTGCTTGAGCTGGCTGAGCTTCTCAAATGTACAGTTTGATGTTATTCATCAGTTTCAGGGAAATTCTTTGCCATTGTAAAAAACATTACTTTTAACCCATTTTCCCATATTATTCTGGGACAGCAATTACAGGAATATTAGGCCTTCTGATGATGTACTATATATCACTTCTAATCTGTTTTGTGATGTTTTAAAATTTTTTTTCCTCTCTCTGTATTTCTATTTATGTAGTTCCTATGAATCTAATTTCTATGTCATCAATTCTGCGCTTTTCTGCAGCCTTTTATTCAATGAATACATTGAGTTCTTAATTTCAGTTGTTATTCCTCAGTTGTTAAATATGAATTTTATCTTCATATAATAAAAATTTCTATTGAATTTTCATAGATTTTCACCTATTTTGTGCTTCTTCCTTTCTTATTTTCTTAAGAATAGTCATAATAGTTATTTTAAAGTCTACTGCTAGCTGTAATTATAATCACCTGTAGGTCTGCCTTGATTTTTCTTTTGGTTTTCGGATAATCCCATCTATTTTCATGGCTAGTAATTTTTGGTAGAATGCCAGCCACAGTTTAAAAAATAAAAATAAAAAGCTACTTAGCCTTCAGCTTTGCCCAGATTGGCCAGTGGTCCCAGAGAGAAAGTGGTGGCAGATTTTCCATATCACTTCACTTTTTCACCCCCTCCAGGCTTGCAGCTCTCACCGGTGTGTCCAGTACCTCCTTTTCTCTTGGGTCCTTGTCTTGTGAGCGTCCAAACACTGGGAGGCGGAAGGACATTCCCTGCTGCTTTTCAGATTTTGTGGTTTAGCTCTTTGGTTTTCAGCCTACACAGCTTCGGAGTTTACCAAATACCTGAAGGGAGAAATTGCCTTGTGTCTGAGCACCCTCTGCTTGTCTAACCTCTCTGCCCATCAGCAACTGCCCTTTGCTCCACCCAAGCCCAGTCTTGCAGCTCTGGCTCCTTCTCAAAACCAACAGATGCTACTCGGGTTTCAAGGGACCCTGGGAATCGCCTACAACCATGCCCTCTCATCTGGAATTTTCTTCTTTTAGTTTTTGTTGCTACATCTATATTGATACCTATATGTGCACAGGTCATATATTTGGGAATTTGTCCAGGTTTCAGATTGTTCTCAGTGAGAAGTTGGGCTGAGTGGATCCTCCATCCCACTCAGTAGCAGAAAACTTCAGTGTGGATTGTAATTCCATTACTGTGCTTTTCACTTGCTGCCATCCTTCCTCATACATATATATCCTTCCATTCCATGGAAATATCATTAGAGGAGAAATTTTTTCATCCTTTTTTTCAACAAATGTAGGCTATATAAGAAAATAATAATTTTCCCAAACTTACATGAACATCACAATATTACATAAAACCATGTAAGGGAAATAATAGAAAAACAAGTTAAAATAGAAAGATAAGTAGTTATATTAAGAATAATTTAAAAAAATACTTCACTTAGTGTTTCGGGCAAATTTTTCTATTGTCCATCAATATTTGCTATGTTCTTTTTGTGGACATGTGGAAAAGCTACAATTCCTCAGCCCCTGTGTGAAGTTGATTATGGTCATAAGATATGCTTTGACAATAAAGTGTGAGCAACGAGACCCTGTGTCTCTTCTGCTTTAAATCATTTAATTGCTGATGTTGAGCTCTTCACTTCTCTCTTTCTTTGTATGTCATGATTTACATACATCATATCAAGGAGAAACGATGCTAAGAATCTTAAGGAAGAAAGCTCCACTTTTTGATGGGGTTGTTTGTTTGTTTGTTTTTTCTTGTAAATTTGTTTAAATTCCTTGTAGATTCTGGATATTAGCCCTTTGACAGATGGATACATTGCAAAAATTTTCTCCCATTCTGTAGGTTGCCTGTTCACTCTGATAATAGTTTCTTTTGCTGTACAGAAGCTCTTCCATTTAATTAGATCCCATTTGTCAATTTTGGCTTTTGTTGCCATTGCTTTTAGTGTTTCAATCCTGAAGTCTTTGCCCATGCTTATGTCCTGAATGGTATTGCCTAGGTTTTATTCTAGGGTTTTTATGGTTTTAGATCTTACTTTTAAGACTTTAATCCATCTTGAGTTAATTTTTGTATAAGGTGTAAGAAAAGGGTCCAGTTTCAGTTTTCTGCATATGGCTAGCCAGTTTTCCCAACACCCTTTATTAAATAGGGAATCATTTCCCATTGCTTGTTTTTGTCAGGTATGTCAAAGATCATACCATCTCATGTCAGTTGGAATGGCAATCATTAACAAGTCAGGAAACAACAGATGCTGGAGAGGATGTGGAGAAATAGGAACGCTTTTACACTCTTGGTGGGAGTGTAAATTAGTTCAACAATTGTGGAAGACAGTGTAGTGATTCCTCAAGGATTTAGAATCAGAAATACCATTTGACCCAGCAATCTCATTACTGGGTATATACCCAAAGGATTATATGTCATTCTACTATAAAGACACATGCACACATATGTTTATTGTGGCCCTATTCACAATAGCAAAGACTTGGAACCAATCCAAATGTCCACCAATGATAGGCTGGATAAAGAAAATGTGGCACATACACACCATGGAATACTATGCAGCCATCAAAAAGATGAGTTCATATCCTTTGTAGGGACATGAATGAAGCTGGAAACCATCATTCTCAGTAAACTAACACAGGAACAGAGAACCAAAGACCACATGTTCTCATTCATAAGTGAGGGTTGAACAATGAGAACACGTGGACACAGGGAGGGGAACATCACACACATCGGGGCCTATTGAGGGATGGGAGCTAGGGGAGGGATAGCATTAGAAGAAATATCTAATGTAGATGATGGGTTGATGGGTGCAGCAAACTACCATGGCAGGTGTATACCTATGTAACAAACCTGCGCGTTCTGCATATGTATCCCAGAACCTAAAGTATAATAACAAAAAAAATAGAAAGAAAGAAAGCTCCACTAGCATGTCCTCTGGCCACACAAAAGGCTTTGTTTTAGCCCGAAATAAAACTTTTATTTTTTTAAGCTAATGTGATTTTAGGGGTATCCATTAACTTAACAAAATCTCCTCTATCTTGGCAGATATAATTTAACAACATAAGCCATTATTAAAGAGAGAATCAAAATAAGCCATTATTAAAGAAAGAATCAAGGTTACTTCAAAACCTTTCTAAATCTGGCCTACATTCTTCTAAGCAAGATGAAACAATGATGATGATAAAATAAACACACAGGTGATGCTGTATTGAAATTACAGCTAGATTACAGTCAGAGATATCAAGATATATATACACAGGATGATTGTTATAGAAATATAGTTATGTGGATATTCATGGTTATTATATATATATATATATTTCTTATCTCTGTCTGCTGAGGACCCTAGAAGCACTAATATTCCAGAAGCAATTAAAATACCTAATTACCCAGATATTTTTAGGTGCCATTTACCTATACTAAAAAGCAGGGTTTCCTGAATGACTTTAGTCTGGGTTTGATGCATAGAACATACAAGAAGAGCCTGAAGCATCTTACGGGGCTGATAAAGAAGTGGAACAAAAGAAAAGAAAGAGAGGGAAAGAAAAAAGAAAGTAAGAAAGGAAGAAAGAAAGAAAAGAAAGAAAGAAAGAAAAAGAAAGAGAAAGAGAGAGAAAGAAGAAAAAGAAAGAAAGAAAGAAAAAAGGAAGAAGAAAGAAGAAAAAGAAATGAGAGAAATATAACAGAAAGGGAAGAGAGAAGAAAGGAGCAAGGAAGAGAGAGACAATGAGAACATGTCAAAAAACAAAACAAACAAACGAAAACCTCACAGAAACATCCTGAAGGAGTTCCCAGTGGCCAAAGTTGAAACTATCTTAATAAGAGGAAGAAAAATTATGAATGTATTGGATTATAACTGTAAGAATAAAATAAATATCCATAAATTTCTACTAACAAAAATAAATGATTGAATACATAAATAAAGGAAAGTGGGCAAATGGTCCTTACAGGGGAATCCCAAATAATAAATGTAGAAGTGAGGGAAATACAAAATTGCCATTAGCAAACCATGGTAACATTTTCTGCAGGCAAGATCCACTAAACAACAATAACATTATTGGGTGACATTTTAAGGAGAAGAAGAATATTTGCATAGCCTCAAAGTATCTCCCCAGAAACAAGTATTAATCACTGTGGTGGTTTTATCATATTGCTACAAATATGTGTGCAAGTCCCATCTACAGCTGGCTTATAGCATCCTTGCTGTGGCAAGAGGAGATTCATGAGAAATGTTCAGAGGAGGAAGTTTAGATTGTAAGAAATGTTCAGAGCTGAGAGTTCTAGAAGATCCTTGTCCTCACTTTAGAAGATCTGATGAGGCCTGATTCGGGCTAGTTGGTAGAAAAGCAAAGCAGATTCATTAAAAAGGTGGAGACTTCCATGGTGACTTTGGCATTACGGTGAGCGTATGGCAGTTTGAGGAGAGAAACAGTTCCTGAAGCAATGGCATGAGCAAAAGACAGGAAAGGGATCATGCTCAAGCCATGAAGCAGGCCAGTTTGATTGGAGCAAGAATATACAAAAAGTAGTAAATAGTAGAGAGTAAGTTTGGAAAGGTAGATGGAGAGTCTAAAGGGCTGGTAGAAGCTTCTCCTTATTAGGTGAGCCATAGGGAGCCATGAGAGCTTCTAGAGCAGAGAAGTGCTAATTTCTGAGCTCAGAAAAATTCCTCCAATGTTAGCCATTGTAGGGACTAGAATTTTTTCTCTGAATGAGATGGATGTGTGACAGGATCAGAAGCAGTTCTGCTTAGTGTTTGATTGGACCACTTTGGCTGTTGTGTTAAGAATGCATCACAGAGCACAGCCAGGGAAAAGCAGGGCCACCAAGTAAAGGACAATTATGGAAATGCAGGTGAGAGATGATAGTACAGTGTGGTCGAGTGTCTTCAGGGCGAGGTGGTGACTAAGTGTTTCTGAGTCATGCCATCTGGATCATCTATGTGACCTGAAGATGGGATTATCCTTTGATGACTCCAGGAAAAAGTCCAAATAGCTTAGCTCTTCAAGACCTGGTCTTAATTTCCTTCCAGTCAAATCTGTCATCTCTTCCCGAAAACATCCTGAGTTTGAGCCATGCCAAAAGCCCAAGGTGGTCTTTGTACACTGCCCATGGATTTCTTTCTGGATGAAAACACCCTCTTTCCTTTGCTAAGGAACTCTCACTCATCTTTCCATTGTCCTGTCTTTTCCAAATCCTTCCCTGACATAGCCTTGGCAGAGTCAGGTGCTAGCTGTGTCTTCCGTGTTCCTGAAGCACTATTGTTATAGTCCATATTCTGAGAACAGCACATGCCATGGTGTAGCCTGAGCATTTTCATCTGTATCCTTATAGCAATGGCTCCACTAGACACAAAGGGGTAGAGCAGGAATTTCTTTCACACTCCTGTTTTCTGATTCTGTCTGATATTTGCATGATACTTATCCTTGTTCAAAACAGTTCATCTCCTTGATCCTGATTAGGGATTCTTTCTAAGCCATGTCCTTGATTATGAAAGAGTATGGATAGAATTCTCCATTCTGTCTTGTGGAAATATACATGGCTCAGAGAGCTAATTTTCTGTAAATTACTTTATTTGACTTACCATTTTTGTAGGTATTTTAGTAACACGAATCTGTTGAGGTCCTGGAGAGGATAAGCATTTGATTAAGGTGGCACAGCAGGAGGTAGAGGCTGAATGAAACCTGTGCAGTCTCACTTCTGACCCATTGGGAGAAAGTAGCCAACTCTGACCCTTCACTGTGGAACAGAATAGATTTACACAGAGAACACATTCTTCAAAGCATCACTTCATCTTTAGAAACTCAAAGTTGGAGGGCACCTGCAGAATCACTGCCTTATCCCTTGACACTGTGAAGAAACACCATTTACAACTGCCTTCAAGTGTGCAAATGGTGATGGAGTCAGGGAGTCCCTCCCAGAGCGTGAATCAGTAGGGATTGTTTATCAAAGGGTCTCCACTGAATGGAGCCAAAATCTGTTTCTCGCTACATTATTTCCCTTGATTTGCCAGCAGAAAAAGCCTAATCCCTCCTTCAAATGATAAGCCTTTTAAAATTATAGGCAGTTAAGCTTTAAAATTTAAAGGCAACTAGACCTTCACATCTCTATTGTTTCAACCACACAGATGGCATGTTTTTAAGCCCTTTACCTTTAAATTGGGACAAGTTTATTCCTCTGTGCTGGTTTTAATTAATGGCATCCCACTGAAATCCCTCAATTTTCCATGAAGAACTAACTTGGCCCCATTGTCTTCACTAAGGACCCATTTCTTAGCCCCCTTTCACAGCGGAATTACCTCTGATGCATCTCTGCCTACTACTCCTGTCTCCTCCCCAATTTACTGTTGAGCCCACTCCTCCCATGCTCTTGTCCCCACAACTCGGCAGAAACTGTTCTTCTTAGGCTAAGGGAAGATTTCCATGTCACTCGGTTCAACCTTCTATTCTCAGTATTTCTCTTCTGGCTGCTCTTACCTCCCTTCCTTACGCCTTCCCTACAGTGACTCCTCCTGTCCATGGGCTCCAACAACACTGGCCTCCCTGCTGCTCCTGGACAGTCTGGACCCTCTGGGTAAGACCTTTGCTCTGCTGTCCCATGATGTGTATCCTTTTTACCAGATCCATCCTTTGCTTCACAGCGAGGCCTCCCCTGGCCACCCTTCCTGGCCCTGGAATAACTCAGAACAGATTACCCTTCTCTATTTTATCTGCACAGCACATACCTCTGACCTAGATAGTAAATAATATGGTGAGTTGTATTTGTTGGCCACTGTTTGCCTCCCTGATCTGTACAATCTCAGCAAGTGCATGCAGGGATGGTTGTCCCTTGGGTCTCCTGAGTGCCTAATGCAGTTTCTGACATGAGGCAGGCTTTCATCACTTTCTAGATGAATGAGTAGCATTATGAATGGAGGTGTGTATGATGGGGAGACCAGAGAGCTCAGTGGGCTGGAGAGGTGGACAGAAAGTGAGTGACATGGAACATGGAAGAGCTCCCAAAACTCTAACCAGTTCAAGGGAAAAGCTCAAGTTAGGAGAGTCAGCATGTTAGTTATTTGTTATGTCCCTATAAATGATCATAAACATGGTATGAGGTTGGGTGAGGAAAAAAAAAAGGAGAATTTAAAAAAACCACAAAGAATACGTGGGCATCACCAACAAATTTTTTTGTAGGCACATTTGAAGTTTTTAAAAATATACTAAAAAAACTCAATGCATAACTTGAGTACCTCACTGTTGGGTGGGCTAACCTTGCTTATTTAGTTTCAAAGAACAGGAATCACCTCATAATATTCTTAGCTTACCCCTTTAGAAATAGTGTTCCACAGATAAGTGATCTGGTATTTACAAAAATGAGAGTGTGGGAGAGCAAGCGTGTACTTTCAGTCCTTTATGCAGATCAAAAATAGCCCACACTGGGCTGACTTTTTGCTTTCAGAGGAGTCCACTAGGTTGGGAAAGAATGAACCTCCCCTTGGGCTTTCAATCTGATGATCTCCAGTAGGTCTGTCATCTCTCTTCCCGTCACTTTTCAATAAAGGGGCCAAGTGGGCACTGGATTAAAGTGCTTGCCCTTCTCCATGGCTCTGACTTTTCAAATCTTTTTGGCAGAAAATACTTTTTCTGATGCTAAGAAATTGCAAAAAAATTCTCACGTGTCATTCAATGGACTTGATTAAAGGCAAATTCCAGGCCGTAGCAACATCATTTTACCACTGGGTACCTAGTTCTTCACCTTGGCAAATATTCTATTCACATTTAAGGTTTGGGCATCATGGATGCTTCCTGGAAAAACAAGGAAATAAAATGTTGCAATTAACAGCTTTTGGACTGAGAGTCAACATGTTGTTTCAGAGCAGCAGGTATTCAGTCTTTTAAATGAAAATAGCAAAATCTAAATCCACTTTAATCAAATTCTAAGCAGAGAAAGAACAATGTATTAATCCATCATATATTAAATAGTTCTTTGGAACTGATGCCATTGATTTGAAGTCATTCTTTTAAATAGCAAACAAGAAAGGACCCATGGTAACCACGTGAGATAATTACTTGGGCTTTTACGGTTTCTTTTTAGGACACTTCAAGCGTTACTTTGTGCCTTGTCTATGTCTTAGGAAGAGGAAAAATTCTGTGGCATACAATGTTGTAAGGAAAAGTGTATTTTCTAAGCTCTTCCCACACTGTGGAAGTTCCCTCTAAGGTCTCACTGTTATACTTTAAAGCCCCCATGTTTCTGGTCCCCCTAAGATTCAGGATCCCCCAAGGCCAGAGGTCCTCTGCTGGTCACACATATGCATCTGTACCTGTCCTAATCCATCAAATACAGAATTGTTGTCTTTCAGGTTAAGAAGGTCTCTGTTTTACAATGTGCTCTAAAGTGTCACAGTGGCAAGTTTAAATGCAATCTTAGTTTAATGGGTAACTAAAATACAAGATCTTACAGCACTGCCCCTTTCTCTTCTGACCCAGAACAGTGGAGATTCCCTAAGGTGAAGAGGCTATCATTTCAAAGGTGATAAATCTGAGTCTTAGGACAGATGAACACGCAGTGTACTAGTATCTCTGGGATTTGGATCTTCATGGAATTTAGTCTAACAAAATCCAAGCTTATCTCCTCTGAACACTGGCAAATCAGCTCATTATAGTTTTTTTTTTCAAATACATATTCTTGTGAATTTGAATTAAGTGTATGACAATAACAAACTTACAACTGTAGTATGCCCCTTCTCATCATGAACATCTGATCTCCTAATTCCTAAATCCCATCTCAGGCATCTCTGGAGGCCCGATCTGTTCAATGCATCTTTTCCTTCATGCAATGACACTCAGGCTCTTTGGCTATGTGAGCTGTGAACCATATGACCCAAGTGATTAGGGTCTTTTCCCCAAAATGTGTCTTCCCTAGATGCCTAACTAAGTTGTTGAAAAGTCACAATAAGACTTAATTGGTCAATAGGGGAAGAGGCAAATTTCACTGGGAGATAAAGTAGGCAGGGTTGTATCAATGCCATTTTGGGAAGACAAAGAACAACACCTTTTGCCTTCCATTCTATTAAGCTGACCTGCGCTTAGACTGGAACCTGCTCTGGAGTCAGCCTGTCCAGTTTCACTTCCTCATATCACTGAGCTCAGGCGACCAACACCAAGGTAGCTTCTGGGAGTAGGGTTGGGGAGAAGGTGTGGAAGAACATGCACACATCTGAGTTAGGATCCGTTTGTGCCATAATCTCAGTGTCTGAAGTAGCTGGTAGAACTCAACACTTCCTCGTCATAGGAACACCTGCTCATTGGAACACCCCAGGGTTTGACTTGTGCTTTTCGTGTCTCTATCTCTAATGCTCATTTGACAATCTTTCCTGGCCTCTTGACTAGAAATACTATTCTTATGGAAAAGATTCCCAGACTTTAATCTCCGGTTCAGCCCTCTCTTGAAATCCACTAATATGTCCAATCACTCATTTAACATCTCTGATTGGATGCATGATCTGTGCTTCCCATTCAACATGTTCCCTTCAGAACCCACCCACACTTGCAGCAATCACAGTCCACTCTTATTTAGGTTCTGGAAGCTCATTGTTTCCAGGAGCATGGGTGAGTCCTGGGAGTCAGTCACATTTTTATCTTGTTTTACATATCCCACATTCAGTCTTTCAGAAAATCATTTTGGCTCTACCTTCAGGATATATTCAGAAGCCAACCTCTTGTCGTCAGCCCTACCACCTACATACTGATCAGAGTTATCATAGTCTCAGACTTGGATTATCTCCTGGCTAGTCTTCCTACCTATTTTTTTTTTTTTTTTTTTTTTTTTTGAGACGGAGTCTCGCTCTGTCGCCCAGGCTGGAGTGCAGTGGCACCATCTCGGCTCACTGCAAGCTCTGCCTCCCTGGGTTCATACCATTCTCCTGCCTCAGCCTCCCTAGTAGCTGGGACTACAGGCACCCACCATCGTGGCCGGCTAATTTTTTTGTATTTTTAGTAGAGACGGGGTTTCACCATGTTAGCCAGGATGGTCCCGATCTCCTGACCTCATGATCCGCCCGCCTCGGCCTCCCAAAGTGCTGGGATTACAGGCGTGAGTAGTCTTCCTACCTTTTTCTTCAACTCACCACAGTCCAGACTCAACGAAGCATCTGGAGTGGGCATATGACACTTAAATCACGTTGTGTTACTCTCAGACTCAGAACCCTACAGCAGTTTCTTATTTCCCCCAGAATATAAACCAAAGTCTTTAAGATTGCCTTCCAGGCCAGACATTAACTTCACCTTCTGTGCCTTGCTTCTCTCATCTGTGAGTTGGGTATAACGATAGTACCTGTCTCTTGAGATATTCATGAAAGTTAAGTGAGTTAAGACACGCAGTGAGCACAGAATGTGCCCATTATGAGTTAGTCATAATTCTGACTAAGGGCTGGTTTTGGTTAAGAGGTGTCAACTCCCTCAAATTCAGGATGAGATGCAATATTTATGCCTTTTGACACAGTAAATAAGACTCCACCAAGAAAGGCTTGACTTTTGGAGGTGGACTGGGCAACAGTCCTGCAAGTATAAAGGGAGAAATAAAACACTCTATTTTGCCTCTTTTCCTGGCTCTGAGAAGTTCAAGGTAATATTGATAATCTTCATCCAAGTAAAATTTTAGCTAAAAAAATCCACTTAGAAAATGTGTTTTTAATATTATGTCAATTTGATTTAGTGTGACACTGAATCATGTGACCTTCCAAAATCCAAAACCAAAAGGAAAGCATTAGAACAAATCATCTTTTCTAACTTACTGAAGATCATAATCTTTTAAAGACTTTAAGGAAAACAAATATTAAGAGAAGGACAAGTAGCTTATTTCATTTTTAAATAATTATGTTATTAGTAAATGATCATAAAATTAGCTTTAAACTATTCATTAGTCAAGCAAGTGAACCAATGATGACTATTATTCTATATGTGATCATTATAAGACTTGATCATAAGTATGGCACTGTAGAATTTCCCTGGTTTATAAACACATTGATGTAAGCAGATGTTTATCTTCTCTCTCTTAACAAGAGGAAATGAAAGTAACATATTTAGCGCACTCTGGAAGCCAGGCACGCTGCTAGGTAGAGTTCACACTTTGACCTTCCAAAATCAGACAGTGTGAAAGGATACACATCCTAGAATGCTTTTTTGAGGTCCACAATTTTCACATTATCTCTTCCAACAAGATGGCATTTTCAACTATGGAGAAGCTGGTTTCTGATAGTCAGTTTAATGGGAGATTGTCTGTCTACCTAACATGGTCAACAGAAGAATTGAGGCACTTCATTTTTAATTCCCATTCTTTTTTTCTTGCTTACATTTCTCATGTTATTTTTCACCTTTTTTATTATAACTTTATTTAGATAAAGTCATTTAAGTCTTATTGTGAACAAATACTATCCTGGAGATTACTGAATTTTAAAACTCAGTTCAATAGTTATACTGAGCATCTGTGTTTGTCATTTAAAAAGGAAGAAATCATGACTAAGTTTTAGTCACTGCATTCAAGAAGCATCCAAGATACTTGGTGGAAAAAATCAGAGAAATCCACAAATCTCTTTGATCTTATGATGGCAAGATGAAGTCTGTAAGAAATGTATAAAGCAAGCACACTGGGAGTTTAGAAGACCTGGAGAGACCTAGTTTGAGCCAGCTGGTGAAAAAGCACAAACAGATTAAATGAAGAGGTGGGGCTACATGGTGACTTTGGAGTGAAGATGGACGTGTGACAGTTAGACATGTTAGACCATTAGACGAGGGAAATACTTGAAGCAAGAGCATGAGCTTTCTATAAAGGAAAGGAAAGGAAAGGAGCTTGCTCAGGCAGTGAAGAATAGGCCAGTTTGATTGGAGCAAGAATATAGGAAGGGAAATAAATAGTGGAAAATAAGTTTGGGAAGGTAGATGGATAACCTAAAGAGCCGCTAGGGACTTCTTTATTAGGTGAGCAATAGAGAGCCATGAGAGGTTCCAGAGCAGCAACATGGTGAAGTCAGAGCTCAGAAAGACTTCCCAGGTAAATTAATGTGAAATGACAATGAAAGAATATAGGAAACTCTTACATTATCAGGGAGCATTGACAGGGGATATGTGTAGGATTTTCATTACATATGTGACAAATGGCTACAACTTGGCCACTGCAGTATCAGACATTTCTGACCCTGTTAAAGTGAATTTAGCCACAGCAGGGCAGGGAGTAAGGAGGTATTGTAACAATTGGTAGCGATTGCAATGCTCTGAAATTCCCCAAGTGCACACTATGTTCACCCATAAGAAACTATCATGACTTAAGGAAATTTTAGTGTTGCTATATAAATCTGAACACATGTACTCACTACTGCCCTAATTTAAATGATTAAGAAAAAGTTATATAAAATAATCTTTTTGGAATATTACTATTTACTGTGGTGAGATGCATCTTTAGTTCCATCTACTTGGAAAACTGAGATGGGAGGATTTTTGAGCCAACTAGTTTGAGGCCAGCCTGGGCAACATACCAAGACTATACTATAACAAGATTATAATTTCTAAAAATTTAAATTTTAAATTTTAAAAATGTTTAAGAAAGGATATCATTATATATAAAATTTACAGAAGTTAAATCTTAAGCTTTATTATGGAAAAATACTCACATGAATTATGACATCTGTTTCATGGGATATGATGCTGATAAAATTATTGCTATGTCCAAACCGATTGAAGAAAAAAAACAAGTCACAGAGTATATGAGGAAGTTGCCTTATAATAAACAACAAAGCAAGGATGGATTACAGAATAATCATTAGAACAATTGGCTAGATGTTTAGGGCAAAAAGCTGGATCTTTATTCCTCTCATTATATCTTTACGTTTATATGATTCAAAAATGTAAATGGGCAAGAAAAAGGCATAAAAATACCGCAAGAAAGCATGAGATAAGGCATCTTACAAAAGAAGAGTTAAAGTTGGCAATAAGTATAAAATGCAACCAGATAAAACAAAAACATGAAGACATATCAAATTGGCAAGATTAAAACTTCAAAAGACAATCTTAGTTTTGAAGTTTTGCAGAAATACACAAACAATAGTAATAGTGGGGGTGTAAAATTGGTAGAAATTTATAGTGAGCATGTTGGCACTTGTAATGGTTAGTCTCATGTGTCAACTTGGCTAGACTACAGTAGACAACTGTTTAATCCTACACCAATCTAGGGGTTGCTGTGAAGGCATTTTATAGATGTGGTTAGCATCCACAATCAGTTGACGTTAAGTGAAGGAGATTACCCTCTATAATGTGAATGGACCTCATCCAATCATTTGAAGATCTTAGGAACAAAAACTGAGGTTTCCTGGGGAAGAAGAAATTCTGCTTCAAGACTCCAGTATCAATTTCTGCCTGAGTTCCAAGTTTGTTGGCCTGCCTTACAAATTTCAGACTTGTGAGGTTTTGGATTGCCACAATCCTATGAGCCAACTCCTTAAATCTCCCTCTCTCCAAAAAAAAAAAAAAAAAAAAAACCTCTTTCTCACTGAAAAAATATATATATCCTGTTCCTGTTTCTCTGGAAAATCCTGACTGATACTACTCTACATATAAGAATTTAACATGTACAGCTCTATTTTATAAATTTACCTCAATAAGCTAATTTTACAAGTTGGAAAAGACATATATACAAGTATATTAATTTCTGTGTTTTTTTTAAATTATACTTTAAGTTTTAGGGTACATGTGCACAATGTGCAGGTTAGTTACATATGTATACATGTGCCATGTTGGTGTGCTGCACCCATTAACTCGTCATTTAAAGTTAGGTATATCTCCTAATGCTATCTGTCCCCCCTCCCCACACCCCACAACAGGCCCCGGTGTGTGATGTTCTCCTTCCTGTGTCCATGTGTTCTCATTGTTTAATTCCCACCTATGAGTGAGAACATGTGGTGTTTGGTTTTTTATCCTTGTGATAGTTTGCTGAGAATGATGGTTTCCAGCTTCATCCATGTCCCTACAAAGGACATGAACTCATCATTTTTTATGGCTGCATAGTATTCCATGGTGTATATGTGCCACATTTTCTTAATCCAGTCTATCATTGTTGGACATTTGGCTTGGTTCCAAGTCTTTGCTATTGTGAATAGTGCCGCAATAAACATATGTGTGCATGTGTCTTTATAGCAGCATGTTTTATAATCCTTTGGGTATATACCCAGTAATGGGATGGCTGGGTCAAATGGTATTTCCAGTTCTAGATCCCTGAGGAATCACCACAGTGACTTCCACAATGGTTGAACTAGTTTACAGTCCCACCAGCAGTGTCAAAGTGTTCCTATTTCTCCACATCCTCTCCAGCACCTGTTGTTTCCTGACTTTTTAATGATCGCCATTCTAACTGGTGTGAGACGGTATCTCATTGTGGTTTCGATTTGCATTTCTCTGATGGCCAGTGGTGATGAGCATTTTTTTCATGTGTCTTTTGGCTGCATAAATGTCTTCTTTTGAGAAGTGTCTGTTCATATCCTTTGCCCACTTTTTGATGGGGTTGTTTGTTTTTTCTTGTAAATTTGTTACAGAATGGGAGAAAATTTTTGCAATCTACTCATCTGACAAAGGTCTAATATCCAGAATCTATAATGAACTCTATGTTCTTTATATAATTGAAATACTTGACAACAAACGTCCATTTCCTAAGGGCTGGTTAATAGTCATGTAATAGAAAACCATGGAGTCATTACCATAAAATCTGAAATTTGTTTTAATTAATGTTCTTCAGAGTTGGCATTTTTTTTCTCTTCTATTCTTCTAGGGTTATTCTTTGTACAGAGGATGAAGAAATCCATGTGCACAGATTGGACTTCTCCCTTGGGCCGCGGAGATGTTCCCAACTGTCTCCCGGACATTTCCAGCTCAGAGTCAACAGATGATTGGAGAGTTATCTCATCTGCTACATATTTACTTAGTCACATCTCCTAACTGCTCCAATCACCCAAGAGCAAAATCTAAGTGTCTGCCTTAATAGTTCTTATCAATGCATCACCATTCACAGATGTGCATGCACTTATACATACACTCCTTCAATCCATCCTACGTGGTGTTGATTGTATCTCCAATACATTCTTCATAACCCTTCTTTCTTCTCTGCCTTCTACAGTCCCTATCCTGGACAAGACACTAATAATTTCTGAGGGGTATAATTTTAATACATTATTCTCTGAACTCCCTACTGACAATTCATGTTCTTCACATTGCAAATAAAGTTCTCGCTCTCTAAAATGGCAGTTGATTATGTTACTCTCTTTGTATTTGTTTTATTATTATTAATTTCAATCTTCTAAAGTCCCCCCACTGCTTATACTATAGCAGCCAAATTCTCACAGCCCAGAGCTTGGCTTTCTACATTCTGCTCCTGGCAAGCTCAAGCTCTGCAGTTCCGTCTCCTTCTGTTTTCCCGTGGCTTCCCAGGCTGCTGTTCAGTCTTCCTGGAGTCACTCCTGATTGTCTTGTGGTTGCTTGCAGCCTCCTTCTCTGTGCACATGGCATTTTCTGTGCCAGAAACACTGCTAATCTATTATGAGCCTGGTCAGTTTCTGCTTATTCTTCAAGTTCCCTCTCAAGGGGACACTTCTGTAAGTCTTCTTTCAGCATCCTGAGTGGAATTGATTACCACCTGCTTCATGTGTCTTATGACCTTATGGAATCCCTCTCACAGTCCTTTTTCATTGTAATGTCCATCTGCTCCAAACAGACCGTGCTCTTCAACAGTGAGGACTAGGATATACTCCATAACCTAGCCCCACACCTGCAGGAATAGATGTCTTAGTTTAGATTCTACCTAAAAGTAGATCCTGAAGCAAGATCTTAAGTGCAAGAGGTTCCGTTTGGAGGTGATTCCCCAAGAAGCACAAGAGAGAGAATAGGGAGGTGAGGCATGGGAGGAAGGAAAGCTGTAAAGGCTACTAATCAGTGGGTCATCCCTCCAGGCAACTGGGATTCAACTGGACAGGGTGCACCTGAAGAATCATATAGAACATTCCTCATAATACACTAAATCTTATTTTGTCACATCTTATAAATTTATCTTTTGAAGTCAGTCCAAATGAGAGTGGTCTTCAATTCTACATGACCTCTATTTAGATACTGGAAAATAGCGAATGCGCTCTCCCTTTAACCCTAACATTGTCCACAGCTTTGACAGTCACAAACTCTTCATCATAGGGTCTCACTTTTACAAACTCATTCCATTTTATGGCTGTACCATATAAAAATAGTGCCAAGGGCTAACACGGTGAAACCCATCTCTACTAAAAACACAAAAAATTAGCCCGGCGTGGTGGCCAGCGCCTGTAGTCCCAGCTACTCTGGAGGCTGAGGCAGGATAATGGCATGAACCCGGGAGGCAGAGCTTGCAGTGAGCTGAGATTGCACCACTCCACTCCAGCCTGGGCGACAGAGCGAGACTCCATCTCAAAAAAAAAAAATAGTGCCAAGGATTACCCACGGTGCCCTGGAACCTAAGCATGCCAAGGTGTGTGGTGTGGCAGAGAGTACCAGACACTTCTTTGCCCAGGGCTCTAATCAAGCTGCTGGAGTGAAGCCAGTTGTCGTAGTCCATTTGACTCACACACTTCTTGGATCCAATCTGCACACCCGAATTTTGGCTTATGATATATATCAACCTGCATTTCTTCTTGGTTTTCCTTGTAAAATGTACCTATTACTGTGCTTCACAAGAATTCTTGAGAATCTATTCAGTTTAGCCCAGGCACTGTGCCTGGAGTTAGAGAAACAGACACAGACTGAACAAGGGCAGGGCCTGTGAGGTGCTCACACCACGGCAGGAGTCCAGATGTGTCCAGGGTCAGAAAAATGCTTAAGGGAAAGGCTCAGCTGCAGACATGGACAGAGTGTGTCTAGAGACTGAACATGCAGCATAGTCACGTGAGACTTTCCCACTGGCATCTAACTTAATGGAATGTTATGCGTCAGTGTTATGGAATTGCACATGAGCCAAGAGAAAAAACATCCCAAAGATTTTGGTTTTAAGTATTCAGAATATGTGTTTTGCTTACCAAGCCAAGCTATGCTTAACCATGGTATCTAGAAAGGATTTGTTGATTTCTAGATATTCAGTGATTCCATTATTTAATATAAAGGAGCTAATAATAATAAAATAGCTAATTCTTAATGGGAGAAGTATGTAAAAGAAAAATGTGAAATAATTTGCATCAATATCATTAACTTAAAAGATAAAATTATTGAAACATTTATTTTTCTTAGTTATATAATATTTGAGTTTTGTTTAAAGAGCATGTATTATCTTTATAAATCAAGAAAAATACAGTAAAAAGTAGAAAAACAGAAAATTCAAAGACATAAAGAGACTCACAATGGTGACTCGCAGGGGAAGGCAGAGAAGCACAAATAAAATATTTATTATTATATCTCACATCTTGAGTGTTCATTGTAACTATTGTGTTAATTGGTACTCTCCCTGTAAACACCCCACGAGTTCTTACTGCCTGTTGCACAAACAACTCCAATTGACTAAGACCACAGCACTTCGATAAAGAGTTTAATTGACATGAGGCCAGCCATGCCACCTGGAAGACAAAGTTATTACTCAAATCAACTCCCCCAAAACTTGGGGGCTAGGGTTTTTCCAGAATAGTTTGGCGGGCAAGGGAATGGGGGTGTGGATAGTGGTTCTCTTCTGGGTGGGGCCACAGGATGGCTGGTGGGTCCAGGTGGAGCCATCATCATTAGAAATGCAAAAACCTGAAAAGACATCTCAAAGGCTAATCTTCAGTTCCATAATAATGATGTTATCTGCAGGAGTAATTAGTGAAATTTCATATCTTGTGACATCCGGAATAATGGCTGGTAATTGTTTTTAAGTCTATACCTTGGCAGAATTCAGGCTTCTCATCCATCTAACCTGATGGTTTTTCACTAGCTTTACAAAGTCAGTTTAGTTTTGGGGAAGGACTATTATTATTATTTAAACTATAAACTAAATGTCTCCCAAAGTTATCTTGGCCTAAACCCAGGAATGATTAAGGGTAGTTAAGAGGTTAAAGGCAAGACAGTTTTGCTAGATCAGATCTCTTTCACTGTCATAATTTTCTCACTGTTCTAATTTTGGCAAAGGTAGTTTCATCCCAGGAGCTTTAAAAGTGCTCACAGAAGTGTGTTGGGACTGTAGGAAAGTTTAAATTTTCCCGTTGAAGTCTGGATAATTTGAATATATAAAACAAACTGATAATAGACAAATTAATAGGAAAAATGGCATGCAAATATATTACATGCACATGTGTAAATGGAAGTCATAAAAAATAAGAAAACTCAAAGAAAGGACCAGATGGTACAAGTTTCATCCATCCTGAGGTTACAGAAAGAAGAGGGGCTTGGAATAGGGCAAGACAGGTTATGGGAAAGGGAATAAAGGAAAAGTGTAGGGCAAAAGCAGTTGGAAACTTCACGCAGATGAAACCCCAGGTAGCAGCCCTCAGAGAGAGTAGATGGTAATCAGTGGTAATGGTTTTCATCAGACCATTAAGGGTATCAGACTCTCAGTTAATCTTTTCTAGATCCAGACACAGGGGCCTCCAGAGAAAGCCTACTTGCATCCATTGTTTATTTCACTTTATTTCCTCTACTGAGGAAATTTCCCCCACAAAAGACAGCTTTGCAAGGCTACTTTTATCTGCAGGACCTCTGAACAGCCATCTCAAAATATGTCAAAGAAGTATATTTTGGGGTTAAATAGTTTTGGTTTCCTTTAGGACCATTAGAAACTCCTAGACTAGTCGTAGTAGCAGTAATAATAATAATAGTTACTAACTTACAGAGAAGTTTGCTTGATCTTTGCAGATATGGGAATTGTAGCCAAATATTATTCTTGATACTTTATGAAAAGGCAAAAATTGCCCTAGAATGAGTGTAATAAGATGTTAAAATGGAACTTCTGGCTGAAATATAAAGATATCAATTTCCAAAGTAATGTGTTAGACAAGATTTACAAAACATGTGGCCAAAAACTGGTTAGAATGGCTTTAATGAAGAGGTTGGTGGGGCAAAAAATAAACAAATAAAAGTGTGTGTATGCACTCTTGTGCTCCACACCCATAGAGAAAAGTTAAAGAAACAAAATTGAGCTTTTATAATAAAATCCGAATTAGCATGCTCTATGGGAGAGGGTTGATTTGCAGCCATGAGAGTCAGCATAGATTGTATTGATCTTGCCTTCTTGGCCTGGCAAAAGTCCTCAGTTTGCATGTTAAAAGAAAAACTTTGAATACATTAAATTTAACAGAGTTTAATTGAATAAAGAACTATTATCAAATTGGGCAGCTCCTAGAACTAGAATAGGTTCAGAGAGTCTCCAGGGCTGCCAAGTGATCAGATAACATTTATGGACAGAAAAAGGAAAGTGACGTATAGAAAATGGAAGTGAGGTACAGAAACAGCTGGACTAGTGACAGCTTGGAATTTGCCTTATTTGAGCATGGTTTGAAAAATTGGCCAACTGTGAGTGGATGCAATGCAGCCACTGTGATTGTGACTTGGCTATTTTTTAAGATAGTAGATTCTAGTCTATTTATATATCTAGTTAGGTGTAACCATGTATGGAGAAACCTTTAGCCTGAACTTCAAATGTGTAAAAAGACGGCGTTAGGATAAATTTAATTTAACAGTATGTCTGCTCTCCGATTGTTACTGGAAAGGAGTCCTAATCCAGACCCCAAGAGAAGGTTCTAGGATCTTATGTAAGAAAGAATTTGGGGCAACTCCACAGAATAAGTTGAAAGCAAGTTTATTAGAGAAGTAAAGAAAGAACAGAATGGCTACTCTATAGGCAGAGCAGCCTTGAGGGCTTTGGGCTGGCTATTTTAAGGCTTATTTCTTGCTCATATGCTAAAAGAAGCATGAATTATTCATGAGGAAATAGGCAGTTTCTGGGAAAAAGGTAGGGAATTCCCAGAGTGGAGGGCATCTCTTCCTTTTAGACCATATAGGTTAACTTCTGGGCATTACCATGGCATTTGTAAATTGTCATGGCACTGCTGGGAGTGTCTCTTAGCATGCTAATGTATTATAATTAGCATATAATGAGCAGTGAGGAAGACCAGAAGTCACTTTTGTCACCATCTTGGCTTCAGAGAGCGTTAGCAACTTCTGTACTGCATCTTGTTTTATCAGTGGGGTCTTTATGACCTCTAATTTGTGCCAGTCTTCTAGCCTTCTATCTCATCCTGTGGCTAAGAATGTCAAACTTCCTGGGAATGCAGCCCAGTAGGCCTCAGCATAATTTTACCCAGCCCCTTTTCAATATGGGATCTCTCTAATTTGAATACCTCTGACAAGATCAGATGTGTATTAAGTATGTATTTTATTTTTTATGATCTGTTACCTTGACTTCTGCGGCCTTGCTGACCCTTAAGGATAGCTAATTCCTAAAGATAGATAACAGCTTGCCCAGGAACACACTTTCAAATACAAATCTGTCAATCCAAACCCACACTTTTAGGCACCTCCACTGTGGGGCTCTCACAGTCAGGGCTACTGTCCACCTGCCCTGTTCACTCCAGGACCAAGTACCACACAACTAGGGACAGCTCCTTTGCTCCAGAGTCTGGAAATGATTCAAACTAGCCTATCCTAAGCCTGCTTCATTGGCATTGCCTAATTGTTCCTGCAGAAACCACAGCAAAGGCTGTACCCATGTGGGCCTTCTCTCCCTCTGCCTCCTAACTCACCCTGGTATTGCCCTGCAGGTCCCTGCATGGAGTGTGGTGCCTCTCCTCATGGGAACTGGGTAACAAACTATCTTTTCAATGGTAATTATCTCCTGATCTGTTGGCTTCACTATACTTCACTTTTCTATTAATACAGTATATTTTAGAGCAGATAGAAAATGGACCATGTGCCATTGAAGTCCACTGAGCTGAATTACTCCTTCACCCAACACGTTTGGATCTCTAAACCAAGAGAGGTGAAGTGAAGCACCTACAAAGTAAAGAAACCCTCAAATACACATGCACTATAAGATAATGTTTAAAAGTTAATGTGGTTATCTTAGTAAGGCCCAGGATTGAAGATAACTATATTTTTTTCTAAGTAGTAACCATATATTGGTGTAGTATTCTTGATATTCATTCATTCTTTTTATAATTTCAGAAATTTATAGTCATCTGTCTTGAAAACTCAGTTTCCCATTTTGAGATGTTTTCATTTTCCAGATTTTTCACCCACTATTCACTGTCATTTCACAGAACTTTCTTTCTGAGACAGAGTCTTGCTCTGTTGCCCAGGCTGGAGTGCAATGGCACCATCTCAGCTCACTTCAACCCTGCTTCCCGGGTTCATGCCATTCTTCTGCCTCAGCCTCCTGAGTAGCTGGAAGTACAGGTGCCTGCCATCACGCCTGGCTAATTTTTTGTATTTTTAGTAGAGATGGGGTTTCACGGTGTTAGCTAGGATGGTCTCGATCTCCTGACCTCGTCATCTGCCTGCCTCGGCCTCTCAAAGTGCTGGGATTACAGGCGTGAGCCACTGCGCCTGGCTTGTCATTTCACAGAAATTTCTGGAATGCCATGGCAATGTAGCAGTCTCATTGTCTGAGGTATTACCTGCAGCTCTTTGTCTCACAACCAAGAAAATTAAGGAGCATGGCCATCAAGGGTGAGGTTGGGACAAAAGTTTAATGAGTGGAAGAAGAAAGCTCTCTACTGAGGAGAGGAGGCCTGAAAGAGAGTTGCTGTTTCACAGTAGAATACACAGGCTTTTTATGAACAGGCTAGTCAGGTGGGGTGTTTTATTAGCATAAGGTGCAAAAAAACAGTTAGGGCTGGGTTTCTTATTTGGATAAGGCATACATTTTTGGCAGCTCCACCCCATGCCTCTAGTGCACATGTGGGCCCTTGGCCTGAGTCACTCCATATTGTTTTCTTTCCCTTACTGCACGTGTATTGGAAGAGGAAAATTTTCACTGTGCACGTGTCTGGTTCTGTGTAAGTCTTCTTATCTGTGCAGCTGCAGGCATGTCTTAGGCAAGCCCCATGTGTAAGTTCTTTTATCTGAGCATGTCCATAAAAGGAAAGAGATGTACTCACTGAAGCCCACTGCGTGTATGTGAGATGTGCTGATTACAATAGACAAAAATGCTTTATGTTGGACCTTGCTTCCTTATCTATGCTTGCAGCTTGAGTTGTCAGGCTGCTCTTTCATTAGAAAGAATTATGTCAAGCACTTTGCTCTAAACATCTGCCTAACTGGTTTCTTACTTTCTCCCCTCTTATTTCCCCCTTCATGAGTGGAGACCTAGACTGCTGTTAGGGAGGTTGGGTGACAATCTTTCTGGCTACTTCCTGTTGGAGAGGGATGTTGTGCAGGGAAAGTAGCCAGGGTTCCTCCTGGGATCGATTGAAGAGTCTTTGGATGAAAGGTGTCTCCATTTTGGGCTTCATTTGTAGAAGCATCTGGAGTTTCATAGTCTCTAGGCAGGAAGACGTAAGTTTTGTAAGAAGATTTAGAACATAGGGCCTGAATATGAGTATTAAGATCATCGCTATTAATGGAGGTATTGTTGGCCATAGCCATGACAGTAAGGTTTGTTTGGTAGCTGCCAGCCATTCTGATGGGTTGGATTTCTGTAGATGAGTTATAATATTGGTTGCTTGTACTAGATGTTGCTGTACCCTGCCAGAGGAGTTAATGCAAAAACAATGTTCTTCTTTGAGAAAAACACATATTCCTCCTTGATTTGCTGTAAGGAGATCTAATCCTCTACAATTTTGTAAGGTAACACCTGCAAGTGAATCTAATTGTTGTTGTAGTTTGTGAATGGCAGCCATTATTTCAGCTAGGACCTGAGTTTGTTGGGAGGATAGATGAAGAGAGGTGGACCCAAGAGTGGTCCCCAGAAGTTCAGACACAACAGCAGCTAAAGGAAGAAATACTGTGGGGTTTGCTGTCTTTATCATGGCATAGATATGTTTTATAAGAAACAGGAATGCTGCAATGGCATTGACATAAGACAATTCTGGAAGTATTGCAACAATGCCACAAGTTCCCTTCCATTGGCTTCAAAGACTCATATATCCTGAGTCTCCACATATGAAGTATTGCCCTTGTTTGGGGTCTAAAGATACCTCATACCCTGAAGAGGCTAGTTCCAAAGGGGGATTTTGTGAGCTCCCAGAGGTTCCAGTGAGTCTTTCCCATATAAGAGACCCATCTGCAGCCAGTTGTGCCTGGAGGTTGGAATGAAAAGCTGAGTCAGGGTAAAATTTTAAAAACATCTTTTGTAACCCCTAGCCAACATTTGAGCTAAGGGCAAAGATGAGTTATTTATTAATATTGTGGAGCAGCCTGTGGAAATATTTAAAGTGGTCTCATTGCTGGTATACTGAGGTCTTCTTGGGTTTGGATATTTAATGAGAAGGAATTGGTGGTGTTTTTCTGGTTTGAGGTATAAATTGATTTTTTTTCTGAGGAATTACAAGGTATTTCTTGAGGTGTCTAAGAAAAACTTCATATGAAAAGTTGGATAAAGTTTCCAAGAAAATTCCTTTTTTCCACTGATATGTGAAGCGGAGAGGGAACTGGCTTCTTGAAGTTACATTGTGAAAAACCCTCACAGGGTTTGGGGTTCATATAAAATTTAGGTTGGGACATCCCTTATGACTTGTGATAGTACTGTAAGAAGTAGCTTTTCTGTAGTTGGATTGGGATATGTTACTTCTAATTGGATGGTTATGGTGACCCTGGTATGAACTTTGGCTAAATCATCTAATGATAATGGTAGTACTTCAGCCAATAGTGATTCCAAAGTTCAAATGTAGCAAGAGGTTAAGTTGGTTTCTGAGGCCAAGTGTTGTAGCTGTTGTATAATGGTGCATAGTGGACCAAACCATCTTATTAGGAAGGGGAAAAAGTACTTCAGTGACAAAATCTTCATGTTTGTCTTTTATTGGCAACTACTATCCCTGCTATGAGGAAAATACCTAAGCAAAATATTAGAGCAATTAAGGTTCGTTGTCTGGTACTCCACTCAGAAGGTGCTACACAGTGGATAACCCTACTGCAATAAGTAGAATGAACAAAACAATACCTGTAAGTATGGTACAGTGAATGACTTCCATCTGAGGTTTTATCCATTAAAGTTTTAGATTTCCCTCTGTGGGTCTACGAAGTTACAAACTTGGTCCCATGGATAATCAAAGTCTCTCTGTAAATATGCATCAAAAAGAAGTTGTAATTCTTGATGGCAGATTTTTAACAGAAACATGGAAATAGATGATAGAGTTTGGTTGGGTAAATGTGGGATTGAGCTGGACAAGTTGTCCTCATTCATCTACTTATCTTTTGTAATTTTCAGTTTAAGGCCCCCGACTTTTTCCACATTGATATCTGGGTTGCTTTTCTGGGCTGTTAGGGGTTGCTCCCTCTGCTTTCCAAGCTTTGACTTAAGTGTGATTAATCCAGGAGTTGATTCCTGCAATTTTACCACTGAGGGGGTGGAGAGGAGAACAGTGTAAAGTCCCTCCCAATTGGGGCCTAGAGATGGAGAAAGTGAGGGGAGAGCATTCACCAGTACTAAGTCTTCTGGATTAAATAAAGGTGGTCCTATTTTCTGGGGTTGAGCTTTTGTTGGCTGTGTTAATTCTTGTTGGAAGTGAGCCAGCAAGTTACATGTTTAACTAACTCAGAAGTTTCTTGGTCTAATAAAAGGTTATTGGTGAGGAAAGGCCACCCATACATAATTTCTAATGGGCTTAAAACTAACTTTGAACAGGTGTTCCTTATCCTTAGTGAAGCTATAGGAAGAAGGGTAACCCAAGGCAGGTGAGTTACTTTGGAACATTTTCTGAGGTGTCTTTTGATAATATCATTTGTTTTCTCTGCCTTTCCTGAGGATTGTGGTTTCCAGGTACAATGAAGTTGGTTCTGTATGCCTAGCACTTTTGAGACCCCCTGTGTAATAGCCACTTTAAATGAGAGGCCATTGTCACATTGGACATAATTGGGGAATCCAAAACAAGGAATTATTTCATTAATTATTACTTTTATTACCCCAGAGGTCTTTTCTGTCTGGCATGGAAATGCCTCTACCCAGTTAGTGAAGGTATCTACTCATACTAAAAGATATTGGATGCCTTTTACTTTTGGCATATGAGTGAAGTCCATTTGCCAGTCTTCCATTGTATAACTTCCTATCTTTGAGCTCATGGGAGGAGGAGCTGCCTGTTAAAGGGATTATTCTTAAGACAGATTTCATACTCATTGACAACCTGTTTGACATTTTTAGTAGATTTTCCTTTGAGAACAATTTCTTGGTGCATTGAAGTCTTATCCTTTCCTAGGTGAAAGGCTTGGTGAAGGAGCTTAAGAATCTTCCATTAACAGGAGGCTTGAAAGTGGTTTGCTGTCCTCTGATTGTAACCATCCCGAGGGCTGAAAAATGTATCCTCAAGAGGTGGTCCATTCTGCAGGGGAGTACTAAGGCTTTATTTTTCTTATGGAGCCCTCCCAGATTAGAGGGGCTTAAAATGTATTGGGACTTTGGGGCGTTCTTGTGGCTGACTTAGCCATCTGGTCTGCTTCTATCCCCCTTGGATACCCCCTGCAATGTATTACTGCCACTTCCTGTGGGAGGAAAACAGAGAATAGTAGCCTGTTGATTTTCTGATGATATTTGATGGGAGACCCATTAGCTGTTAGGAAGTGTCTTTCCTTCCAGATAGAGGCATAGGCATGGAGAAATAGGAAGGCATACTTGGAATCCATATAAATGTTGGCTACTTTTCCCTTGCTCAATTCAAGTGCTTCTCAAGTGATTAGCTCAGCTAGTTGAGCTGAGGTGCACTCTCAATAATGTTATTTATGGTGACTACTGCATATCCTGCTTCATGGATTTCCTGTTGTACAAAAGAGCTCCCATTGGTAAAGAAAGTCCAGTCTGGGATTTCCAGGGGAGTTTGAGGTCCTCCCTGGCTGCATAGGTTTACACCACTACCTGTTCACAGTTATATTCAGGTTCTCCAGCTTTCTCCTGGAAGAAAGTGGCTGGGTTCAGGCAGGGACAGGGTTTTAACTGAACTACAGATCCTTCTAACACCCAACCTTGATATTTGAGGAGGCAATTATCTGTTAGCCAGAGACTTCCCTTAGAGGATAACAGTCCTACCACATTATGTGGTGTATATCCAGTTAAATCATTCTCCGTGGTTAAATTAGTGGCTTCTGGCTCCATCAAGTCTACTGTTGCAACTGTTTGGAGGAAAGCTGGCCATCCTTTAGCCACCAAGTTGAATTCCTTTCTTAGGTAACCAACTGGCTGTTGAGTTGTATCTCAAGCCTGGGTTAAAACTCCCAAGGCTGTTTTTTTTTCCTTTCCAAGACATAAAGAATAAATAGCTTCCCTATGGGAAGACTGAGGGCTGGTACTTTAAGTAAGGCTTGTTTTAGCTGGTTAAAGGCTTTTGGAACCTCAAGTTTCCAGATCAAGAAGTAAGTTTTAGCTGCCCAACTATCTTTTATAAGGTGATATAAGGGAAGTGCTATCTCATCATACCCAGGTATCCATAACCTGCAGAAACTTTTAATGCCCAATAATACTCTTAGCTCTTTGAGGATTTGGGGAAGGGGAAGGGGGAAATGGGCTTAATCTTCTCCTCACCTAATGCTCTGGTCCCTACTGAAAAAGACTAGACCTAGGTACTTTAATGAAGTCTGACAGAGCTGAGCCTTAAACTTTGAAATCTTATATCTTCTGTTAGGTAGGAAATTAAGAAGAGCCTTAGTGCCTTCCCAAGAGGCTTTCTCAGTTAGGGCACAGAGGAGGATGTCATCTACATATTGTAAAATTTCAACCTGAGGGTGAGAGACATCAAATCGATTTTTTGACAGGGCCTGTGTGAACAGGTGGTAGCTGTCTCAGAAGCCCTGAAGCAGTACTGTCCAGGTTAACTGGATGGTCTGATTGGAGGTATCTTCAAATACAAACAAATATTGGGAGTCAGGGTGCAGTGGTATACAGGAAAAGGCATCCTTCATGTCCAAAATGGTGAACCATTTTGTTCCCTCAGGTATTTCAGTTAGCAGGGTATAGGGATTAGGAACTATTGGATGAATTGAAACCACAGCTTCATTAGTGAGGCAGAGGTCTTCAACTAGTCTCCAGTCCCCACTGGGTTCTTGCACCCCTAATATTGGGGTGTTACAGGGGCTGTTGCATGGTCTAAAGAGGTCTTGTGTTCTTAAGTTGTTAATAATAGCTTCTAGCCCTTTTCTAGATTCTGGTTTTAGGGGATATTTCTTCTGGTTAGGGAAGAAGATAGGATCCTTAATGTGGATTTGGACAGGTGCAACACTTATAGCTCGGCCAGTTCTTCCTTGGGTTGTCCAAACCTCTGGATTAATGTTGGTTTCCACTAAGGGGAGGCAAAGGGTTTGCTTTGGATCTGTAAGGATGATGGCTTCCATATGGGCTAGAATATCTCCACCTAGTAAATGAGTAGGACTTTCAGGAATGATTAAAAAGATGAGTAAACAGTAGGTCTCCACAGCTACAACTAAGGGATTGAGGGAAACATTGGGTTAAAGTCTTTCCTGAGACATCCATGATAGTTGTACTGCATAAGGAGAGAAAGCCTAGATTGGAGGAGTACAGAGAGACCAGATCCAGTGTCCAGAAGGAAGTCTATTTTCCTTCCTTCAAACTCCAGAATCACCCAGGCTCCTGCATAGTGATGGCAGTCTGAGCCATTGGAGCCAGGGAATTGAGCCCTGGGACCCGTCAGTCCTGCTGGACCATGTGGGAGACTGGTATTGGACCCATTGGGCCTGTGCCTCTGGGGGCAGTCTGCCATCCAGTGGTCACCAGCACAGGCAGGACGGGGTCAAGGTAACTTTCTTTTGGTGCCTTGGCTGTCCTTTTTAAATTGTCTTGGCTTGCTGCAATGGTAGCAGTTAGCAGGTACATCTCAAAGACTGTGGATTTTATTGACCTGCAACGTGGCCACCAGAGCCACTGCCCTTTTCTTGTGTTTTCTTTTCTTTTTCTGTTCCCTATTGTAAAAGGCTGAGGTTTCCTAAGGTGCTATCTGGACCTATGCCCTCTTTCTGTATCTTCCTTCTAATAACAGGGGCTGCCTGGAGAATAAACTTGTCCTTTAAAATTAGCTGTCCCTCAATTGAGTCAGGAGATACAGAGGTATGTTTTACTAAGTCTCTTAGACTTTCCAAAATGGTGGAGGAATTTGAGTCTAGTTTTTGATTTATCATGAAAAGCATAGAGTAATTGAATGATCTGACTTTGGTCCTCCATAAGCTCTCTAATATGCACATTTAAAAATGTTTTCATTTCCATTCATCTAAGGGATCACTGGGGTCCCAACTAGGGCTTACAAGGGGCACTGCCTCTCTTCCTATAGGGTATTGGAATTATGGTTCATTCTCATTTTATTTTCTTCTTGATTGGTTATAGGAGACATATTGATCATCCTCGAATTTTTCTGCTGCCTGCAGAGCTGCTTGATTTTCAGCAGCACTTAGGGTCTCATTTAGGAGCAACATAACATCTCTCCATGTAAGGTAAAACACTTGGTTCAGGTTTTGGAAAGCCTCTATATATTGATTGGGGTCATCAGAGAAGTTGCCTAGGTCCCCTGTTATCTGTCTAAGATCCTGCAAGGAAAAAGTAACCTGGACCCCAGTGGCACCAGGCCATCAGTATTTCCTTTAGGGGTAATAGTGAAGTCAAAGATTTTGGGGGTTGTAAAACTGGAGGAACTGGTGATGTGGCCAAAGAGGGTCCTGGACAGAGAGGACAGGAAGGGCTGGAGAATCAGAGAGCTTAATGTGAGCCTTCCCCAGGGGGTTGTTTCTCTGATTTTGGGGAATTGTCTACTGCAGGTTTGCCCTATATAACAGCTAAGAGGGCCAGGCCAATTTTACAATGTTGGCAAAGATCTGGATTATCTCCCAGGGCAATGAAGCCTTGCACATAAGGAACCTCGGACCATTTGACCTGTCTGCAGAAAATATCTAGTTGTCATAGAGTATTGAAATTAACACTTCTCTGAGGAGGCCAGTCCTCCCCATCCTGCAGTTGGTAAGTCAGCCATGCCTAAGTGTAAAAGAATATGATGTGCTTTTTCTTCAGAATGTGAGGGTCAAAGGAGTTCCAGTTTTTCAGAATGCACTTGAGAGGAGTGCAGACTGAAAATGATTTGTTACCCATCTAGAAAGAGAAGGGAGAAAAAGCATCCCTTTGTCTCCTTCCTCCTCTTGGAGCGACCCAAGGTGGAGAGAAAATAGAAAGGGCATCCCCCTTTTCCTCCTTCCCTCTCTGTATTCTCTGGGTCCCAGCAACTGCCATAGGTGCTGTCCATGGATGCAAGCATGACCTTCACCCATGGATCCAGAGGAGCTAGTTGGCAGTAGTCATGCTTACCTAGTCCTCAATACCTGTGCGATGCTCTTGCTCTCAACTGGGGATTCCCTATTGGTCTGCTAGACCAATTGATCCAAAAGGCTCCCAAGATACCACAGGAGCCCAGGAGAGATTGTACAGAACTTGGATTTGGGCAAGCCATTTAATTGGGGGGTATATTAATTCTATCCTTGCCTTCTCTAGCTATGGCCCTGGCAAAGCATTGGATTTCCAGATAGTGGGACCGATTGACTTCTAAACATAAAACGCTTTTTCTTTAAATACCAACGTAGCTGGATGCAGAACAAATGTCTCAAAATAACATATGGGTCGAATGGCTGTCCTCCCTTTGGCAAGGACAGTACTGAGACTAGAATCTGTCTTGCCAGGATGGCTTCTTCTGGCTGTTGAAAATGGAGTTCTTCTGTCTACAAATAGGGGATAGGTCCTGATTGCTGATAGAGGGATGTAGGAGGGAAAGAAATTGGGGAATTAGAGGTTATGGCAAAAGGTTTATAGGGCCCACCACAGAGAAAAATCCCATTTCACTAGGTGGAGTAGTAGGACCTTAAGCATTAGGTAAAAATCATGGCTCCAAATTCTTTCCATGCAGAGGTTAGAAAGAGAGGTTTCAGGGATTGGGTGTAGTGGATAACACCTTTAATCCTAACACTTTGAGAGGCCAAGGCAGGCAGGTTGCCTGAGCTTAGGAGTTCAAGACCACCCTGAGCCACATGGTGAAACCCTGTCTCTACTAAAATACAAAAAATTAGCTGGGCATGGTGGTGGGAACCTGTAGTCCCAGCTACTCGGGGGGCTGAGGCTTGAGAACTGCTTGATCCCTGGAAGTGGAGGTTGCAGTAAGCTAAGATCATGCCACTGCACTCCAGCCTGGGGAACAGAGTGAGACTCTGTCTCCATTAAAAAAAAAAAAAGAAAGAGAGAAAGAGAGAAAGAAAAAAAGAAAGAAAAGAAAGAAAGAAAGAAAGAAAGAAAGAAAGAAAGAAAGAAAGAAAGAAAGAAAGAAAGGGTGGGAGGTTTGGGGCTTAATAGGCTATCATAGTATCCCACCTGAGAGAAGAAAATTAACTTGTCTCATGATGAACTGTTCAGATTCATTGAGCAGTGCTGAGCTTTTACATGAAACAACAACAACAACAACAAATGGAGCAGAAGGTATTCACTTCTACTTGGGGTAAAATATCCCCCTATATAGTGCCATGAAAGTCTCTCACTGGGGGGACAAAAAGGCTCTTACTTGGTGAAAATTTAAACTGAATTCTTGAAGTCCTCATGTTTCTAGGAAATTACAAAAACAGCAATTCTTTGAGTTACATTCCTGATTACTAAAGCAGTTTCTGACTTTACCCAACAAGATTATATCCCCAGGTTGTAAAAATACCCACAACATGGCATACAACAAAAACAGCAATTCTTTGAGTTACATTCCTGATTACTAAAGAAGTTTCTGACTTTTCCCAACAAGATTATATCCCCATGTTGTAAAAATACCCACAACATGGTATACAACAAAGGGATAAGAGACATGATTGCCACAGGGGAAAGAAAATAAGGAAATATGAAAGACTGGGAGTCCTGGTGCTGACCCCTTGACAGGTGGTCAATAGCCAAAGTTAGTCCAGGGTACTTCAGGTAACACTGAAGGTTTCTAGCCTCAGCCAGAAACCTTCAGTTGCACCAGGACCTCCTTCCAGTCCCATATGATGGCTAGGTCCACCATGATAGGAAACTAGATCATAACAGAGCTAACATTTCCAACACCTGAGGGCAGTGGGGGATTGACAAACTCCTCTCCAGCAAGCTTGTCTCCTGACTCTTGTAAGGCTGGCAGCTGTGGTTCCCACTTTTGGACTGACAGGGACCCAGTGTATTGTTTGATCTAGAGAAAGAAAACTGAGGACAAGAAGCCTCAAAAATTAAAGCAAAGTGTTGGAGGTCTGCTCTTACTCACCTCTCCAATGGTCCCAGATGTAGCAGTCCCATTGTCTGAGGTATTACCCAAAGTTCTTTGTCTCATGACCAAGAAAATTAAGGAGTGCAGACACCAAGGGCGAGGGTGGAGCAAAAGTTTAATGAGTGAAAGAAGAAAGCTCTCCACTGTGGAGAGACAGCCCGAAAGAGGATTGTCATTTTACAGTTGAATACAAAGGCTTTTATGAACAAGCTAGTGAGGCAGGATGCTTCATTGGTATAAGGCACACACACACAAAAATAGTTAAGACTGGGTGTCTTACTTGCATAAGGCATACATTTTTGGCAGCTCCACTTTGTTCCTCCAGTGTGCATACAGGCCGTTAGCCTGAGTCTATTTTTTTATTTGTTTTATTTTGTTTTATTTCCCTTACTGATCATGTTTTATTTTGTTTTATTTCCCTTACTGAGCATGTTTTGGGAGATGGAATTTTCCCTTGCAGACATGTCTGGTTCTGTGTAATGCTTCTTATCTGTGCAGCTGCAAACATGTCTTAGGCAAGCACCCTGTGTAAGTTATTTTATCTCAGTACATCCAAAACAGAAAAAGAATGTACTCACTGAAGCCCACTGTATGTATATGAGACTTGCCAGTTACAAAAGACAAAGATGTTTTATGTTGGACCTGGCTTCCTTATCTATGCTAGCAACTTGAGTTTTCAGGCTGCTCTTTTGTTGGAAAGACTTCTACTGGGGACCTTGCTCTAACTATCCACCTAACTGGTTCCTTACTTTTTCTTAGCAAAAGCCAACCAGACCTGCACATCTGAATTGAATATTCAGCTGTAGTTCCCTCTCTATCATCACCTAACTCAGGATCCGATTGCCCACTTGAATGCTTGTTTCACCATTTCCAGTTCTATCACCAGCCCCTTTACTGGAGGAAACAGTATCCAAATACCAGGTCCTCAGCCTGACTCCACCACCTCTCCCAAAACTCCCCTGGCCTCACCAAGGTTTGTCATTTCTTTTAAAGGCTGCAGCATCCTGTGAAGCCTCCTGGGGCACCATCATCACCTAGCAGTTGCCCGATGTAGAACTGTTCCTATTTGGAAACCGCACAATCCTCTCCTCTATCATTCTCTAACTAGGTTCAGCCACCAAAGGATATAGGCAGAAAAGCAGGAAAGGAGCCTTTATCATGGTAGATATGAGGTATTGGAAATTGATTAGCCCCAAAAGATGTCATAGCCTGAACATCTACAAGATTTCACACCTTCCATGATTTGTTATACTCTTCAGTAAAATAAAACAGGTATTGGTGTGGTAAAATGGCATAATCTTTTGGGATGGATGTGTCCTGGGTGCCTGCCTCTGTTTCAGTGCCTCATATATTAATTAATGCCTTCTACTAGGGACTTCAAATCTAAACATATATGGGCCACAGTAATTCTTTTTCGGACCATAAAAGGAAGAGGACAGATATTTATGATATTGAAAACAAGACTGAATCCAGAATTTGTTTTAAGTTTGGAGAAAGCTTAGTCACCATCCAGATATGGGGAAATAAATGTTTGAGCCTGGGATTAATGATGTATCTTCTATGTAACATGTTACCTTGACTCACTATATTTACACTCCTGTGAGGGGCAGATAAATTGTTTCCCTTTTTTTTTAACATTTACAAATTTCATGTCCATATTTTAAAATATTGTAATAAAGTATGCAAAACATAAAACTTACCATTTTAACCATTATTAAGTATACCGTGGCATTAATTACATTCACATTGTTGTGCAAACATCACCACCATCCATCTCCAGAAGTTTTTCGTTTTCCCAAACTGAAACTCTGTAGTTTATTTATTATTTAAACAATAATTCCCTATTTTGCTCTCGCCATTGGCCCCTGGCAGCCACTATTTTGCTTTTCTTCTCTATGAATTTAATTACTCTAAGTACCTCCTATGAGTGGAATCATACAGTATTTTTTGTGACCAATTTCATTTAGCATGATGTCCTCAAGTTTCATCCATGTTGTAACATGTATCAGAATTTCATTCCTTTTTAAGGATGAATAGTATTCCACTACATGTACATACCACATTTTGCTTACTCATTTACTCACCAATGGTCCACTTTTTGCCTATTATGAATAATGCTACAATAAACCTTGGTGTGCAAGTATCTGTTTTCATCTTTGCTTTCAGTTCCTTTGGGTATGTGCCTGGAAGTGAAATTGCTGGATCATATGGTAGTTCTATTTTCAATTTTGAGGAATCACCTAACTATTTTTTACTGTGTTTGTATTATTTTTACATTTCCACCAGCAATGCACAGGGTTTCAGTTTCTCCACATGCTCATCAACATCTGTTATTTTCTTCTTCTTTTTTAAATAATAACCATTCTAATGAGTACAAAGTGGCATCTGATTGTGGTGTGATTTGCATTCTCATAATGATTAGTGAGATTCAGTGTCTTTCTATATGCTTATTGACTATCTTTATATCTTTGAAGAATTGTCTTAATACATTTGCTCACTTTTGAATCTGGTTGTTTTTTGTTGTCAAACTATAGGAGTTATTTGTATATTTTGGATATTAATCCCTTATCAGATATGACTTGCAAATATATTCTGTCATTCTGTGAGTTGCTTTTTACTCTGATGATAGTGTTATAGTTTTGAATTTTGATTAAGTCTGCTTTATTTATTTTTTCCTTTTGTTGCCTGTGCTTTGGGTGCCCTATCCAAGAGATAATTGCAAAATTTAATGTCATTAAACTTTTCCCCTTTAAGACTTTTTGTTTTAGCTCCTACATTTTTTTCTTTGATCAATTTTGAGTTAATTTTCGCATATGGAATAAGGTAGGGATCCAACTTAATTTTTTAAAATCATGCCCATCTTTGGAATTAAGATAGCATGATTTTAACTTCAATGTTATTATCACCCTCATTTTTCTAGTTTTAATTTTTATTTTAAGTTGTGGGATACATGTGCAGGACTTGCAGGTTTGTTTCATAGGTAACAACTTGTGGCATGTGGTTTGCTGCACCTATAAACTCATCACATAGGTATTAAGCCCAGCATGCATTAGCTATTTTTTCTAATGCTCTCCCTCCCTCCACCCCACTCCACCCTCTGACAGGCCCCAGTGTGTGTTGTTCCTCTCCCTGTGTCCATGTGTTCTCATTGTTCAGCTCCCACTTATAAATGAGAACATGTCGTATTTGGTTTTCTGTTCCTGTGTTAGTTTGCTGAGGATAATGGCTTCCAGCTCCATCCATGTCCCTGTAAAGGACATGATTTCACTCCTTTTTATGGCCGCATAGTATTCCATGGTGTATATGTACCATATTTTATCTTGCTGAAATAAGGCAGGCAGACATGATTAGAGAAAAAAGAAGGAAAAGGAATGAACAAAACCTCTGAGAACTATGGGATTATGGAATTATCTTCATTTTATTCATAGGGACACAGAGACTTGGAGTAGCAAATTCCTCATCCACCAACTGGATAGTGACAATGACGATGCAAACACAGTTCTCTTTATACCAACCTCAGGCCCAGAAATAGTCCCCATATATGTAACAGAGTTAAGAGAGCTCAGGCCAAAGGTAATTAATCTGTGTTTGTTATATTCATATTATAAAGTATATTCATGTAATAGGATTATTCCTGTAATATATGTAATACCCATCACTTGTTTGTATTTATATTTTAATATTAGTAACCAAACAAGGTCATTAAAGCAAAATTAACTTTTGGATTTGTCAATAACTTTTAACATTTGCTATCCTTTGTTTGCTAGAGTACATATAAACTAGGATAAACATAATTAGGGAGAAATCATCACTGATAGGACTATCTCAGGAGGTTGGCAAGTCACCTGTTCTGGCACTCATAGTTGCTTACTGCATAGAGCTCTTTATTGTTGGCAAAGCATGTGCATCTTCCATGTCATTCCTTCGATTAATATTTATTTATTGAGTGAGGACAGTTTATCCATGGGTACTCTGGGCACTGAGTTGAGGGAGACCACATTTCTGAACTTGAGAACTCAAAATTTCTAATCGGAATTATTTCTACACTGGTGTCTGGTAGTACCAATGGGTGCAGGATGTGGGGAAGCATTGAGGGGCTCACCCAATTCACATCTTAGGGATAAGAATCAGAGAACACTTTGTAGAGAAGGTGTCAGCCCAGTGAGACTGTTAAGGATGAATAAGGGATAAGGAGAGTATTTATTGTGTAGCATTTATGTGGGTTAGAGACTTTTAAAGATTATAAGCTAATGTCCTTCTTACAGTAAACCTTTAGAGTAGGTTCTCTTATTTTAATTTTACAAATGAGGATACTGACTCAGGTAAGATGACACAGCACGGAAGATGCGCAGTCAGGATGAAGAGAAAGACATACCAGGTAAGTGAACAGTTTGAGCTAGACTGGGGACCAGGGAGGCATGAGTCTGTCTGAGGAACATGGAGAATAAGTTTCTTTTTGTCTGAGAAAATAGGGATGTGAGTTGGCTGTGCAAGTGGAGTGACAAGCTGATTTTAGGAATTTGGACCTTTTGCTTTAGGCAGGGGATATTTAAGTCTCAGTGGATGTCTGTCAGGGGCATGAAGCTCCTGAGACGTGCTTGCAAAATACTGGGTATATATCCTGGTGTGCATTTCCTTGGTTAAAAAATCATAGCTTTTATGAGATTCTTAGCAGATTACAAGATTAACAGACCCAGTGCATGACGGAAAATCACAAAAGACCCTTAATCAAGGGAACAGCCTTAAACAGATTTCACTGGTGGCCACACAGAGCAAGGTCAAGGCAGGGTGGGGGGTGTTGCTATTGTTGTGTGATAACAGGCAGATCCCCTGGGTCCAGCCACCCTCCTTACAGGTTGACCCCCTTGGTGGACACGAAGTTCCATGCAGGAGCACATTGGTATTGTAATTCAACCTAATGTCCTTCACATGGACCCAGGGCCTAGAAAAGTGGTAGCTGCTTAAGTGCAGTTCATTGAATGAAATGAAAAATGTGTCTGTGATGGTTGGATACTTCAATGAAGGTAAATATTAAGAAATAAAACAAGTAGCAAGTCAGGAACTGAATAAATTTAAATAAAGGCAAACTAACCAAAAAAAACAAGTGGAGGATGGACCTCAAGGTCACTAGAAGCCGGCAATATTTGTTTCCTAGTCACAGCTTTTCTCAAGTTGAACACATAATGGCAGTTCAAATATTCCAAGTGTGAAGGGCAAAATATGAAATATTTGCAATGAATTAACAGAGAAGAAAGAATGTGGAATTTGATGGCAACAGCCCTGGAGTCCAGCCCACTGTCTCATGTTTGCTGTTGGAGGGCCCACTGCATGTCTCAGGGACTCAGGTGTCCTTAAAGAAAATCCTAGAAAACAATCTCAACCTACTTACAAGGTGACTATCTCTCTGGATAAAAGGAGACACGAATGCAAACAGGAATTGTTAACTGGAAAGCTTTTATAAATGTGATCGTGAAATAACTAAAGTAAACTATGAATGATACATATTACTATCCAAATATGCAAATGTTTTATTAGTAATAGAAACACTTCTAAAATGGGTTCGCCGTGTGGCACTCAAAACAAACGTTTTTCTTGAACTAGTAGACCAGGAAGTAGGGAGAATGTTACCTTGAGTACACCTAAAAGAAATAGGGTAGTGATAAACTAATAATAATAAAGTGTGACTGAAAAGAATTGTCTGTTGGGCCATCAAAAAAGAACATTCTGTTTTCCTTTAATTAGCTCTTGTCACTTTTTCTCCTGTCAAGAAAAATGTGGTGCAGACATACATCTTTTGGGATGATCTCAAACTTCATTCTGCTGCTGGGCATTGTTTGCAGGGAAAAAAATTAACTTTTCAGATGTTACATATGAAATAAATAAAAGATCGTGTTCTACACTCATATTCTAGTTTCTGCTGGGAATCACTGCAGACTGTTTACATGGGTCAGGATGAATTCTCAAACACAGAAATAGGTTGGATCTTATTCCCGTTTTGGAGGATTGAGGGCCTGATAGGACAATACTTGGAAGCAAATCATAGTTTTATTTCTTTAGTGTAAAGGAAATTTGAGGTCCTGGGATACAGTAGGTGCCCAACAAATACTTAACCTCTTCGTAATAATTTAGTTAAGTTGTTACTACAAACAGGGAATGATATAATGATCAGAGGTGAAATAAATTTGTGAGCACCTCCTCCAACATAAATCTCATTTCAGATTCAGTAAACACTTATCAAACGTCCACTTGTGCTGACAGTATGTTAAGAGTGAGGTGTATAAAACGGTATCACCTCTGGTGAGGGGCTTGCAGGCAGATTAGCAGGAGAAATAGATAGAGAAGCTTAGATCATACCAACTAAGTGCAAAGTAGGATCTGACCAGTGCTCAGTAAAAGCACAGAAGAGGATGAATCCTGGTTTTTCTTGGAGTTTGATGCATGGTATTTTAATTATACCCAGGATTTGTTTACAACAGACACAGACACAGAAATGACTGTCATAATGGAAGAAGTTTAAGCTCACAGTTCCCTGGAAGCAGGAGGCATGACATACCACAAGGGGCTTAGGATGAGCTAGTTTGAGTAATTTCAGCAGGGTCTGGAGTATTGACTGGGGCTTTTGTCTGTCACCTGGCCCTGGGGTAACTAAGAAAGGCCAACAGCAGCCCTGAGTGGAACAGCCTTATAAAGGAGGTGGGGATGGGGTAGCGGAGATGGAAAGGTATGGCCCAGAAAAGCTGGAGCCTTTAGGAAGGAAGAAGGAAGGCAGGATATTGCAACGTTTGCAAGGACTTTGAGGCTTCAGTGGGGGCTGCAGAGAACAGACGGGCAGGGGACCTCGGGTCTGGTGGGTGTGAGGAACAGGAAGAGAAGAGGAAAGTCACTCCTGCCCACCTGCTCTAGTTTCCTACCAGAGTAGTCTATTTCCTCTCGCCAGCTTATCTCATGAAACAGCTCTTGATACTTCCAAAATGTGGAATTGGGAAAATCTGCCACTGAAAGAGAAGAATTAAAGAATAAAAATAGGATGACTTAAAATGAGAGCTTACAGAATGGGGACAGAGAAACCTGACTTGAAACCCACCTATATCATGTCATTGACTGACAGAGAGAGTTACTTATTCTCAATTATCTAAGCCTCAGTTTCCCTATCTGTAAAACAGAGATAATCACAACACATGTGCTTTGAAAGAAATAAATGAGTTAAGTCATGTTCACTCCCTGTGGCCATTCACTAGAAGTCACTGTATGCTCTCTTGTGGTTAGCCACATGTGGACCCAGCAGGGCATTTAAAAGCATTTCACTGGATAGCATGTGACTCACTTTGACCTGAGCTTTCTGCAAGGCCATGTGTGCATGAACTAGTAATGGCAAAAAGAAAGTAATCGCTGAAGCCAGTGCCAACAGAGACCAGTAAGTCATGACCCAGTTATGTACACTAGGCATTAAGGGTTATTTTTCATATGAAAGTTCCAAAATATTTCCCCATATATAACAAGTCATTCTCTCAAAATACTCTACAAGGGAGGTATAATATCACCTGTTTAACAAAGAGGAAAAAGATGCCAAAAGAAACTAAGTGTGTCAAATTCTCAAAACCAACTCATCGGTGATACCTACCTGAACACAGGATGCTAATTTGAAGTCTAACACATCCCCCCAACCCTTAGTCACTGTGTGAAAAATGGGAACAAGTGTGCAATTTGCTTTGCAAAGAAAGGGGAGAGAGGAAGGGCAGGGGTGGTTCCATGTTGTATGAGTTTGAGAGGTGCTGGCTCCTGCAATACCACGCCCTCCTCCTGAGATGCCTATGACCAGTACCACAGTAAAAACTGACAAGATTTTCCCAGAAGGAAGTCACCTTAACTTTGAGCTAGCATTTCCCAGTTATTCTACTGAAGTTACATCTTAAATAACATGTTAATGTCTGCCCTTGGGAAATGCTGATAAGTTGTGTTGTCATGTCATTACAGTTGCTTTGTTTTAAAACAGTTATATTTGAACCCCTTTTCCACATTATTATTATTGTTTAGACAGAGTCTCACTCTGTCACCCAGGCTGGAGTACAGTGGCACAATCTCAGTTCAGTGCAACCTTCGCCTCTCGGGTTCAAGCAATTCTCCTGTCTCAGCCTCCTGAGTAGCTGGGATTACAGGTGTCCATCACCACTCCCGGCTAATTTTTTTTTTTTTTTTTTTAGTAGAGATGTGGTTTCACCATGTTGGCCAGGCTGGTCTTGAACTCATGACCTCAGGTGATCTGCCCACCTTGGCCTCCCAAAGTGCTGGGATTACAGGCTTGAGCCACTGTGCCCGGCCACAGATTTTTATTATTATGTTTTATTTCCTACATTTCAACAAATGGATTCTCTTTCCATTCAAAGTTTTGTTTTGATGTTCAATGAAATGCACACTTAAATGAGAAATTTCCTCCTAGACTCACTGAATTTATTCATACAAATTAGAATAGCAAGGATTTCTTGTGGATGCTGTATTACTTGAAATCTGCAAATGATGTTTTTATGCAGAAAGAAAAGAAACTGTTAAAACGTATCTCAAAAAAGCAACAATGCCTAATAAAGATAAAATACAAAAGTTTAAATAATTGTATAGTTAAAGAAAGATTCTTATTAGATTCAAGATGAATATCTGTTTTAGTTACCTTTCTTTAGCAAGACTATTTTCCCAAATTCAGCTTCTGTACTTGGATTCTCACACTCAAATCCCGCTCAGCAGTGTGGGCCTAACTGGATACAATTTACATGGCCATTTTCCATTAATTATTTAATTGATTAGCCACATGTAATATGAAATATGTTTTAAAAGGCAGAAAACTGTAAATGTTAAATTTATTTATTTAAATGCGACACTTAGCCTCAGTAACCAACTTAACCTCTTGCTACATTTGGACTTTGGAATCGCCATTGGCCGAAGTACTACCATCATCATTAGATAATTTAGCCAAAGTTAATACCAGGGTCACCATAACCATCCAATTAGAAGTAACATATCCCAGTCCAACTATAGAAAAGCTATTTCTTACAGCACTATCGCAAGTCATAAGGGATGTCCCAATCTACATTTTATATGAACCCCAAACCCTGTGAGGGTTTTTCACAATGTAACTTCAAGAAGCCAGTTCCCCCTTTGCTTCACATATCACTGAACAAAAGGAATTTTCTTGGAAACTTTATCCAACATATTCTGGTTATTAGTATTATGTTTGAGTTTCTATTAAAATCTGAGCATTTGGGGCATTATGTTCTAAAACTATGGATTTTATTGAATTCTGTGCCTGTTTTAGTGGCTTCCTCTGACACTTCAGCTGAGGAAGTGGCCCACTGCCTCTACCTCGCCAGATGGGGTAGAAGTCAAGATTCTCCACCTGGGTCTATTTACACTGAGTGTGGGGAGAGACTCCTAGTTTTTCTGGGTGGAGGGGGGGGGTCGTAAAATCCATGAGGCCTCTGCTATTACCTGGGCAGGAGAAGAGGTTCTGCCTTTTAGTGCTTCCCCAGAGGCCTTCACAGACACCCGGCAAGGGGTCTTGGCCTCCTTACTGCTGGGCAGGGGTGAAAGTTCTGACATGTCTCTGGTGGAGCAGGAGGACAGCCTAGTAGTGGTGGAAGCCCTGCCCCACATCTGCCCCACATGTGTGTGGTTTCTGTTACACTGGGGAAGAGGGGTGGCATCCACTAGGTGAGGATATGAGTCTCATGTCCCTATTCTGCGTTCCCTAACACCTCCTCAGCTGCAGGTTGGGGTTGGGACACTTCCCTGCAGCCTATTGTTCTGGCCAGTGAGGGTGGAAGTCTGGGGTCCCTGCCTGGCTTTTCCTGGCCTGGGTGGAGGTGGGGCCACAGTTTTTCCCTGGTATTTGGCTGGAGTGGGGACATTATTGTCTAAAAGTTTCCTGTGTTGCTAGGCTGCCCCTTTCCTGGTGCTTTGGCTAGACACAGCGAGCTTTTTCTTGGGGGATTGCATTTATTTATTCATTTTGTCTGTGCCTGTTGGCCTTTCCTCATTGCTCACTTGTTGAGATCCAAGTCTGTAACATGTGATGCAAAAAGAAAAAACCAGGGCACTCACCACCACATCAGGCCTTGGGTCTGAAGGTCCCTTCCTGGGCTGCCTTCTCTCTCCCTGCCAGTGTCTTTTTATGTTGGTTCATAAGAGACACTGGCAGGCAGAGAGGCATTATGTGTAACGCCCAAAAGTTTTTGTGGGAAGAATTGGGAAGTACATGTGCTCCTCTTTCTCAGTTCAAACCCTTAACCACTGCTCATTTGTAACTTACTTTTCTGCCATCTGGAATCCCCAGAAAAAGATAAATCCCACTCACTGCCCTTCCACATAGGAGCTTTCCATATTTGAGAAGAGCAGGGTTACCCTCTGAGACTCCTCTCTCCAGGCTGCTGCCCGTGTCCTGGGGAAGCACGACCTCTCACCCAAGCAAAAAATCCCAGCGTGGCCTAATCAGGTGAAATAGTTCACAGGCGTCCTCTTGGCCACAGGGCTCCAATCGTAACAGGTGATGTCTACTATCTAATCATCAATTGAATCATACTGAGCTTGTAATCAACCCATAAATAGCTGGAGGTCTTATTCCTATGAATGTCTAAGCTTTTCTAAGTCCCTGTTCTTGCAGGGTTTGGGGCAGAACTTTCCTGCCTCTGTGATGTTTCACTTGTTTGATTTGGGTCATTGTGTCATCGATAGTGCCCCCATTGTGAACACCTGGGCTGTCTCCTACTGGAGACTTGCAATCCACTGCCATTTCTGTCCTTTAAAGAAGATGAACTCATAAAGGAAAGGCTACTCTAACCAGCCCTGAAATGTTTGTGAATTATTATATATGATTCTTATTAACAGTAGTACAGTATTCATTCATATCCTTTGCCCACTTTTTGATGGGGTTGTTTGTTTTCTTCTTGTAAATTTGTTTAAGTTCTTTGTAAATTCTGGATATTAGCCCTTTGTCAGATGGATAGATTGCAAAAATCTTCTCCCATTCTGCAAGTTGCCTATTCACTCTGATGATAGTTTCTTTTACTGTGCAGAAGCTCTTTAGTTTAATTAGATCCCATTTGTCAATTTTGGTTTTTGTTGCCATTGCTTTTGATGTTTTAGACATGAAGTCTTTGCCTATGTCTATGTCTTCAATGGCATTACCCAGGTTTTCTTCTAGGATTTTTATGATTTTAGGCCTTACATTTAAGTCTTTAATCCATCTTGACTTGATTTTTGTATAAGGTGTGAGGAATGGGTCTAGTTTCAGTTTTCTGCATATAAAGAAGACATTTATGCAGCCAACAGACATATGAAAAAATGCTCATCATCACTGGTCGTTAGAGAAATGCAAATCAAAACCACAACGAGATGCCATCTCATGCCAGTTAGAATGGCAATCATTAGAAAGTCAGGAGACAACAGATGCTCTAGAGGATGTGGAGAAATAGGAACGCTTTTACACTGTTGGTGGGAGTGTAAATTAGTTCAACCATTGTGGAAGACAGTGTGGCAATTCCTCAAGGATCTAGAACCAGAAATACCATTTAACCAGCAATCCCATTACTGGGTATATATCCAAAGGATTATAAATCATTCTATTATAAAGACACATGCACATGTATGTCTATTGTGGCACTATTCACAATAGCAAATACTTGGAACCAACCCAAATGTCCATCAATTATAGACTGGATAACGAAAATGTGGCACATATTCACCATGTAATATTATGCAGGCATAAAAAAGGATGAGTTCATGTCCTTTGCAGGGACATGGATGAAGCTAAAAACCATCATTCTCAGCAAACTTTCAGAAGAACAGAAAACCAAGCACAGCATATTCTCACTCATAAGTGGGAGTTGAACAATGAGAACACATGGACACAGGGAGGGGAACATCACACACCAGGGCTTGTTGTGGGGTGGGGGCTAGGGGAGGCATAGCATTAGGAGAAATACCTAATGCAGTTGATGGGTTGATGGGTGCAGCAAACCACCATGGCACATGTTTACCTATGTAACAAAACTGCACATTCTGCACATGTACCCCAGAACTTAAAGTATAATAAATAATTTTTAAAAAGTACAGTAATGATGAAAGAATTCTACTTTCTTCCATAAAAGTAGAAATAAATCTTTTCATTCTAAAGCTTAAATTTCTCCAATTTGAATTGAGTTCATATTTAATGATTGTAATATTATAAAATGCAAACTTAAAACTGAGTTTTCCTATTTGCTGTACTAAAAAAAATTTCATTAAATTTCTGTACTAATTAGTGGTAACTTGTACAATTTGTGACTGCTTTTACATTTACAAAAATAACACCACATCTAGTATCTAGAGCTTTCCTCAGTGTATTTGAATTCTCCCGTTCATATGTGTTTAATTTGCATGTAACCTACCAGACACATAACTACTATCTATTAGGGATCAGTAAAGAAAGGAAAACGTTTCTTAAATATATTTGCATATAAGCCTTTGATGACAAGCAGATGACACCTGCAAAATCTGGAAGACAAATATGGAACAAAGTTATGAATCTAGGAGTTTCCCGAAGACACTAGCAAATTGCCTACCAAGATGTCAGCAGCAGGCAGTACTTAAGTCAAATTAACCTAGGCCACAATCTGTGCCAGGACCCTTCAGGCTCAAACTCTAATTTTCTCTGTGCGCTGAAGCAGATGTGCACCTCAGAGATGGACTCACTTCAACAAAGACCTCATAGAGCCTGGCGGGTTTTGACTACCACCTGCCGATAGCTCTCAAAGTTCAATAACTACTTTCCAACCCTCTTCAAATAACTAATCCTCCAGGGCTATTTGTGTGTGGTCAGTCTGCTTCAGAGTACCATGGGCTCCTTGGAATTGCTTTGTCCAAAGTAGAAGTCGTTCTTTCTCTCTCAACTCCTGTGTTCTCCTGCACACACAGTCTTCCTGGGAGAACACCATTTGCTCACTCCCTCACACCAGCTCCCTGGGGACTTGCCTGACTACTCCCTTTCTCTCTTACTAAGTTTGTCCATTATGCCTTCTAATAGTTCTCCAATATTCCATCTCATATTCATTCTTCTATGATTAACCTTGCTTAAACTGTTGTCATAATTTCTGTGACTACAACATAAATCTTCCAAATGGATCCTATCCTCCAAGTCTCTTTGCTCTATCCCTGAGTTGTCCAATACACTAGCCAATGGCCATATGTTGCTACTGAGCACTTGAAATGTGACTGGTGTAACCAGTTATCTGAAGTTTTAGTAGTATTTAATTGCATTAAATCAAGAAAATATAGATACTGAATTCAGTTGTTAGAAAACTTAAGAATCTCTGGTTGAGCATGGTGGCTCATGCCTGTAATCCCAGCAGTTTGGGAAGCCGAGGCAGTTGGATTGCTTGAGCTCAGGAGTTTGAGACCAGCCTGGGCAACATAGTGAAACCCTGTCTCAATCAAAAACACAGAAAATTACCTGGGCATGGTGGCATGTGCCTGTGGTCACAGCTACTCGGGAGGCTGAGGTGGAAGGATGACTTGAGCCCAGGAGGTGGCAGTTGCAGTGAGCCAAGATCACACTGCCTCACTCCAGCATGGGCAACAGAGCCAGACTCTATCTCAAAACAGAAAAACAAAAAAACAAAAGAGAGAGAAAAAAACCCTTTCAGAATCTCTGAAAAACTCCGGCATGTGAATGTACTCTTCAACTTTAAATTTAATGAAATCTAAACACAGATCGAGTAATTGTGATGAGTTTAGCATCTGTAAATAAAAATATGCTTTATGTGTAAAATACATGCAAGGTTTCAAACACCAAGTACAAGAAGAGTAAGTGTAAACTATCATTAATAAATTTGTGTACTGATGACATTTTAAATGACAAAAGTTTGAATGTATTGTGTTAAATAAATTACATTATCACATTTATTTCACTTGTTTCTTGTGGCTATTAAAGAATTTTAAAATTGCCTTTGTGGATCACACAATATTTCTATTGTTTGTTTCAACCAATCCATGTTCCACCTCTCAATCCATTGGCTGTCTCTCGATCCATATTCCACCTGCTACCAGCAAGTGAAGTGCTCTGCTGACTCTTCACTTCCTCCTTCCTGACATCTGCCTGTGGAATAGAGCCTAGTGTTCCCTGAAGCCTGACTTCTCTGCCCTGCCCTGGGCACTGCAGGTGGAAGTTTCCACATCACAACTCGAAGGCTACTAGTGGAAACACTTCCTCTCCCAACACCACCCCCCGCATGGGGCACTCTACTTAGAGGGTTGCTTTTCTGTCCCCTTCTCTGCCTCAAAGTCCTTTCCTATTACTCCTTTAAGGCAAAATAAAACAAAAACACAAAGCTGGCCAAACTGTATTTGTCATTTTAGAACCAGCTCAAGGGTGTCATTTTCTCCAAAGTGCAGTTGGTGCCACTACCTCCTCCTTGACAGGTAGATCATTGCCCTGGGCTGTGTCCCACTGGGTCGCTTTCCAAAGTAAGTCATAGTAACACCTGCATGCTATCTTTCTCCCCTACCAGGGAGCTCACTATCTCAGAAACCCAGGAAGCTCCTTTCTAAGGAAATACTTGGATGAATAAATGAACTCAACAGCAATGCCAGTGTTACTAATTCACAAAGATAAACAAAAATCCTCCTGCAGGTTGGAATGCACAGTGGTTTGACCAGGCATTTTTTTCCCATATTTGGAAAACTGGCAAAAGCAAGGCTTTATGAGATACAGGATCAGAAAAAAATGAGAGCAGGTAATCTAAAAAGCGTGGTCAGGGCAGTACAGCTGTGGTTTTTGCAAAGTAGCAATTGCTGTCCATGGGTCAATTGTCTTATCTGCCTCTGCCACAACTACTGTCTTTTCTCTGTGTTCATGGCAATTCCCTGACTCTTTGGCCAATGCATTATCTTTAAAGATATTTAAACATATACAATCCAGCCTTGTTAGCCTGAGGTCCATTCTGCCTTTTCTGAGTAGTTTTTTATCAACCTACCACCTGAGTCACTAACCACTTACTATAAATTTACATCAATCACATTTCCTCCATTCCTGAGTTTATGTGGCCACGTGATAAACAGGCTCATACATTGGTGTGTCTCATCGCAATTTTTAATGTTTAAAAAAAGGGTGTAAATGCTTAAAATCATATTTTCTAAATAAGTGAAACAAATGTTAAGCTTTTAAAAAATTTCGATTTCTTACTTACAAAATTTATTTGTTCTTAATTGCTGAGAGTTTGAAATCTGTGCCTGTCTGAATCTTTCATTCACATGGACATAGACATTATCATCCAACATGAAGTGACAAGGCATTTGACAGAGTGAACATGGAGGAAGGCCACTCTTATCAGTGTGAAAGATAGTTGCATCCTATGAGGATAGAAGACACAGAAGATAAAATCTGAAATACAATAAATATGCACTTGTTTATATTTTTCTCTTCTATAATTACCATAGTGACCTCTTACCTGATAAAAATGTCAACAGAGATGGTAGAAGATGGGTCTCAGCTGTGCTCTCAACAGATTCAACATGCAGAAAACTAGTTTTCAGGGTCACAAAAGTTTAACTCATTTAATGAGCTTATTCTTACATGCCATTATTGAATTAAAAGCATGATTTAGTACTGCAGGGTGGAAAAAAGCAAACTGCATTGCTTTGACAGATAAATTCCTCTCTAGCTTCTTTTAGCAATTCCTAGCATTTGGAATCGCTTCCTATTTAATATTTTTTGTTGTCCTTTTTCATTTTTATTCTCAGTAGTCATTCTAAATGTCTTTTTAAACTCATAATGATTTAAACTCCTAGGAGGCTGTGTGAACTTTGACAAATGACTCAACCTTCCTGGATGTCAATTAAACACTACATATTTGCTGGGCTTTAACAATCTAAATAAGATTTTATTCTTCCTTTACAGATACCTTGACATCTCTTATTCTTCCACGTCTTCATAAATTGTATGTCTAACTTTCTCTGTTGGGATGTTTGCACCAATAACACAACAGTGGTTCTCTGACTTGAGTGTGCCTTAGAATGAGCTGGAAGTCTTGACACAACGCAGGCTGCTGGGCCCAGTCCTGAGGTTCTGACTCACTAGGTCTCGGGTGGGGCCTGAAAACTCGTGTTACTCACCAGCACCCAGGAGCTGCTGATGCTGCTGATGTGGCTACCACAGTTTCAGAACCACTGCAATACAGACATCTTCTCAAGGGTGCAGAACACAGAGCTTAAAAGATGTTTGCATGCTTTACAAACATATTAAGATCCAAATGTCCATAAAGAAAGATGTTCATCTCCTTACCTTTTAACTGATGTCCAGATCACCTATTCAGGTTATCTTTGGACTCGGAGATGAGGTGATACATGTGGAGAATTTTCAAACAGTAAAAGCAAGTGATATGCATGGAAGGGAACATGACCATCAGTAGCCAGTCATGACTAATTCTGAAATTTAATCTTTCAAGGCTCCCTCATTCCTCCTTTTGTCTTTGACTCTGCTCTTCTTACCTGCCGGGTGTAAAGGCAAACAGCACCTCTTTGAGCTCAGATGTGTTCTTTACTGGCTGGGAGGCCATGGGCACCTTACCTCAGTTCTCCCAGTGGAAGAACTCCCATAGAGACACTAGATGGTTTGTGAGGGAACCCCAGCTTTGATTTCATGACTCCTGCATTTGTATTTTTAAGTATAAATTACTGTCAAGTAAACTCTTCTTCACACAGAATGTGAAATTCATCTATCCTTCTGCCCACTCATGCATTTATTTATGTATTAATTTAAGAAATATTGATTGATGGCCAGGTATGGTGGCTCACACCTGTAATCCCAGCACTTTGGGAGGCTGGGGCAGGTGGATCAGTTGAGGTCAGGAGTTCGAGACCATCCTGGAAAACATGGTGAAACTCCATCTCTAGTAAAATTACAAAAATTGGCTGGGTGTGGTGGCACACATGCCTGTAATCCCAGCTACTCAGTAGGCTGAGGCAGGATAATTGTTTGAACCCAGGAGGCAGAGGCTGCAGTGAGCAGAGATCATACCACTGCACTTCAGCCTGGGTGACAGCAAGACTTTGTCTCAAAAAAAAAAAAAAAAAGAAAGAAAGAAAAATATTGAAATATTGATTGATTATCTGCTTACATGTAGAAAATATGTGCTTTGGAATTTTAAAATATTAAGAAGAAACTTCACCTTTAGCTTTATTAGACTTAATTGCGAGTATTTCTATTCTTTCTTTAATCTCTCAATTTTAATGATTTTGACATTTGAAGCTGGGATCATCTTACTGGATCTCTCATCATTCTGTCACCTTAAATTTAGCAATATGATTATCTTCTCCAATGACAGAACATTTCAAGTGGGAACTGAGCCATGGCAGAGCTACAGTGTGTTGGCATGGCCCCCTTCCTTTCACTATCATCACCATTGTCATCATTGTATGGTTTAATATCTCAACATACATAAAAGCAAATAACGGAGCTAGCATCCTGCCCATTTTACCCCTGAGATGTTCCAAAATTCTGTGTTTAAAAACCTGTAAAATGAATGATTCAACATCTGTGACAGTCCTTTTATCTGCTGGTTTAGAAAGCACAGTAGTACTTTCCTGTCTCTCTAAGAGTTAATTTGTGCAAGCTGCTGGTATCACTTTAATATATATTTTCTGTCCCAAACAAAACCACATGAAGATCCCGTTCTAAATTTTGCCAGGGACCCATGTAAAGCTTCTCAACTCACAGATCATAGCCTCCAACATTCTGTTTTTGGAAAATTCTTCTTGATTTATGAGAGATGCCCAGTACTGGTTTTACTAAGATGTTGGCCAGGATGAAAAGAGTAACAACAACAACAACACCTATCAGAACGTGCTTTCAAGTTTCTAAAAGATTAATAGTCATTCTCACAGTCTTCTCTCTTCATAGAACTATGAGGTTGATAAATTTTCTGGCTTCTCCCCAGAGAAATAACTTGGTCAAAACACTCAGGAAGGGGTAAGCCAAAACATCAACTTGGATCTTTCCATCCCAGACCTTGTACTAAATGAAGGAAGTAAAATAGGATCAGGTGATTCTCTTTTTCATATTGTCTCTGAGAAAAAGTAAGTGAAATAAACTTAAGTTTTGGGGACCTGGACACTAATCAGCTTGTTTTTGTTTTGGTATTTTGTTTTTTAATTACAGATGTTTATTATTTCTTTCATTATTTCACCAAACCAAGTTTTTCTTAAAACCAAGATCTATTGCCTTGGTCTAAAATAAAAATAAAAGTAAAACAAATAGTATCATTTTATGTAAATAGCAGACTTGGGATACTTAAGATTGAAATTCTTGCCAGAATCATAAATCACTGACAGAAAATAATGGTCTTTTTATTACTTTAAAAATTAAACTAACATCTAGGCTATTTAAATGTTAATAAAAGTGAGTTTGGAAGGGTTGGAGTTTATTTCAGAGAAAATTTTTTCTTTCTTTACTTTTTTTTTTTTTTTTTGTAATTTTGATCCAAAACTAGCCTGTCTCCAGAATGAGGCCTGCAATCTGATCAGCCCTGAATTTCCTGCAAAACTGTGGTTCTTCCTATTTACATTCAGTGTGAATTCTTCAAGGAACTTGCATACTGCAACTGTTCAGCACTAACTAACTTCTGTTAATCTCAGATTATTAACTGGCAGGCAAAAATGAAATGGCCCAATGGTCTTCAAACTCAAATTGTTCAAATCCAAAATATGTCATATATATAAATCATTGCTTTTATAAAACTGCTGTATAAATTAGTTTTACGTAAACTGCAATTACAAGTTTTGTTTTCTGTAAAAATTGCTTATGAATTCTTCAATTTTATAGATTTCTGAGAATGAATAGAATACTCTTTGTGTGTGTATTGCTCCTATATTTTAGTGACAATTATTACTTGGGCCTTTCCAATTCTTTGAGCTGGTTGTGCTCTGAACGTACCTCTAAATCTACCTTCTGGTGATTGATGAATACTCTCATCCATCATATTAGAACAATTTCTCAAGTTCTCAACATTTTTTAATTAAGAAAAAATTTAAATTTGTTCCCATTGTGTTCATGTGACTGTATTTCTTAGCTGTAGAAGTCCTCTGATGAAATAAAAAACGTCTCTTTCAAACAAGGATAGAGGGAAGACATTTTGATTCCTGAAGAAAGTCTGTGATCTAACCACAAATCCGAATAGCATTAACATTCTTGACTTTCCTCACCACTTATTTAATTTCTAAAATAATCTTTGCTTGTTCCTTTAGAACGAGTACTAGTTATAAAAAAACCAGAGAACACATTGGTTCAACAACCAATTTCAAAGAAGAACAAACATAATTCTCAAAATAAAAATGGACACTAGTAAACCTCACTTCAGATATTCTGAAAAAAATAGTTTAAAATTAAGTTATGAATTTTAGAAAAGAAAGACATAAGTTCAATATTCTAGTAAAATGAAAGTAAATACCTTATGTTACTTCTTGAAATATATATAATTCAAATTTCAAATTGTGATGTGACGTGTGACCAAGTAAAGGGGTTTTTTCATCATTGTTTTGTTTGCTTTTTGTTTTCTTCCCCTAGTAGTACATGTCCCCACAATGTCAATGTAGGAAGTGGGAATATTTCCAAGGTTATCCCACAAGCACTTATTTGGCCCTTAAGCTAACTTAATCATCCAGAGTCACTATGAACCTGAGCATGGCTTGACTTGGAAACTCTGTGCCTTACTTAATGGACAGATCAGTAGGTGGTAAAGAGGAAAACACTGATCTCAAGGAGAGTCCCATGCCAGCATCAGGGAGGCTCTGAGTCAGGGAAACTGAGGGCCTCAGGAATGAAAGACAAGGGCTGCCTCTGTCAACAGCTCCACTGATTATAGTGGAAATAACCTAGTTTCCCCATCACTCCTGCTGAATTGCTCTATAATTATTTCCAGTTTTACATATTGAGAAATGCAAAACAACAAAAGCCTTTATTCAATCAATAGCTTCATCGTGTGTGGTTAATTCTGATTTTGCATCCGTTAGATTTCATGTTGTGCATTAGATTCCAATTAAAATCTCTCTTTGATGTAACTGTATGCATATCAATGAACATAGGTAAGCATAAGGTGCAAAAAGCTTAAAAATTAGAAATGACAGCTTCCATAGTCTCAGTAATTTTAGTAAGAAAAAAATCATCAATTATATATTTAGCTAGAGAAGTCATTTGTCAACTTTTTGAACTCCATTCAAATGAGCTGGCCATTTATTCATTTACTCAATCATTCATTTATCAGTTCTTTAATTCACTGAGCTTCTAGTGTGTGTCTGGTAGACATGGGCACTGAAGATGAATTTTCATCTGTGATTTTATCGTAAGGTATGCAAGTGAACACATACAATGCAGTAAGTACTCCATCATAAAGAGCACCCAGCAAAGAGGATGCACAGCTTCCTCAGACAAAGAAAAGATGTGGCTAGAGATCATTCCTAAGGGAGAGTTAATGACTGGAGATGTGGAAGAATATTTCAGCCAAAGAATAGCCATGATGTGGCAAAAGTCAAGCCTAGAGCCTGTGGTAAAAATCCAGGAAAGGAAGCTGAATGGTTAGGCAAAAGCCAGACAATAAGGACTTTGTGGGAAAAGGATAAGGAGTCTGAATTTAAGTCAGAAATAGAAATATCACTGGCTGTGATTAATTTATGTGCTAGACATCATGTTGTAATTTTATCTTCTCTGATGGTCACAGCAACTCTCTGACGATCTCTAAAAAACATTTTTTTTTTAGAGAAGTAAACCAAGTGACGGCTGGGTACAGTGGCTCATGCCTGTAATCCCAGCACTTTGGGAGGCCAAGATGGGCAGATCATGAGGTCAGCAGTTCGAGACCAGCCTGGCCAACATGGTGAAACCCCATCTCTACTGAAAGTACAAAAATTAGCCAGATGTGGTGGCGGGGGCCTGTAATTCCAGCTACGTGGGAAGCTGAGACAGGAGAATCGCTTGAACCCGGGAGGCGGAGATTGCAGTGAGCCGAGACAGTTCCATTGCACTCCAGCCTGTGCAACAGAGAGAGACTTCATCTCAAAAAAAAGGAAGTGAACCAAGTGACTTACTCCAATTCACTCCATTTTTTCTGAAGCCAATAAAGGATTCACATCTAAATCTTACATAAGTTCTTGCTGTAATAACTGTTTGAGTCCATTTAGGCAACAAAACAAAACACCATAGACTGGGTGACTTATGAAGGAGGGACATTGATCTCTCACAGTTCTGGAAGCTGACACTCTGATATCAAGGTATCAGCAGATTGCTGTCCGATGAGTGGTTACTTCCTGATTCATAAATGGGGACTTCTGGTTGTGCCTTTGTAGGGTAGAAGAAGTAGGGGAACTCTCTAGGGCCTCTTTTTTTTTTTTTTGAGGGAGTCTCACTCAGTTGCCCAGGCTGGAGTGCAATGGCGCAATCTCGGCTCACTGCATCTAGGGTCTCTTTTATAAAAACACTAATACAATTTGTGAGGCTCCACTCTCATGTCCTAATCACCTCCCACAAACCTACTTCCTAATATATCCCCCTTGGGGTTTAGGATTTTAACATATAAATTATTGGAGGATAAAAACATTCAGTCCATAGAAGTCACCAAACTGGTTCTACTCACAGTGTAACTGCAAGGCCAGTGCCAGACTGTCATGAAATAACTACTAGCCTTGAGAATCTAGGAGAATTTATGTTGGAAACTTAGCAATCTGACCTTGCTGTGATGTTCAGGTGCACAATCAATGAACATGACTCATCAGATTACAGACAGATTTTAGTGCTGTGGAACTCAAATGGGCAGTCTCCAATGGCATGAGCTGTGTCAGGCAGACAAGAACGTCATACCAGTCTGATAATTAATTAAAAAACAAAAACAAAATCAACTGGTTCTTCACTAAAGTGAATTTGAGAAACACTTTCTTAGCACTGGAAGTAATTGCTAGAGATGGAGTGAGATTATCATCAGTGTTCTAGAAAAAGATCCCTGGAACCGCTAGGCACTGGTTTGAAGAGAGATGCAAAGGATAGGTCGGGCTCTCAGGTGGAACTATTATAGACAGCACAAGTCTCCCAGAAGGTGAGAGGTGATGGAGCCAGGAACACCACAGTACACATAAGGTGAAACAAAAACATTAATTACCAAGAAGGAAACAAGGAGAAGAATCGGTGCTTTTCTGACAAATTGCATATGTAAGGTAAAAGAGCAATGAGGATCATAACATTTCTGATTTGGAAAACTAGAATGCCAATGATGTCTAGAAAATGGAAGAAGAAATATAAGATGAAAATGAGCACTTTGGGGAACAAGGCTGTGAGGATCGTAATGGGAATGGTGGTTTATTTTGTTCATATCCCAATGGGAGCCAGACAACTAATGAGCTATGGCTATGAAATCAAACCGGATGGGTTAGAATCTGGCTTCTGCCATTCACCCACTAGATGGCCTTAGGCAAATTATTTCTCTTCAGTCTTTGTTTCTTCATTTGTAAAATAGAGATAGAGTGAAGAAAAAATTATTTTACGACGTATTTTTTTCTTACTTGCTAATTTAATAATATTCCCTGAATTTCCATTTTTGTTTGTTTTGTTGCAGTGTATTCTGGTTTATTTGTGTTTGTAGTTTGTTACGTTTATCTATTCTGATCAAATGGTCATCTCTCTGAATTCTTAATAATTAGTTCAGATTTCCATACTTTCACTCAATCAAAGAGGATACCCCTAAATAGAACTTAATACCTAAATATCTGAGACATGCTGGAAGAAAGCTGGAAAAGCAATGTTCTTAAAAAAGTGGGAGATGTTGGATTTCATTTGAAAGGGTATGAACTAACACTTTTTCTTGAGACTATGCTTAAACTGTATTTAAAAACAAATTGGTTTGAAAATACTTAAGAGGAAAATGACTTTTTACCCTCTTATAACAGAAATAGCATGGTTTATGGAGAAATAATGGTTTAGTATCATCTAGGGATTTTGTATAAACAGACCTGGTAAGATGTACGTGGCAAGACACTTCCAGTTTGTCCATTATAGAAGCTTAGGCAAAGTGAAATACTTTCACCACAAACATCTAGAAATCAAGAATAAGATATACTACCACAATTTTACATGAATATCTGATCTTGCAAGGAAGGAAAAGAAATCTCTAGATGCAAAAAAAAAAAAAAAAGGAATTAAAGACAAGACAGTAAACTAATGCTGAGGTTCTTTTGAGAAGAAACAGAGACAGGGAGTATGAATCATGAGCCAGGCTTGGGATTACTGGAGAGAGGATGTTCACACTGGGCCAATGTAATGTGAAGGGTTTGGAAGGATGCCTTTTCTAAAGGCAGAAACTGCCAGGGGCTATATTCCATGACTTTGAAAAATTTGGGTCATTGGTACAGGCAGATAGCAAAAAAGTAAAGTAATATGTCTGTTTTACCTGAACATTTGTAATGGGTGATTGGCAGCTATCAAAACATTCAATTGTGTGATCCTGTACATAATGTTTGGAATTAAAAACAATAGTATAAGAGATTATTAAAGGAAATTAAGGAAAATTAAAGAAGATATAAATAAAGTAGAAAAGCATTCCATGTTCATGTATCAGCATATTTAATATTGTTTAGATGGCAATTCTTTCTAAACGAATCTACAGATTGAACACAACCTCTACCGAATTCCTGATGACTTGTTGTGGGGTTTTTTTTGCAATGATTTCCAAACTGTTTCTAAAATTCACATGGAAAAACACAGGACGCAGAGTAGCCAAAACAATCTTTAAAAAGAAGAACAAATTTGGAGGACTCACAATTCCTAGTCCTAAAACTTGTTACAAAGCTATAGTAGTTAGGAAAGTGGTACTAGAGGGGGCAGACTTTTGTTTGTTTTGTTTCATTTAATATGCAACACAAAGTTATAAAAAAGAGAGTGGCACTAGAATAAGAATAATTGCATCATCAGTGGGATAGAATTAAGGGTTCAGGAAAAAAAATCTCTTGCATTTATGATGAACTGACTTTCAACAAAGGTGACAAGGAAAATAAAAGGGGAAAGAATAATCTTTTCAGCAAATAGTGTTGGGGCAACTGAATATGCACGTGCAAAAGAATAAAATAGGACACCTTCGCTACATCATTGTAAAAATTACTCAAACATATCAAAGACAAAAATGTAAGATCTAAAACTATAGAATGTTTAGAGGAAATAATAGGAGTAAATCTTCATAACCTTGGTTTAGACATTGATTTTTAAATATATGATAGCAAAAGCACAAGGAATAAAACATAGATAAATTGGACTTCCAATTGAAAACTATTTTGCTGCAAAAGATGCCACCAAGAAAGTGAAAGAACAACCCACAAAATGGAAAAAACTATTTGCAAATTATATTTCTGAAAAAGAACATGTATGGAGACTATATAAAGAACTTGCAACTCAACAATAAATAGACCAATGACTCATTTGAAAATGGGCAAATAATCTAAATAGACATTTCTCCAAAAAAGATATACAAATGGCCAATAAAGTTGAAAATGGGCAAATAATCTAAATAGGCATTTCTCCAAAAAAGATATACAAATGGCCAATAAAGACATGAAAATATGCTCAACATCACATTATTAGACATTACCTAAATGCAAATCAAAACCACAATATCACTTGATATCCTTATAAGATGGATACAATTTCTAAAAAGACAAGAGGGAAATATAAATTAATACAAGGACAAAATATAATTACACACCTATTGAAATGGCCCAAATCCAGAACACTGATAGTATCAAATGCTAGAAAGGCTGTAGACTAACAGAAACTCTTATTCATTACTGGTGGGAATGTAAAATAGAAAAGTCCCTTTAGAAGACAGTTTGGCAATTTCTTACAAAACTAAACATGCTTTTATCAGATAATACAGCAATTACACTTCTCAGCATTTACCCAAATGAGATGAAGACTACATCCACACAAAAACTTGCACATAAATGTTTATAGCAGCTTTATTCCAAATTGACAAGACCTGGAAACAACCAAATGATCTTTAGTAGGGGAGTGGATAAATGATCTGTGGTATATCAAGGTAATGGAATATTATTCAGCACTAAACAGAAATGAGTTATCAAGGCATGAAAAGATGAGGAAGAAACTCCAATGCATATTACTAAATGAAATAAGTTAGTCTGTATTATTCCAAGTATATAACATTCTGGAAAGGCAAGACTATGGAGACAGTAAAAGGATCAGTGATTGTCGGGTTGGGAGAGAGAGGGATAAATAGGAGCACAGAGGATTTTTAGGGCAATGAAGCTAGTCTATATGATACTATAGTGGTTGATACATGCCATTATACATTTGTCTAAACTTGTAGCATGTGCAACATCAAGAAAGAACCCTAATGGAAACTATTTTTTACATTAGGACTCTGGATCCTGAGTGATGATTTGTCAATGTAGATTCATTAATTGTAACAAGCATACTGCTCTGCCAGGGGATGTTGATAATGAGGGAGGCTGTGAATGTGTGGGGGAAGGGAATTATGGGAAATCACTGTCCTTTTCTCTAAAATTTGTTGTCAACCTAAAACTGCTCTATAAGGGAAGAACACACACTGGGATCTTTTCAAGGGTGGAGAGTGTGAAGAGTAAGAGGATGAAGAGAAAATGATTAATGGATTCTAGGCTTAGTACCTGGGTGCTGAAATAATGTGTATAACAAACCCCCATAACACAGTTTACCTATGTAACAAACATGCAGTTGTACCCCTGAATGTAAAAGTTTTAAAAAAATTTAAAAAAAGAATAAGATTTTTAACAAAAAGACAAGTATTGATAAGAATGTGGATAATTGAAGCACATTTATTGCTAATTGAAATAGAAATATGCATTCTCTTTGAAAAGCAATTGGGGATTATCTCAAAATGTTAAGCATGGAGCTATCACATGACCTGGAAAGTCTATTCCTAGGTAGATATTCACATAAAATGAAAACATATATCCATGCAAAAATTGCACATGAAGGTTCTAATTCATAAGAGTATTATTAATAGCCAAAAAGTTAAATGTCTATCAACTGATGAAAAGAAAAACAAAATGTGGTATATTTTTACAATAAATTATTATTTTAAAATAAAAAGGAATACTGACATGTTTCAACGTGGATGAACTTCAAAACGTTATGTTAATAAAAAGAAAAGCCTGTCACAAAAGACTGCATATTATATGATTTTCTTCATATGAAAGTTTGTAATAGTTAAATCTACAGATGCAGAAAGTAGATAAGTAGTTTCCTTGGGCTTGGAAAGTGTTGCAGAATTGTTAAGAAATAGCTACTTGCTGTGGTCTGAATGACTGTGTCCCCTAAAATTTGTATGTTGAAATCCTAACTCCAAAGCTGATGGTATTAGGAGGTGAGGTCTTCAGGAGGTGATTAGTTCATGAGGGTAGAACCCTCATGTATAGGATTAGTACAATTATAAAGAGGCCTGAGGTAACTCAGTCATCGCCTTACCATGTGAAAATGTAGTGAGAAAGTGCCATCTATGAACAGAAGAGCAGGTCATCACCAGACACCTAATCTGCTGGCATCTTGATCTTGCACTTCTCGGCATATAGAACTGTGAGAAATAAATTTCTGTTATTTGTAAGCCACCCAGTTTACAGTATATTATTACAGCATCCCAAACACACAAAGATGCTGATAATGGGTACTAAATTTATTTTTCATATAATAAAAATTTTCTCAAATTAGATTATGGCGATGATTGTACAGCTGAAAATATGCTGAACACATTGAACTCTGCTCTCTAAATAGACAAATGTTATGGTATGTAAATTATATATTTATAAAGCTATTTTTTAAAAAAATCAAATAGCATACCTATGTTCCAGAAACCCTAAACTCAGTAATTAACATAAAATTGCTCTTAGAACTGTGATATACCTGGGAAATCTTTTAAAAGATAATGCAAAATATCACTAGAACAAAATATCTTCAAGTAGAGGATTCCCATGGATACAGCCTTGTTGAAGATGAGCTCACAGTTCACAATTATAAAACACAAAATGAGACTATCCACAGTGATTGAGTCAATGGAAAAAATAGGAAAAGCAAATGTTTTTGGTTCTTACCTGATTTTTTTAATGCAATTGATTGCATACCACTATAATCAATATGTTGACTATCATACTGATCAAATCACTCTAAAAAAACCACTGCTCTACCAACAATTGAAAGTAGATAAGTTAGAAAAGTGGTAACAAAATCAAAAAGTGATATCAAAGAAAATCAGGAGAAAAAGGTTAGTAGAAGCATTGACAAAATCTACAAATATGTTTTTATATACATGATTACAAGTGGTCTGAAACAAAAGCAAACTCCAGCAGACCTACAGCAGAGGGGCCTGAATGTTAGAAGGAAAACTAAGAAACAGAAAGGAATAGCATCAACATCAACAACAAGGACGTCCACACAGAAACCCCATCCGAAGTCACCAACATCAAAGGCCAAAGGTTGATAAATCCATGAAGATAAGAAAAAACCAGCACAAAAAGGCTGAAAATTCAAAAAAACCAGAAGACCTCTTTCCTCCAAAGGATCACAACTCCTTGCCAGCAGGGGAACAAAACTGGATGGAGAATGAGTTTGCCAAATTGACAGAAATAGGCTTCAGAAGGTGGGTAATAACAAACTCCTCCAAGCTAAAGGAGCATGTTCTAACCCAATGCAAAGAATCTAAGAACCTTGAAAAAAGGTTAGAGGAATTGCTAACTAGAATAATCAGTTTAGAAAAGAACATAAATGACCTGATGGCGCTGAAAAACACAGCACGAGAACTTCGAGAAGCATACACAAGTATCAAGAGCCAAATCGATCAAGCAGAAGAAAAGATAACAGAGATTGAAGATCAACTTAATAAAATAAAGCATGAAGACAAGATTAGAGAAAAAAGAATGAAAAAGAATAAACAAAGCCTCCAAGAAATATGAGACTATATGAAAATACCAAACCTACGTTTGATTGGTGTACCTGAAAGAGACAGGGAGAATGGAACCAAGTTGGAAAACACTCTTCAGGATATTATCCAGGAGAACATCCCCAACCTAGCAAGACAAGCAAACATTCAAATTCAGGAAACACAAAGAACACCACGAGTATACTCCTGGAGAAGAGCAACCCCAAGACACATAATCATCAGATTTACCAAGTTTAAAATGAAGGAAAAAATGTTAAGGGCAGCCAGAGAGAAAGGTCTAGTTACCCACAAAAGGAAGCCCATCAGACTAACAGCGGATCTCTCTGCAGAAACCCTACTAGCAGAAGAGAGTGGGGGCCAATATTCAACATTCTTAAAGAAAAGAATTTTCAACCCAGAATTTCATATCCAGCCAAACTAAGCTTCATAAGCAAAGGAGAAATAAAATCCTTTACAGAGAAACAAACGCTGAGGGATTTTGTTACCACCAGGCCTGCCTTACTAGAGCTCCTGCAGGAAGCACTAAATATGGAAAGGAAAAACCAGTACCAGCTACTGCAAAAATATACCAAATTGTAAAGACCATGGACACTATGAAGAAACTGCATCAACTAATGGGCAAAATAACCAGCTAGCATCATAATGACAGGATCAAATTCACACATAACAATATTAACCTTAAATGTAAATGGGCTAAATGCCCCAATTAAAAGACACAGACTGGTAAATTGAATGGAGTCAAGAACCATCAGTGTGCTGTATTCAGGAGACCCATCTCACATGCAAAGACACATGTAGGCTAAAAATAAAGATGTGACGGACCTCTTCAAGAGAACTACAAATCACTGCTCAAGGTAGTAAGAGAAGACACAAACAAATGGAAAACATTCCATGGTCATGGATAGGAAGAATCAATATCATGAAAATGGCCATACTGCCCAAAGTAATTTATTGACTCAATGCTATCCCCATCAAGATACCATTGACTTTCTTCACAAAATTATAAAAAACTACTGTAAATTTCATACAGAACTAAAAAAGAGCTTGCAGAGCCAAGACAATCCTAAGCAAAAAGACCAAAGCTGGAGGCATCATGCTACCTGACTTCAAACTATACTACAATGCTACAGTAACCAAAACAGCACGGTACTGGTACCAAAACAGATATATAGGCCAGTGGAACAGAACAGAGGCCTCAGAAATAATGTCACACATCTACAACTATCTGATCTTTGACAAACCTGACAAAAACAAGCAAGGGGGAAAGGATTCCCTATTTAATAAATGGTGTTGGGATAGCTGGCTAGCCATAGGCAGAAAACTAAAACTTGGCCCCTTCTTTACACCTTATACAAAAATTAACTCAAGATGGGTTACAGACTTAAACATAAGACCTAAAACCATAAAAACCCTAGAAGAAAACCTAGGAAATACTATTCAGTACATAGGGATGGGCAAAGACTTCATGACTGTAACACCAAAAGCAATGGCAACAAAAGCCAAAATTGGCAAATGAGATCTAATTAAACCTTCTTCCCAGCAAAAGAAACTATCATTGGAGTGAACAGGCAACTTACAGAATGGGAGAAAACTTTTGCAATCTATCCATCTGGCAAAGGGCTAATATCCAGAATCTACAAGGAACTTAAACAAATGTGCAAGAAAAAACAAACTACCCCATCATAAAAGGGCAAAGATATGAAAACAAACTACCCCATCAAAAAAGGGCAAAGATATGAATAGACACTTCTCAAAATAAGACATTTATTTGGCCAAAAAACATATGAAAAACGATCAACATCACTGTCATTAGAGAAATGCAAATCAAAACTACAATGAGATACTGTATCATGCCAGTGAGAATGGCAATCATTAAAAAGTCAGGAAACAGCAGATGCTGGAGAGGATGTGGAGAAATAGGAATGCTTTTACATTGTTGGTGGGAGTATACATTAGTTTAACCACTGTGAAAGACAGTGTAGTGATTCCTCAAGGCTCTAGAACCAGAAATACTGTTTGACCCAGCAATCCCATTACTGGGTATATACCCAAAGGATTATAAATCATGCTACTATAAAGACACATGCACACATACGTTTATTGCAGCACTGTTCACAATAGCAAAGACTTGGAACCAACCCAAATCCCCATCAATGATAGACTGGTTAAAGAAAATGTGGCACATACACACCACAGAATACTATGCAGCCATAAAAAAGGGTGAGTTCATGTCCTTTGCAGGGACATGGGTGAAGCTGGAAACCATCATTCTCAGCAAACTAACACAGGAACAGAAAACCAAACACTGCATGTTCTCACTCATAAATGGGAGTTGAACAATGAGAACACATGGACACAGGGAGGGGAACATTACATACCAGGGTCTATCAAGGGTGGGTGGCTACGGGAGGGATAGCATTAGGAGGAATACCTAATGTAGATGACAGGTTGATTGGTGCAGAAAACCACCATGACACATGTATACCTATGTAACAAACATTCACATTCTGCACATGTATCCCAGAACTTAAAGTATAATTTAAAAAAATTTGCTTTAAGGTAAAGCATAAAAAAGCCCATAATTTGTGACAAAAGTAAAAAGAAAGCTAAAGGAAGCATCCAATAATAGAGGAGAAGAAAAGTAATCAACATTATACGGTTAACCTTTCTGATAACAATGGTGACTTGGAGACGATACCAAAGAGATACTATAATATATTAATAATTTTATCAAGACACTCCCATCTTGAGCTCTAACCTTCAAATGACATGCTTTTCCCCAACCCGTGGTAATAAAACTTGGTTGAATAAACTTCAATTAAAAAACTTATACCCTGGGGTAAGTGGCCAGTCTGGGCACCTTTGTGAAATTTGAGAAATTTTCACTTTGTGAAATTTCTCAACATTGTATATTTGATACTTTTGCAGATGTGTTTGCTAAGAAAATAACTATGTGAGCTATTCTCAAAGTAGATACAAAGTGTAGTTGGGTTCTCTGGTCAGGATGACCAAATCTCATTCTGGGTTCTGCAAATAATCAACAGAGAGATTTTCATCAAATGAAATGATTTTCTTTTGAATTTGAGTTACATGTGTGGTCTCATGCATTAAAATGTATTGAAATTACTGCACACTGGGGCAGAATAGTACAATATCTGCACACACAATAAGTAATAGTAAATGTAAATCCTTGAACAACTTCAGTCCACCAGCAAATCCACAAGCACGAATTTTCAGAGGAAACTGGGACTGAGCCATTTTAGTAGATAATGATACGAATGAACGCCAATGATGAAAGAACTGGCAGAAGAAGTCACTGTTGGGTGAGGAAAAAGGACACATGACCCCTACCAGATGTTCATTTATCTAATGTCTAGATACTTTAAAACATAGATATTACTACGGATTTAAGCCAAAGAGAGAAAATCCTAAGTGAAATGAATTTAAAAACTGAAATTATTGAAAAAAAATGTTGAATTTGAAAATGTTTATTTGGCATAGCTTAATCAAATTTTCTCTTTTCAGGCAAAATTTAAAAATGAACAAGTATCATCTTTCAAATGCCTAAATTATATTTCTTAATACTAATGACACACAGTTTATATGTGTGCATCATATAATTCGATTCTCACAATAATGCTTTCAAGATGTGCTACTCTATACATTCTTTAAATGAAGGCAATTGAGGAAGATTAGATGAATTGTCTGCCAAGTTAGCAAAGGGAAAGGGTGGCTTGAGTTCTTGTTTTGATTCCAAGGCAGGCAGAATTGGAAAACAAGAAATATTTTAAACATCTCTACTATTAAAGATAGAATAATATCTATTTTGTTTTGCTTTGTCTGAAGGTGTGAACATTTATGTCCAAAAGACAAACTGCCTAAGATTACACAACTCAGGACACTATACTCTGTGGTAGTTTAATTTTTTTTCTTGTCCTAAAATTTTATTTTAATATACAATGCCATATATAAACTCATCCAAATCCATAAATAAAACATCAGTAGCCTACAGGAAAAAAAAGGAAATCAACTGTATTAGTCAGGGTTCTCTAGAGGGATAGAACTGACAGGGGATATATATATACACACACACATACATACACCTATATATATACACATATTCCTTAATAAACTCCATATATATATATCCTTAATAAGCTCCATATATATCCATTATATATATGTATATGTATGGAGTTTATTAAGGAGTATTAAACTCACACAATCACAAGGTACCACAATAGTCCATCTGCAAGCTGAGAAGCAAGGAAGCCAGTCCAAGTCCCAAAGCCGAAGAACTTGAAGTCTGATGTTTAAGGGCAGGAAGTGTCCAGTACAGGAGAAAGACGTAGGCTGGGAAGCTAAGCCAGTCTAGTCTTTTCATGGTTTTTTGTCTGCTTTATATCCTAGCCTCACTGGTAGCTGATTAGATGGCGCCCACCCAGATTAAGGATAGGTCTACCTTTCCTAGCCCACTGACTCAAATGTTAATCTTTTTTCTCAACACCTTCACAGACACACCAAGGATCAATACTTTGCATCCTTCAAGCCAATCAAGTTGACACTCAGTATTAACTATCACACCAACACATCCTCCGGCTGGTCTCCAAATACATCTCTACTACAATTTTGCTCTGTTATAAGATAATTGATTTGCCATGGCTTTTCTTACCATGCTAAATGATGGAGCCAAGGAAGAGCATACACTTCACATAGAAAACTCCAATGACCACTTCCTCAGAACAGAGTGTTGCTTCTTTCATCTGTGTTGCAAGTGTCCCACAATCCACTTCAAATTTATCTCTGTATGCCTAGGGTAAGAGAGTTGAAAGAACATACAATAATTCTATTACATGTACAGTACTTCTAGGAAAATAATTATTATAGTAAGAATGTCTTGAGAAAGACAGATGACTTAGCTTTTGGAACAAAGAGCTCTGATCATCTCAGAATTACCTGTTCTTTCTCATTCAATGAAAATAAAAGCCATGAAGGAATGCAGTGACCATATTTGAAGTAGCAAATTCATTTTATTGTTCAAGAAAATCTTGGCAAGATGGTAATCTTAACTAATTTGTATTATAATTGACACTAATTTTCTTAAGTTCCAAAATGTCTTTTATTGAAAGGATCAAAAAACTAGATTTGGTATAGCCAACAAGATTTTAGGACATAGGTGGCCACTCTCTTAGTTGTCTCCAAAAATGTTTGTGTGTTCCCGGGCCTTGGTTGAGGAAAGTTAATGACTCCACAAATATATCCTCCCAGTATGTACATATGCACCATACTCAATCCTGTGAGTTGTGTGGGGGATATAGTGTGTGTATACAAATAAATATTGTTGCATTGTATTAAGAAACAAAAAGTCAGCAGGTGAAACTGTAGTAAAGCCTTTGCCAATTCAGGATATTGTAGGATCATAAGATGATCATACTTTCTCCAGCCCAGTGCCATCAGACTTGGTGTGTGATTTGCTGTGGGTCACAATGGGTGACAGAGAAAGAGGCATGTGGCACATAAGTACAGAGACCAGAAAAATCCAGGACCTGATGGCTTCACTGCTGAATTCTACCAAACATTTAAGGATGAACTAATACTAATCCTACTCAAACTATTTCAAAAAATAAACAAGGAGAGAATAATTCCAAATGAATTCTATGAGACCAGGATCATCCTGATAGCAAAAGCAGACAAAGACACAAAAAGAAGGAAGGTGGGAAAGAAAGAAGGAGGAGAGGAAGGGAGGAAGGGAGGAAGGGAGGAAGGAAGTAAGGAAGGAAGGAAGGAAGGAAGGAAGGGAAGGAGGGAAGGAGGGAGGAACAAAGAGGGAGAAACAGAGGGAGAAAGAAAGGAAAAGAGAAAGAAAGAGAGAAAGAAAGAAAGAGAAAGAAAGAAAGAAAGAAAAAGAAAAAAAGAAAGAAAGAAAGAAAGAAAGAAAGAAAGAAAGAAAGAAAGAAAGAAAGAAAGAAAGAGAAAGAAAGCAAGCTAGCTACAGGCCAATTTTGCTGATGAACATTGATGCAAAAATCCTCAATAAAATACTGGCAAACTGGATTTAACAGTACATTAGAAAGATCACTCATCATGACCAAGTGGGATTTACCCCTGGGATGCAAGGATGGTTCAACATATGCAAATCAATTAATGTGATACATTATACCAACAGAATGAAGAATAAAAACCATATGATCATTTCAATTGATACTGAAAAAGCATTTTGATAAAATGCCACACCACTTCATGATAAAAACTCTAAAAAAACTGGGTATACAAGGAATATACCTAAACATAATAAAAGCCATATACAACAGATCCACAGCTAGTATCAAACTGAATGGGAAAAAACTGAAAGCCTTTCCTTGGAAGAATTCAAATTATCTTTGTTTGCAGATTATATCATATTATATTTGGAGAAACCTACAGACTCTACCAAAAAACTATGAGAACTTAAAAATTCAGTAAAGTTGCAGGATACAAAGTCAACATACAAAAATCAGTAGCATTTCTAATGCCAACAGAGCAACTGGAAAAAATATTGCCTAATTTACAATAGACATAAATAAAATTAAATACTTAAGAATTAACCAAAGAAGTGGAAGTTCTGTATAATGCAAACTATGAAACACTGAGGAAAGAAATTGGAAAGGACACAAAAACTGGGAACATATTCCATATTCATGGGTTGGAAGAATAAATAGTGTTAAATTGTTCATACTACCCAAAGCAACCTACAGATTCAAGCAATTCCTATAAAAATACCAATGACATTATTCACAGAAAAATTGTGTAAATTTAACAATCCTAAAGTTTATATGGAACCACAAAAGACACGGAAGAGCCAAAGCTATCCTAAGTAAAAAGGACAAGGCTGGAGGAATCACATTACCTGACTTCAAATTCTACTACAGAGCTATAATAAACAAAACGTCATGGTACTGGCATAAAAACAGACACATAGACCAATGGAACAGAATAGAGAACTCAGAAACAAACCCACACACCTGTAGTGAACTCATTTTTGACAAAGGTGCCAAGATCATACATTGGGGAAAAGACAGTGTCTTCAGTAAATGGTGCTAAGAAAACTGGATATCCATATGCAGAAGAATGAAACTAGACCCCTATCTCCCACCACATACAAAAATAAAACCAACATGGATTAAGTAATGAAATCTAATACATCAAACTACTAAATTACTACAAGAAAACTTGGAAAAAATATACAGGACATTAGTCTGAACAAAAATTTCTTGAACAATACCCAAAAGCACAGGCAACCAAAGCAAAAATGGACAAACGGGATCACATAAAGTTAAAAGTTTCTGTACAGCAAAGAAAACAATCAAAAAAGTGAAGAGAAAACCCACAGAATATTTGCAAACTAGTCTTCTGACAAGGGATTAATAACCAGAATATATAAGGAGATCAAATAACTCTATAGGAAAAAAATCTAATAATATGATGAAAATGGGCAAAATATTTGAATATTTCTCTAAAGAATATATACAAATGGCAAACAGGCATACGAAAAGGTGATCATCATCATTGATAGTCAGAGGAATGCAAATCAAAACTACAATGAGATATTATCTCACCCCGATTAAAATGGCTTCTTTCCAAAAGACAGGTAATATCAAATGTTGGCAAGGATGTGAAGAAAAGGGAACACTCATACACTGTTGGTGGGAATATAATTTACCATCACTATGGAGAACGGTCTGGAGGTTCCTCAAAAGACTAAAAATAGAGCTACCATATAATCTAGCAATCCCACCTCTGGGTATATACTCAAAAGAAAGGAAATCAGTATATCAAATAAATATCTGCACTCTTATGTTGTTGCAGCACTGTTCACAGTAGCCAAGATTTGGATGTCCATCAATAGATGAATGAATGAATAAAGAAAATGTGGTACATATACACAATGGAGTTACTATTCAGTCACAGAAAGAAATAAGATTCTATCATTTGCAATAACATGAATGGAACTGGAGATCAGTATGTTAAGTGAAATAAGCCAGGCACAGAAAGACAAGCCTCACATGTTCTCACTTATTTGTGGTATCTAAAAATCAAAACAATTGAACTCTTGGAGATAGAGAGTAGAAGGATAGTTAACAGAGGCTGAGAAAAGTAATGGAGGGGCTCAGGGTGAGCTGTTGATGGTTAATGGGTACAAAAAAAATAGAAAGAGTAAATAGGACTTACTATTTGATACCACAACAGGTGACTTTAGTTAATAACAATCGTACACTTTCAAATCACTAAAAGAGTGTAACTGGCAACACAAAGGATAAATGCTTGAGGGGATGGATATCCCATTCTCCATGATGTGATTATTTCACCTTGCATACTTGTATCAAAATATCTCACGTACCCCATAAGTATATATACTTACTATGTACCCAAAAAAATAAAAAATAAAATATTTTTTAAAAAAGAAAACAAATGGTGATAGGCTGAAAGAATATATATGTCACATTCTTATTAATATCTGTAATATAAATATTTTTTAAAAATCAATAAGAACCTCCTCTCAAGATGGACAAAAATATTTATCAACAAATTATTCATGTAAAACCCCAAATGTTCTGTTTTCTACTGATGCATAACAAATTGCCACAAACTTAGTGGCTTAGAACAACTCTCATTTATTAGCACAAAGTCCTGTAGATAAGACATCTTTGTATGGTTGGCTGTGTTCTTTGTTTAGATCTTTGTAAGGCTAAAATCAAGGCACTGGCCAGACTGTGTCCCTTTCTGGATGCTCTGGGGAAGAATCCTCTTTCAAGCTCATTCAGATGGCTGGCCAAATCCAGTTCCTTGCGATGGTTGAACTGAGATCCCTGCTTTCTTACTGACTGAGCTGGGAACTGGTCTCAGCTCCCAAACGCTGCCCACACTCCTTGACACATGGATCTTTCCAGGAGAGGAGAAACACTTTTATGCATTATCCTCTCATGTGTTGAATCGCCGTTGCCATAAAGAACCTAGTCCCTTTTAAGGTCTCACCTGATTAAGTCAGCACCTTTTTAAATGTAACTTATTTGGGATTTTAATTAAGTATGCAAAGTCTCATTACAGTAACATCTGGGTAGCAGTAATTAACTGGGAGATTGTGTATACACAACATGGGCCATAAATTTGGGGTTTAATTTAGAGTTCTGCCTACCACAAACAAGTAAATCAAGTGACATTCTATCTCACTGATAATCAAATAAATGAAATTGAAGCCAAAATAAAATGTCACTTCACACTCTGCATAGAAATAATTATACACACACACATACCCACATAGTATATACATATGTGTGTTTGTGTACTCATGTAGTATACATATGTGTGTATATATGTTGTATATATACAGTATATAAATGAATGGATGTGCATGTATATCTAAATATGTGAATATATATGCATATATGTACGTATAAAAGTTGTACATATATATGTATATGTAGGAAATTTACCATTCTCAATTAAGTGTTGAACCCACCTAGAGATCAAATTTGTACATGATGTGTGACAGGTAGCTATTTTTATTTTTTCTACCGAAGGGGAGAAATTATATTTTTTCTCAACCCTCCTTAATTCATAATTTGGACAGACTCCTGCAACAGAAGACAGATTAACAAGAGTAAAACAAGCAAGTTTATTGACACGTGCAGTACATACCAAGTTGGAGAAACATAACTCAAGGTATCTGCTTAGAGTTTCAGTTTATCTAAGATCTTCAACAAAGGGTAATAAATTTAAGAGAAGCAATGGGACAAAAAGAAAAGCAGTCCCAGGCTTCCAAAGGCAGAAAAACTGTAGGAAGGTAAATTTATGGGCAGACACTAATGGAATAAATTCTGCTCACAGACTCCTCTGGCTCCATTTCTGGGCTGATTAAGGCTGTCTACAGTACGGGAAAATTTATATTCTGTCTTTAAGTGAAAAAAAATGGGGAGGAGAGTGGAAAGACCTTTTGTCTTTGTAAATCTTTGTCCTGCTTTTGCACAGAGAGGGAAGCAGAGAGCTTCTCTGTACCTTAACTGTCTCCAGCTAAACAATCCTTTGTATTTTGGGAAGTTACACTCTCGTTTTCTTCACTACATACATGACCAATATTGCAGCCCCACTTTCTGTATAATATGTTCTTTAAAAACGTATTTATGATGTCAACTCTATTATCACCAAGTCTCTATTAATCCATAGATATGTTACTGTGGTCTCTTAAAATGTGATACTAGTCTGTTTGTTCTTACAATAGTACAGTACTCTGTTCATTACTATGACTTTATAGTATTTATTAATATGAAGTATGGTGATTATTTCTTACTGCTTTGCTTTTTGAACTTTGTCTTATCAATTCTTAGGATGTTATTCTTGTATGTAAATTTCAGAGTCAGTTGATCAAATGCATACACTAAATCTATCATTTTAAATTTAATTTCATTAAATGATAAAACAATCTGGAGAACTGATCCCTTTATGAGGTGATTGTTACATCCATGAACATGGTACACCTATTAATTCATTTTAAAAACATAATTAGAATTTTTAAATGTTCCTTTTTGTGAATTTTTTGTTATATTGTTATGTGTAGTTTTTATTTGCAATTATGAGTGGTATATCATTTTCTATTATATTTTATCTTAAGCTAGCACAGTTTTGGAGTGGCATTTTGATTTTTATAATATAGTATTTTGTTCAGTAACTTTGTTGAACTCCCTTATGACTTCTAATACTTTTTTCTATTGATTTGATATTCTCCATATATTACCAGAAAATAATTACTGTTTTAACTCTTTTCCTCCAAGCATAGTTTTTCTATGTCTTTGTATTTTTAATTGTATTGCTCAATACACCTTGAATTATGCTGATCATTAATGATAATAGAAATAATCCCTGTTTTGTTATTATATTACACCTATTATTATAATAATGCAAAAAATAAATATAATTTTTAATAGAAAATAAAATAAATATAATTTTTTTAATACAATGCTTTCTATAGCTAGTGATAAGATAGAATTTTGTCAGATTAGAGAGCCTCCTTTTATTAATAAATCTCAGAAATTTTATCATCAATGACATTGAATGTTACTAAATGCCCTTCTTTAGAAACAAAAATATGTGTTTTTATCTTTAATTGAGGTGGTGAATACACAATGATTAAATAGTCAGGTAATTCTACAAGGCTTTTTTTTTTTTTAATGAAAACAAGTCTCTATTTCCTTTTCCGAATGTCTTATGCTCCACAGAGGTAACCACTATGAACTTCTTTAGCAATCCTTTTCATATTTAATGTCATGTCTCTAAACTATATAGCTGTATTGGTATTCTTATGCAGTTTTAACTAGCATATATTTCAGTCCTACTAAGTACAAAGATTTAATGTTCTTTATCATCCTCCCTGTTCTTATGTCACACCTTTTTCAGTTTACTTCCCTAGGCATTAAACATAATATTTGTTAGGTAAATACTAAGTGTTTACATTATTTTGTTAAACAAAAATTTACAGCTAGGCCTAATAATATATTTAAATTGATCTTTTCTGCAGAACTTTACTATGCTTTTGATGTTAATGTTTATTTGGGTTGTTTTACTGTTGTTTAGTTGATTAATTTTCAATAGAATCATTATTTACTTAACACAAACATTACCATAATTATTTAAGCATTCTTTCACCATGTTCAGCTTTAGCAGTTATTTTCTTTTCCTCTGTGACTTTCGTCCTTCTCCTATCTTGCTGGAAAATCTCTTCTGGAGCCCTCCATCTCTAACTTGAATTAGCTGCTCTCTGCAACTGATAATCAGAGGAGGTTTAAAGATTTCCTTTTGCCAGCAAGCTGGAAAATTATTTCACTTCTTTTTGAGTTGAATATCTGCTTTCTCTATTTTGCATATTTTCATTTTTTGTCTAATACCATGTTTTGGTGAAAGACAGCCTCTAGAAACTTCCTGAGAAAGAATGAATGAGAAGTATATTCCTGAAGACTTCTATGTCTTAAAATGTTTTTATTCTATTTTCACACTTGTTACTACCACTGTTTGTCGATTTCTACATCAAAAGTCAGTTTATTTTATAATGTTGAGAGCATCTCTCCATAAATTTCTGGATACTAACAATGTTATTAAAAAGTCTAAAGGTTTTCTAATCCTTTATACTTGAATAAGATTTCATAGGATCTTCTCTTCACCTCTACAGTCTGAAATGTGATAGTGTGCCTTGGTTGAGGAGGGATTTTACTCATTGTTCAGGTGTGGCAAAAGTTCTAAATGTAAGGCATAGTATTATGTGTGTTTTGATATTTGGTGAAACCAGGAGAAGTTTGATGGTCTAACTCTTGGCTCTCCTAGAGTTAGGAGAATGAATGGATCCCATTTTGCTCCCACAGGTAAGGCCTTCATAACAAACAAAGCTTCCTATCACAGAGACCAGAAACAGTTCCTTCTTATCCCTGAGCAGCAGGTTCCAGTTTCCTGCCAGCCTTCATAATTTTTCAAACAAGCAAACAAGCCAAACACATCCTCCCATAGAAACCAGGGGACACCTCACCCTCTTGTTACTACAAAGTCATCCTCCCCCAGACCCTGTTTGTTCACCATGTTCCCAAGAGCCACCCTGTGGCCCTATGTGACAGGCAGTGTCCACCTTCAGACTGTGAGTATATGGGACTACACACTAATGTCGACCTCATCTATCCATTTTAGGGTTTTGTGTGTTCATACATGACCCTAGGGTAGAAATCTCTCCCCTGTCAACAGAGTCCATAAGAGGTGCTTGAAAGAATTGGCATCAGAAATAGGATGTTCTAACCATAACTGAGTACACTTGGTCAGCTTTAATATACAGTTTTAACTGTTCCCATTATATGGCAAAGTCTGACTACAACAGAAGTGCCATTGCTAGTGGCATTTGTTTTGGTTGCCATTGTATTATCTGCATTTGAGTGTTTCCATGTCTTTTCACTCTAAAATATCTTATTCCTAAGATGAGAATTATTATTAATGGACCATATACCCACGTGATGTGCCATCGAGTTCAGCCTGTGTTGGCAGGCAGTCTCTGAATCTTTATTTATAGAGGTGATAGTAACACATTCCTTTACCAGTTAGCACCTGATTGAGGGTTTACTGTGTGCCAGGCACATTGGAGGTGTGCAACATGCATTTTCCATTCAGCTTCACAACTACACATTGATGCTGGCAATATTGTTGCCCACAGGTCACAGACATGGAAACAAAGACAAGGAAAACAAATAATTTGCCCAAAGTCCCATGGTATGTGAGTGGAGCTGGAGCTCTAATGGAAGTCCCTGTGGCTCCAGTGCCAGGACACTCAACCAGCAGGCTGACTGTCTCCTTTCCTCAATTCTCCACAGTGGACTTTGAAGCCCTGTCTCCTCATGAGGCTTACAAGGGCATTTAAGCTACAGAAAATAACAATAAGGGAAGGTAATAAAAATCTGTGACTTTGGGAAATTCATGTTAGCTCTTTGGGCCTCAGTTTCCCTATCTTCAAAATAGGAATGAGAGGTTCTGTCCTATAAAAATAAATGGTGGTTGTGAGGATAAAGCATCAAACTGAATATAAAAGATCACTACTAATTAGGAGTAGAACTATATGGCCAGATGATGAAAAGGCTCACAGAAAAAGTTGGTAATTTTCAACTCTGCTTCTAGTTTAGTTTCCATGTACACAGATAGATGAAACAGATTCAGAGGGTTTGTTGCTGTTGTTCACTTATCTTACTAAAAAACACAGACTCACACTGTAAACATTACTCTAAATTTGATAAAGCTGCTTTTTCTCCTTTGAGTAATTCTTCCCTACCACCCTACCTGTGTTCTGCTAGCTTCCTCCTTCTGCTCTTCAATATTTCTGGGTCTCAGATTTCAGATTTCAAACTTGTTGCCTTTCACAATGGAAAAACCACGCACGTACTTTAAAAAAGTACTTGTTGATGATAAACTCACATAACAACATGGATAGAATGACATTTGAGGCCATATGGACCATGTGGGATCACACGTATTTGCCTAGAAAAAGAAGGTCAGGACCTGGAGTGTTGCAAGAGCAAGGGAGCAGCAGCAGCAGATGCAACTGGGTGTTGGTTGTAAGCTTAAGTAAAGTTTACACATTTGGTGGGGGAATGAAAGACTTGCTTATCTGAGCTACGTCAACTAAATAAAGATTATACAATCAGGCTTTGCCAGGATGATTTACTTTCACCCAAGTACATTATTTCATTTGACTTCAAAGGTTTCTCCCCTCTCCTCTCAGGCCCCATCCAGGAACCACCTTGCTAGCACCCTGGGGTCTGCCAGATTTATTTTTCTTAGTCATTCTACACTTCTTATTGCAATGATGCAGGGTGCTTCCTGATGTTGGGAGTTGAAGAAAAGGACAAATCGTAATTTATGACTGTTTACTCCAGAATTTCAGGGTTGCACACGGGTCACTTCAGCAAGTGTAGCTGAATCCTGATGTAGATGGGATAAGGGCTGCCTTGAATTCCAGGTGAGACCTCAGCAGATCACACATGTTGCACAGGAACTCACATCACACACTATTTCTTCTCAATGCCTCGGACCCCAGCCACAGTCGGAACTGCAGACCCTCATTCCTCCACATCCTCACCGTTGATGCCTAAGGCTTGACTCACATTAATTCTCACCTTCCCTGGCTGCATTCTAATCACTTGTCTCTCTCTGCAGCCTGGAGCCCTGCTGTGTCTTGTCACATCTTCAATTACTGTCCAGTATCCAAGTGATTAATTCCCTAGCCCTCCCCTCACAGATCCAGTTGTGTTTTCTCTCTTCCTTCTTTTCAGACCATACACCACAGTCAATCACCAGTCTCCATTGTCATGGCACATGCCCCAAACACATCCATCTCCATTGTTGACATCATTATTTCTATCTGGAGCACACTAGTGCTTCTCCACATGTACCAATCCCACTCCTCTGTCAGAGGCCAGCTCTTGAACAAGGAGCTAATCATCAGCTTCCTCCTGTATAAGTCCTCTGTCTCTTCCTCAGATGCTCATGTAATGTTAACTGATCATCACCAATGGCAATGTCTTTTCAGTTTTAGTAATGTCTGAGAGCTATATCCTCATAGGAAAGAAAATGAACAGAGAAAAGGAGTAATTCAGGGAGGGCTTTTGTTTTTAACTTTTATGCTAGGTTCAGGGGTACACGTACAGGTTTGTTACATAGGCAAACTCATGTCACAGGAACTTGGTGTACAGGTTATTTCATCACTCAGGTACTAAGTATAGTACCCAACAGTTATGTTTTCTGATCCTCTCCTTCCTCTCTCAAGTAAGCCCCAGTTTATGTTGTTCCCCTCTATGTATTCATATGTTCTCATTATTTAGCTCCAGCTTATAAATGAGGACATGCAGTATTTGACTTTCTGTTCTTGTGTTAGTTTGCTGAGGGTAAGATCCCCAACTCCATCCATGTTTCTGCAAAAGACAAGATCTCATCCTTTTTTTATAGCTACATAGTATTCCATGGTGTATATGTACCACATTTTCCTTATCCAGTCTACCATTAGCAGCCATTTAGGTTGATTCCATGGTTTTGCTAGTGTGAATAGTGTTGCAGTAAACATATACATGCATGTGTCTTTATGGTAGAATGATTTATATTCCTTTGGGTATATACCTAGTAGTGGGATTGCTGGGTTGAATGTTAGTTCTGTTTTTAGCTCTTTGAGAAATTACCACGCTACTTTCCACAGTGGATGAACTAATTTACACTCCCACCAACAGTGTATAAGTGTTCCTTTTTTTCTGCAACTTCACCAGCATCTGTTATTTTTTGACTTTTTAATAATAGCCATTTGATTCAGGGAAAGTTTCAACAAAGGAATATTTAACAAGAGTGTGGGCATAGGAGAACCACAAGGGATGGTGTAGCATCCTGAACCTTAGTAGCAGCAGAGCTGTAACCACTTCTAGGCCAGAGGTGCAGGGAAGAAGTGACTGGTCCCCAGAGAGAGTGTTTTACAGCACAGTCCACATACCGGGGCAGTAACCTTTGCTAAGGACACACCTAGCTGGAGGTATCTTCACAGGGAGAAGACAGAGGTTTATAAACCCAGACTTACTCACTGTTCCCCATCCCATGTCCTGTTAGGATTGGCCAAATCCAGCCAGGAGCCAGGGGCATAGGGGCTCTTTGATGAAATTTATACAGCTTGGGCTTCTGCTGCAGGAAGCAGATTGGAGAAGAGTAGAAAGAAAATTTGGAGGGTAAATAACAGACCACTCCTGTTGCCCCCCACATGGGGAATGTACAAAGTCTCATCAACTACTTGCAGAGTGATGTCAATCTGGCCTTGCCTCCTGAAACCTAAAATTTGAGGAATTGCCAGGGTGTTCATATAGGACAAGTATGGGTTATATGGTTTGGGTCTCTGTCCCCAACAAAATCTTATGTTGAAATGTAATCCCCAGTGCTGGAGGTGGGGCCTGTTGGGAGGTGATTGGATGATTGTGGCGGATTCTCATGGGGCCTGTTGGGAGGTGATTGGATGATTGTGGTGGTTTCTCATGGTTTAACATCATCCAGCCTTGGTGCTGTTGCCACAATAGTGATTTCTCATGAGATCTGGTTGTTTAAAACTGTGTAGCACCTCTCCTTTCTATCCCTTGGTCCTGCTCCTGCTATGTAAGACGCCTGTTCCTACCTTGCCACCTGCCATGAGTAAAAGCTCCCTGAGGCCTCTCCAGAAGCTGATGCAACCATGCTTCCTGTACAGCCTGCAGAATTGTGAGCCAAATAGACCTCGTTTCTTATAAATTACCCAGTCTCAGGGATTTCTTTATAGCAGCAAGAGAAGGGACTAATATAATGAGAAACAAATGACACAGCTAAGAAGGATAAACTAGAACATGGGAATTAATGTAGAGCTATATCCCTAACCATTCATCCTCTCATAAAACCAGGAACATCACCCAGTGCTCAGCCTACTCCCAGGATGTATCTTCCCTGTCTGCAGAGCTACCTCTGTGAGGCTGTGGCATGGTGTCCACCCTCTCAGGGTTGGTGTTTCTGTCCTGTGCAGGTCTGTCTGTGGATGAGATCAAATTTCATTCTCTTCCATTAACTGGTCATGGGGAATTCCTCATTAGACCGCAGGTGTGGGAGGAAAAAGCAGTGAAGCAGTACAATCAGGTTGCCATGGACATCAGAGCCACTTGCTTTTTTTGTGTGTTTAGTTGGCCTTTCTGTCCCTGTTCAGGCCTCATCTAATTTTTTATCACTTCCATTTTATCATGTAATATTTTAATACAAATCTAGCTTTAAGGTTTGGAGCATCAGGAAGCAAATAGTTCATCACAGAAAATTAGGGTTACATGGCTACATAGTGTCCTGTAATAAATTATTCAGTCTCCAGCAGGCTTGGAACAAGCCAGGCACTGCTTTTACAGTGCAGGGAAATGCAGGTATGGCTCATCACCAAACTCTCAGGGGCTGTGCTGTGACTCTCCTAACAAGGCTTTCTGAGGGCTCCCTAGACAAGAGTATATTATTTTCCATAAACACTTCTTGTGGCTTTGCTGGGTCATAAGGTGTACATGGCAGGGTGGCTGCCTGGATCTGCCTCAGAAACTTTTCTTGATCCCTCACCTTGCTCAAAACTGACAGTCCTGCAATTACACTTAAATGGGCAAAAACAGGAATATATATATACATATATGGCATTTGTTGCCTCTAAAATCTAAAGAAACCCACCAAGCTAGGAAGGCTTTTAGCAGAAAGAATGGTTGCAGGCTTTCTCCAAGGTCACACAAAGTCACATCCTTCTCCTAGAGTCAACCTGTGTCCAACACCAGGTCAGTACAGGATATAAAAGGCCAGGTCTTCTTGCCCCAGGACAACTCTGAAGGCCCACATCATCTTGCAGACCTATCCATATGATTGGCTAAGCCCTTTGGGAGGCTGAATCGCACCCTACCATGTCCTGTTTTTCTTTCTTCCTCACAAAGTGTTGATCAGAAGAGTTCAATACAGTGAGCTGCCTGCAGGTGAGTCTTCATCTCAGAGTCTGTCGTCTTGGAGCAAAGGGGTGCAATCCATAGAAACAACTCACTCTAGAATAAATGCCACCACATCTCTAAGCTTCTGCAGGGTTGATCTCCTATCCTAGGTACCGACATACACAATTCAGGCCTCTGGGGTATGGTTACCTGTGCCCATCAGGTTCAGTGAGCCTGATATCATCAAAGTAAAGAAGAGTGTGATGTTCCGTGGGTAGGTCAAGTTTCCTCCAAACTAGAGTTTGAGAGAAAGCAAGGGAGTTGAGACAGCCCAGGGGCAATTTTCCTGTGGGTCCTGTCCTGCAAAGTTATCCTAATTTCCCTCACTAATGGTACTAAAGTGGGGGAAAAAAATCATCAAGTCAATAGCTACATTGCTACCTACCGGAAGCCAGGACTTACATCCAATAAAAAAAAATACCACATCTCGCTCTACACAGGATTGCGAGGGTCACATCATGGGGTTTACCCCAATCTGTTGTCATCATTTTCAAGACATGTGTGGCACTTGTACTTCATAGAGCTTGTCTGAATTTATCCCCATTCTCAGGACTCCTCTAGTCTTGCACTACAAAAAAAGTTACCAGAAAAAGAGATACGACTCACCATCCCACACTTCGCACTTCTCAGGACTTTTATTGTGGCACTGATCGTAGCTGAATTTCTCCTGGGGATGTTTTGTTGTTTATTTTTTTAACTTTTGTTTTGGAGGGTGGGAAGGTCCTAGAGATTGTTCAGGTCAACCTTCTCAGACACAAGGCATGAGAAAGCTGAGGGATTCTGAGGGATTGGAACTGAAAAATACAGGTAGGAAATATGTGAGATGTGAATCTGTCTTTTCTCCTGAAATTGGCTACAACAGATATTCACATCAATTTTAATGATATGTTTATATCCAAACTCAGTTAGGAGTCTTAAAAAAGAGAGACAGAGATGAGATCTTGCCCAGGCTGGAATGAAGTGGTGCGATCATAAGCTCACTGCAGTCTTGACTTCCTGAGATCAAGGGATTCTCCCACCTTTGCCTCCTAAGAGCTGGAACTCTAGGCGCGCACCACCATGCCCAGCTAATTTATTTTTATTTTTATTTTTTGTATAAATAGTGTCTCTCCATCTTGCGCAGGCTGGTCTCAGACTCCTGGGCTCAAGCAATCCTCCTGCTTCGGCCTCTCAAAGCGCTGGGATTACAGGCATGAGCCACTGCATCTGGCCCTAACTCAGTAAAAGTCTTAATTTTCAGTGGATATTCAGGAAAGGAATGATCAGAGCAGACAGGAAAAAAAGAGCTCTTGGAAATTAAAAAATAAAACTATATATTTTTTTAAATCCACAAATAAACAATACCAAAATTGGCACAAAACTGGGACAGATGAATACCCAGATGACAAAATGAATATATTTGAGACATTTCTCAAATTATCGTTTAAGGCTGGTGTAAGGGCATGCTAACAACTTTTTGTATTGATTTAACAGCCAGGAAACTTGCTGAACAGTCTAAGTAGACCTGATGAATTGTAGATTCCCTTGGATTTTCTATGTAGATATTCATCTTATTGGCAGATAATGACAAGTTTCCATTCTGTCCTTACATTTCTTATTGCTTTTCTCATCTCAGTTTTCTCTGTAGGATGTCCTGTACAATGTAAGCAGACATTATGATAGTAGGACTTTTATCTGCTTCCTGGCTGTGAAAGGAATGCATCTAGCAAGTCATCAATATGTATGACGTTTGTTAAGGTTTCTACAGATAATACAGAAATTTTCTGTGCTCCTTTGATGGAAAGAAATATTGGATTTCATTAAATATTTTTTCTGTCTCAGTTGAGATGGTCACGATTATTCTCCTGTTTGTCAATGGTAAATTATACCAATGAATTTATAAATGTTAAATAATTTATAAATGGTAAACCTAACTGGTAATAATTTGCTGATTTTACATAAATTGAAGAATTGGGCAAACAAACATTTATTCAGAATGCTTTTATATTATTTTCTTGTTGGAGATATCAATGCTATATAATCATGATAAAATAGATTAGAAGGTTTTTCTTCATTTCTATGCCCTAGAACACTTGGTATAAAATAGGATTTGAATCCCTAGTAATTTAGGAAAACTTTCCTAAGTACTTGGATCAGCAAAGGTCTTAATTTCTCAGTGATAGTATGTGTGTGTATACCCATGTAGAGTAAATACTCAATATTTATTGATTATAAGTCCTTTTTAGTTTCTTATTCTGAGTCAGTTTTGTTGCTATAGAATGATTTTTTCTAAGCTATAGAATGAATTTTTCATTTATTTTTTAATTTATTGGTGTAGCTGTTCATAGTATTTTCTTGTATTTTAAAAAATCTTGGGTTTATCCATAGTCATAATGTAACTAAACTATGGATAAACAAATATTATAGTCATAATACTTGTCCAATTCTATATTTAATCTTATTAAATTGTGCCTTGGCTCTTCTATATTTAATCCTATTAAATTGTGCTTCAGCTCTTGTGTTTTTGTAGTATTGTTATATTCTTAGTTGTTTACAATCTTGTCTACATTTTATATTTATTTATTTATTTATTTATTTATTGAGACAGAGTCTCACTCTATTGCCCAGGCTGTAGTGCAGTGGCACGATCTTGACTCACTGCAGCCTCTGCCTCCCAGGTTCAAGTGATTCTTCTGCCTCAACCTTCCAAGTAGCTGAGATTACACGCTCCTGCCACCATGCACAGCTAATTTTTTTTTGTATTTTTAGTAGAGACGGGGTTTCACCATGTTGGTTATGAACTCCTGACCTCAAGTGACCCTCCCACCTTGGCCTCCCAAAGTGCTAGGATTACAGGTGTGAGCTACTGCACCCAGCCATTTTTTCATATTTTAAAAAATTTTATTTGTGTCTACTCTCTTTTGGGTTTTAAAACACTTGATTAGCATTGCTAGTTTATTACATTTTGAGCTCCTTAAATACAGTTATTTAAGCTGTAAGTTTCATTCCTAGTTCTGCTTTAGCAGCTTTCTCCAAATTTATATGTTTGATGTTTTTATTTTCCATCAGGTCTAAATGTTCCATACTTTCTCAAACCACTCTTTTTTCAATTTTGTAGATCTTTGTCATATTTAACTTCATTTCGTTATTTCCTGTGAGATGTTAATAATAATATTAGATGAAACTTGCTCTGTGGACTCAAGTTTTGTCAGTTTTTCTAAATATATTGTGTTTTCTCTTATTTTTTCTAATTATTGGGTGTTTATTATATCAAGTTTTTTTGCTTCTTTATTTGTAATTAATGGAGATACTTAATTGTGTGTCAGTTTAGCCTTTTGCATATTAGATTTTGCTTTTTATATATTAAGCCTCTCTTCTCAGTTACAAGTATTTTCAGGATTATCATATTTCCCTATTCATTTATTCATTTGAACCCATTGGTTCTTTATCCTTACATTCTTTATTAGTACAGTGTTAATATACTACATCATATTTTTCAGATTGGTGTTTTCTCCTTATAGCTTTTTTATGTATTCTGTCAGCATCCATGTGCTTTAATATTTTAATAATCATGACAGGAGCTTACAATCCAAGCTGAGAACTGGAAATTTAGAAGTCATGCTTCACCTGTTAACTGTTGTTGTGAATTTTATTGTATTTGAATTTATTTTTACTTTTTTTCCATTTTTGTTTTATTTTTGTCATATTTTCCTTTGTTAGATTTTTTTCCATCTCTGACTTTAACTGGTAGATCAAGTTTTCTTTATTTTATTTTTGAACTTGTTTTGGTTATATATTCCTTCAGTAGTTGCTTAACATTTTAATATATATAAATGAGTCAGTATTTAAATTTACTCACTTTTAAGTCAGGCACAGTGTCTTATGCCTGTAATTCCAGCACCTCGGGAGGCTGAAGCAGGAGAACTGCTTGAGGCCAGAAGTTAGAGAGCAGCCTGGGCCATATAGCAAGATCCCATTTCTACAAAATATAAAAAGTTAACTGTGCATGTTGATGGTCTTCAGTAGTCCTAGCTACTTGAGAGACTGAAGTGGGAGGATCACTTGAGCCCAGGAGTTCAAGGTTACGGTGAGCTATGATGGCACCACTATACTCCAGCCTGGGTGAGAGAGAGAGAGATCCTGTCTCTAAAAAAACAAAAAAATTAATGATAATAAACTTATTCAAATCTCTAGTGCCTACTAAATAATAGAAAACCTTTTCCTTTAACATTCTGCAGTTTTAGTAGGATATGTCTCTATGTGCATTTAAGTAGTTTTCTTTTATATATGTTACTCTCAGGACTTAGGTCTCCACTCACTTTTAAGAAACCTCAGCACTATCTTGTTAGGTACAGTACTCACTGTCATTCATTTATTCATTCAACAAATGTTTATTGAACTGTGACCCTGTGCCAGACACTAACCTAAATGTGGAGACTCAAGTTGTGACTGAAACAGTAAACATTTTTGCATTTACAGAGCTCATATTCTATTGGTGGTGCAAAACAAAATAAAGTAAAAAACAAAAGAAGTAAATTAATTGTATTGTCTGTCAGATAAGTGACACGAGGAATACAGAAGTTAAAGCAAGGGAGATGTTTTAATTATTTATTTATAGTCTAATGTATTCATGCCAAATTTAAGATATGATATGAAGGTAAATCCTCCTAGGTAATTGGGTATTTAAGCAAGAGCCTAAGGAAGAGCAGTAAATGGGCTCTAGGCATAGGAAGCAGCCCACAGATTTTGGGGTCCAGAAGACGTGAGTCTGTGGGACCAGAGCAAAGTGCTTGGGGGAGGAGGGAGCAGCAGGAGATGACCCTGGGACGCATGATGATGCAGAAAGGGGGCTCCCTGAGTGACTGTGGACTGGCTCTCCCTTGAGTTTGGGAAGCCGTGGGAGGGCTAAGAGGCAGAGGGCATAATGTAACCTATTTATAAGCACTAACTTGCTGTCTGTGGTGATAACAGATCCTCAAAGGACTGGGACAAAAACGGAGACACCCTGAGGATGCTCTTCACTGATGCTGGTGGTGACCTGAACAGAGGGTGGTAAAAGTGATGAGTTTATCAAAGGTTGTCACTTGAATGATGGCCAGTGTGATTTGCTGACAGGCCTGAAATGAGGTGCAAGAGAAATGACGCCCCAGGGCCTGGTTGAAGTTGAGGTTCACTGAGAAAGGCAGACAACAGGAGCAGATTTGTGTAGAACAAACAGGGCTTCAACTCTGGGAGGTCATGTGTGAGACACGCAGGAAACATTAAAATGGCAAAAAGAAGGGCTTTGGGTGAAAGAAAATGCAGTTTACTGGGAAAGATTTGGGGCTGAGATATAAACCGATAATCAACAGATAACTAATATTTAAAGCCATGTGGTTCCATGAAGTTACCAAGGAGGCAAGGAAAGGAAAGACAGGAGTAGGCTGAGCCCTGAGCCCTGGATGTAGTTCACGTGCAGAGACCAGGTGCCCCAGGCAACAGGGAGCAGAAAGACCCCAGGGAGGGCGGATGTCAGGAATCCAAATGAAGGGAGCGTGCACAGAGGAGGGGCCACAACTGGGTTTACAAGCCTTGCTACCACAGGCTGGCAGATGGAGTTTCACTTCCCTCCTGTTCAAGGAGACTTTCTCATTCACCTTTCAGGAGTCTCAGTGCTTGGTGGCCCCTCGTGCCTTCTGTTTCACGTGGGCACTCAACACCAGATCCCCCACGTTTCACTCTGCTCCCCTGTGCTGTTGTGAGAGGTATTGGAACCAGAGTCACTCCATCTTGAATAACGGCTGCTTGAAATGAGGCCCTATGCTCTGCCTATGCTATGGAGCAGCTATTCTTTTTTCTTTTGCTTTCCAGATAAAATTGCTTTCACCTTATTCTGTGGACTCGCCCTGAATTCTTTCTTGTGTGACATCCAAGAACCCTCTCTTGGGGTGTGGATCAGGACTCCTTTCCAGTAATACCTTCCATGACAAACCACAAAGAGATGACAATGTAGAGACCCCTGACCCAAAAGAAATAGACTGCAGCACCAATTGGCTGGCTTTGTGTAAGTGGTGGGGTATTTTGTCATGGGTAAATGATAGAATTGTGTTACGAGCCCAATTTTGGAAGGTTAGAGTTCCTCTTAATAAATAGGGGCTTAAAGGTGCCTCTTAGTAAAGCGCAAGGCCGTTGTCTGAACTTGGATTAGAGGACCAACTTAGGAAGGTTAGAGTCCTAAGACAGAGGGGCTCAGAGGTCCTCCTCGGTAAGGCCCCATTTGGTTAAAAACAGATTTGGTGCTCTGATATGTTAACCACGGTTCTCTTTGGATTAATCTGCCTTGCACTCTGCTGATGGCTGTGGGTAACAGTATTAGGCATATGCCAGTTCAGGGGACATGGGGAGCTTTCCTCCTCCAAAGGGGGAAACTTGAGAGCTAATGGAACTGCTGGAAAACGTCCCTTTATGACTGACAAGTGGCCACTTAAACTTTGATTCAGTGCTGCTGCAATGGGTGGGTCTTTCTTTGGTCTCCCTGAGCTTCTCTCCTTCCCAACCCTGCCACAGGCAATGCTTTTCTTCCTCCCCTTTCCTCCCCCCTCTTTCTCTCCTTTCCCTTTTCCATCTTTTCTGTCACTCAGGGTGACTATCCGCTCTTCCAGCTTGCCCAGAGACCACATTTTGAAACTCCTGATCAGAGATCATTCCACCCCATTTTGAGTGGATCAAAGATGACAGGACCCAACGGGGGCACATTTGAACCTTGCCAGGTTGATATTGGGTGCTGAGCAGGGTGGCTAGGGTCTATGTTTTGTCACATATATTTTGCTTCAGCCAGAATGGAAGTTGTTAATTCAGTTCCCCCCATGCAGCCTGTTGGGCAGCATCTTGATTGTGAGGCTTTTGCCTGTGGTTTTATGAAATGGAAAATGATGATTTTCTTTTATAACATGGCTTGGCCCCCATAGCTATGGCACAGCAAGCAGGGCCATCAAAGCACTCAGAGAAGGGAAACCAGAAACCTGGCATGCAGGTAAAAGGGTAAGAATTTCTTACCATTCAGGCTTCTGGCCTCTGTCTTTCTGTGCAAACTGGTTGAATGAATAGTAAAAATCACTGTCTCCTCTGAAAAGTTTTGATTAATGGGAAAAAATAATAATTATGAGGCTAGTCTTAGGCCGTAGTGAATGTGGTGTACCTTGTGCTATGAATTTGTCTTTCTGTGTTGTTCTGTCATAGAGGGGCTACTATGGATACAGTGTGGACTTAAAACCACTGTAAGTCCTCTCTTCAAGCTGGCTTAGCAAATTGGTTAGTTACAAACTGCTTCAGATCCCAGAAACAAAACCTGGATGAGATTTTTCTCTCTTTTGTTTTATGTCCTTGAGTGCTTAACCTTATGACCATACGGGGATACTTTTCTTTTGGTCTGTGCCATCCAGAAGACAGGAATTTGGAGGTTCATGTCATAGCCCTAAAAATTATCTTGAGCAATTAAAAACTTTGGAAAGCTCAAAACTGACTGCTCTAGACTCCTTTTGGGAAGAACAATAGAAACTACCCAGTGCTGTAGCTCAGTAGTTAAGGTTTCTGTCTTTTCACAATGACAGTCTGGGTTCAATTCCCAGCTTAGGGAATGAGTCCTTTATGGTTTGATATTTGTGTGACCTTTGCAATTTATTGATTCTTTTCCCCTCCCTGAACAACTTCTGACTTCCTGTCTTGAATGTCCCTTTCTCTGAGCTACCTTTGGAAGTTCTAGATCTTGTAAAAAATGCTAACTACCTCTTTGAAAATACTTAATATACCTATGGTTAAATAATCTTAGTTAAGGCTTATTTGTCTCACCTGGGAGGTTACCTTTGGTAAAGTCCAACAGCCAGAAATATTAGCTGTTTGTCCTGGCTAGAGTCAGGTAACAAGAGCTTTAAAAGAATTTTTTAAAAGAATACTATGGTTAAAAGTCAGCTCAACTAATAGCAAATATGCCAGCTATACATATATTTAAGAGGCCTCTGTGTTTTTTTTTTATCTTCTTGGATTTTATTTTTCTAAATAAAAAGTTTGTTATTTTTTTACTTGGTCGACTGAATAACTTTTCTCCAGTTTGTTTTCATGCCACTCTTGATGCCCACGTAAGAGGACTTAAGATGATTTCTAACACCCTGGGTCTCCTAGGGAAAAACAGAAGAGGCACCACAGATCCTGTTTGGGGAAATACCTCTGTTTTTCACATGGAACCCAGGGAATTGAAAGCAGGTAGATCCCTCTCGAAATAGAAGGCTGTGTTTTGTTTTGCATTGCATTACCTGACATTTTTGTCTTTTGGGAATATCAGAAATTACTTTGGATTATGAGAAAGCTTTCAGCTCTGCTGTGTAATAACTAGGTAGGAAATATACGTTTCAGGATGACTAATGGCAGTTATGGGGGATACTCTGCTCTTTGCACATTTGAATCAGAGGAACATGCTCTTGGCCACCTAGAAGGCATGAAAAAATCTCCACCCCCCACTGTGATAAGACTCCATTGAGGGATGGGCTGATTTCCTCTTTTTTGGTTGGGATCTAGGACCTGTTATAAAATGATACCCTTAATTTGGGGGATCTGTTTTGCCTTCCAGTTGTGTCTTCTTATTGGGCCCTAAAAACTGCATGCTTTCCTGGCCCTGTTCCTTGTAGGGCTCCACACTGAAGCCGGTAATCCAACTAAGAAACTTAAAACTGGCAAATTAAAAATCTTACAACTACTGGATTTTCTTCTGTCTGTTTATTTATATGTGTTGTGTGTTTGATGTTTATATAAATGAGCTCTAATTAATTTGCTTAAAGAAAAATAAGTGCTTAAATCAAATATTTTGTCAAAACAATAAAAACTTTAATGCTTCTTAATTCACGTGACTTTAGTGATATTTAATAAATAAAGAGTTTTAAACATTATTGGTAAAATAAAAATGTGTTCAAAACTTACACATTTGGTCTAAATTAGGCAGGACAGATACTGTTTTTACTAAAACTACATAAACTGTATCTTTGACTTGATAATTTTTCAACTTACCTCATTGGGAACTGTTGGATTCTAAAGAAGGCTTGGGGACATGTGGAGTTAGCCACGCCCCCTGGCTATGCTGAAAAGAGTATTTGTACTTCCGTCTGGTATCCTTGGCTCCATGCCTGGTACATAATTGAAATAGCTTACCTACCAGGTTTTTCACCAAAAATGAAAGTTGCTAAGAGTTATCATTGTAACGTACGTGACCGAGACTACTAAAGAACAGTTTTACATGATGGTGTATAAGAAAACTAGAATGTGTTTTCTGTGAAAAAAAAATAAGTGTAAGAATGTAGGTTTTTTTTTTCTTTTGCCTGGTTTAGAAGGTTAAAGGATTGTTTTAGGTTAGACAGGATAAAGCCAAAGGTTTGAGTGGTTCATGAAAGATTACTCTTATAAAAGAAATTATATGTATGAATATATTCTCTAAAGTTAAAAGGATACTATTGATTTGTTCTGCAAATTGAACATCAACACAACATGGTGTTCATTGATCTGTTCCTTAGCAAAAAAAATGTAAAGGATTGTAAAAGGTTTAAGAGAATCTTACCTTATGGCCAAACTGATTAAGCCTGGATACTTCGTCTATAGGTCTCATTAAGGATAGAATTTGACCTTAATTGTACACTAATGCAAAAGGTGAAATTTGGCTTTCTCTCTTGAAGTATATTTTTACGTAATACAAAAAAAGAAAGATTTTTGTTTGGCTTTTGAATACGCTACAGAAAATAGAAAAGAAAAAAAAGAAATTGTTTGGAAAGCTGAATCTTCCTTCTATCAGTGAGTAAAGGCCTTTCTAAAATCTTTGAGTTACCATTTTGAATAAATAAATGACTTAGGGTGACCTGGGATTTTATTTTTGAGTATCAAGTGTTTTAAACCTTTGATAATCAAGTTGACAAACTTTCCAAAATCAAATTCTAAGTTATGTCTTTTTCTGACTTGATTAACCCTTAAGATCTTAGGTGCCCAAAAGTCCAAAAATGACATACTTAGCTTATTTGGCATGTTAAAATTATACAGAATGCACTGTCAAATACAAAATGGTGTTGGGCTTTCTTTGGGCTGTATTTATAGAAATACATTATTGGTATGTGTTCCAATATTATGGGAAAGTTATATAATTCTGATATTAGTGTATGTTATCAGTAATAATGATAATTATGTAAAATTGTTGTACACCACAGGAAAAAACAAAATTCCCACAGAAGAAATCAAAAGTCAATTGTGTCTTTAACCATGGCTTCCCTAAGACATTTTATCATCTACAGACAATTGCTGTCTTGTTTTGATCCTCTCTCAAAGGTGATTTATAATCAGCTACAGGACTCTGACAAGTACTCTTAAATACAGGTCTCTGATAACTTTAGAAAGTGTGCCATTAAAATAGAGAGGAAAGAACTTCCAAGACTCTCTTGGAAAACATCTTCATAAATATCAAGCAAAACAGGATGTAATAGCATGGATGACTTTTTGCTTAAAAAGTTGCTAATCCATTTGGTTTTGTTTTTCAGAGTCAAGAAAACTTTTCTTTTGAGTTCTTACAACTTTTAACAATTGAGTCCCATAAATGAAATTTGGAGCAAATTTATTTCTCTGTACCTAATTTCTCCAGAGTCTGGAAACTATTTGTGAGTATTCTCAACTGATAACAATATAGTTATTTGCATAGTGCAGTAAGAATCTGTTTTATTTTGTAAGAGGACACAACTGGAGAAACTGACTATTTTAGCAAAGCTTTGACTGGAATGACATGCTTTCAAATACAAACAGACTGCTTTAAGGAATCAAAGTTAACTTATAGAGCCAAAAACAGCTCCTTTGGAAAATTGGCCTCATATCTTATCTACACAGTCCCTTTGCAGGGTTTTCTCACTCTGTCACTCAGACTGGAGTACAGTGGCTTCATTTCAGCTCACCACAACCTCCACCTCTCAGGCTCAAGCAATTCTCCTGCCTCAGCCTCCTGAGTAGCTGGGGTTACAGGCATGAGCCACTATCACCTGGCTGTTTTTTGTATTTTTAGTAGAAATGGGGATTCACCATATTGGCCAGGCTGGTCTCCAACTCCTGACCTCAAATGATCCACCCGCCTCAACCTCCCAAAGTGCTGGGATTACAGGCAGGAGCCACCACTCCCAGCAAGAGTGTCACTTTCTGACAAGCCCATCAGCCCCAAGTTAACTTGGGACCTTGAGAGGACAGAAACTTACTTAACTCTTACAAGTATTTGCAGGCACAGATAAACCCATGGATGGGTTCAAGGCTTTTAAATGTCTAATCTGAGATTCCTTATGGAATAAAGTTCCATCAAAGACAATTTATAAAGGAGCCTATATGGCAAATAATTATTCTTGCTGCACTTTATACAAATAACCTAAGTATAATAAGACTAAAATTTATTTTGCAAACAAATCAGTCCTATCATGATTTGTTTTTAATAAAAATGGGGACTGGGGAGAGAGAAAAAAATGTTTCAAAAACTGCACCTGTTATTACATTCTAGTCTTGTCTTGTCAGTTGTTTCTGAGCTTTTTTCTACAATTTAGATTGATCCTGCTTATTCCTGTGAAACAACCAGTGATCTCTGGCTGCTACTCAGAAGAAACAAAAGGAACATGTAACATAAAAATCTGGATCAAGTGCTTTGGGCATGTATTGGAATTGGCTTCACTCCATATCAGCTTGGTTCTAACAATTGCCTAGTTTATGGAAAGCCTTCTTATTTAGTTCACTTGGGATTATTTTACTTATTTTGCTTTACTGTGGTGGAATATATTGCTCTTGCACTCTTTGTGTAGGAATGCAAGATAGGCTTACTCAATGTTTTCTTAAATTGGACACTTATTAATCTTCCAGTTATCACATTTTGTCAGGATTCAGAGTTATTGATGGCCCTCACCATCTGGATGCTTTCTGACTGAACTCCTCTCTACCCTGAATACAAAAAACCCTAATAGTTAGGCAACAATATCATCACCCCTATTCAGCCTGAAGAGTTTACGGAAAATGGATATTCATCCCTCTGCAACCCTTAGAATTAAAGATCCCCTTGTAAAAGGGAAAAAGAAAAATATGTCAGAGGCATTTGAACCACAGAAACTCCATCTTGAATAGAGGATGGGTAAAATGAGGCTGAGACCTGCTGAGCTGCATTCCCAGGAAGTTAGGCATTCTTAGTCACAAGACATTTAAGATTAGGGGAACAGATTAATAATAATAATAAACAGACGCAGAACTTAACAGACCTGGGAAATATCCTGATGCCCTGATACCTTAAGAACAAAAGCATTCCTAGTTTAAGAATAAGTTTCACTTTAAAGATAATATCAATTCTTGCAAAAAATAGAAGTTACAAAGATTACCAATCCTTCATCACAGACCCTTGTAGTGGAGCACAAGGGTTGTCCCATTTGTTGTTGTTGTCTTCTACATAAACAAGCATTGCACCTAGGATGGATGCATTCGGTATCTTACTTTTGGGTACACCCTTTTCTGCCTATGGAGCAGCTCTTATTTTATTCCTTTACTTTTCTAATAAACTTGCTTTCACTTTACTCTGTGAACTCATTGTAAATTCTTTCATATGCGAGATCCAAGAACCCTCTCTTGGAGTCTGAATTGGGACCGCTTTCTGGTAACAGTGTTAACTAGGACTCATCCCCCAGATTTGAATGTTTTTTTCTCAGTTTCTACTGGCTGGAGTGTCCCTTATCTTTCTTTCGGTCCTGATGGTTATGATTATTTATCTTATTTCATATTTTTTCCCAGTTTCTTGACATGTTTAGCATGTTGCCAGGAATCCTGTTAATCAACTGTTTTTTTTGGTTTTTTATTTTTTATTTTTTTTTTTTTGAGATGGAGTTTCACTCTCGTTACCCAGGCTGGAGTGCAATGTTGCGATCTCGGCTCACAGCAACTTCCGCCTTCTGGGTTCAAGCGATTCTCCTGCCTCAGCCTCCTGAGTAGCTGGGATTACAGGTATGAGCAACCATGCCTGGTTAATTTTGTATTTTTAGTAGAGATGGGGTTTCTCCATGTTGGTCAGGCTGGTCTCAAACTGCTGACCTCAGGTGATTCACCCATCTTGGCTTCACAAAGTGCTGGGATTACAGGCATGATCCACCACACCCAGACATCAACCGTGATTTTTTTCACTGTCATTGTTCCCTTGGAGAGTGGGAAGATAACAGAAAGCGGCAGCCCTGGTAGGCATGCTGCAGACTTTCTTGCTATCAGTTAAGCTTTCCATCCTTGGAAGGTCTTGCCTGTTATCTTGAACAGAATAGATATTACAGCTAAACAGTGGCCTGGCAATCAATGCTATTTATAGTTCCATAAAGCTGAGTTATTCTAGATCCCAAGTGCCACCCTAGTGAATGTTGAGCATAAGTTTAGTATGATCTTGTGGTAGGCAAATAGCCCTCCAGAGATGTCTACATCTGGGTCTCTGGAACGTGAATATGAATATGATATAATACATGGCAAAGGGACTTTGTACAAGTTACTAAGGTAACTTCAAATAGGGAGAGTATCCTGGATTACCCAGGTGGGTCCAATCTTATCTCCTATGCCCTTATGAGAAAAGTATTTTCTCTGGCTGGAAGCCAACTGATGTGGCAGGAAAAGTGAGAGAGATAGCTCACTTACGTTTCCCATTTGAAGATAGAAGGGCCAGTGTGATGAGGAATGTGGGTGGCTAAGGGCTAAGGAGCTGGAAGAAGCTCCTAGCTAACAGCCAGGAATGTGGGAACCTCAGTCCTACAGCCACAGGAGACTGAAATCAGCAACGGCCTGAATAAGCTTGGAAGTGGATTCTTGCCAAAGCGTCCAAAAGGGAATGTGATGCAGCCAACACCTTTGGTTTTGACCTTGTGCAGAGAAGCAGTGAGCCATGCTGTGCCTAGATTTTTTGTCCATGGAAACTTCGAGATAACAAATCACTTTTTCTGTCTGAGCTGATTTAAATTTGGCTTCTGTTGCATCTAAGAGACTAATGTACCTCCTAGAGATCATCTACATCTTCTTGAACGGTTTGAAACTGTTGGTGATAGTTTCAGCCAGAACATTTGATATAAACAGAACCTTGTCTAGGAGCCAATATACAAAACGAATAAGGATAGAGCTTCCAGGGCTTTCTTGCTTCAGAGCTTGGGTTGAAGTCTCACCAAACTCCTTCCCCTGTCCCTTATTTCTCCAGGCATTCCAGGTTTCTTGGTAAGTCCCTGAACACCACTGGCCCAGTTCACTATGACTTCCTTTCCCTCCTCCCTGAGATGTACAGTTGTGGAGAAGCAGACGAATCATGAGCTTGGCCAGTGCCTCACAGAGAGTTACAGCAGAGTTAAAACTTGAACCCACGCTCTTCTCTTTTCTCCTCTGGACCTGACTTGACCTGTTGCTGAGGCCTTTGGAGGGGAAAGTCTGCTTTATCATGCCACAAAATAGTACAGTGAAACTCATGTTTAGATGATTTTGATGAGAAATTTTATAGAATAGAACAAGTGTGTATCACTGGTGCACTCTTTCCCCTTTCTAAAAATGTAGTTTTTGTATACAGAAACCTTGAATAACCATTTGCATTCCCATGGTGATTACCAATACATGATCTCCTTCCAGTCTCATAATCAGGTAGGCAAATATGACATTAGTTTCCCTATGTTAGAGGATACTGAGGATTACAGGGAGAAGCAGGAAGACAGCAGCTTATATTGACAATAAGTCTCTAAAAGAAATGACAATCAACTTTTAAAAGAAAGAATCCTGCAGTCTGTAAGTGTCCTTGACACAGGAAGGGATGTGGGGATAGCACTCCCCTGTGTCACAGACCCTCAGGAAGCCCAAAAGCAGGACCCCTCCTCCTTGGTGGCCCGAAGGTCCTCATCTGCAGGTCCTGCCTGAGAGGAGGTCAAGCCACACATTTTGTAATAAGCTCCTTAGATATTATTGGTGTCTATCCTAGCTGAGGAGCCCAGGGAGAACTCATACTTGTACTTATTCCTTCAGAAAGCTAGAGGATAATGACCAAAACAATTTGCCTCTCGAGGCCGTTTCCAACACATGGAATGGATCCAGGCATGGTGCATATGTAAGGACCCTAACAGGATGTAACTGAGTTAGGTACATTGGAGATATGTACATCCCAAGACCTTTCTCTTTCACTCAGCTTAGCCCTTGTGATACTGGTGAGCTAGGGGAGTCCCCAAATGCTGATGGACCTCAACCCTGGCTGGTGTCCAGTCTTTTAACACCACCATCATAAGGAATTCAATAATGGATCAGAAATTAGTAGAAGTATGGAAATGTTTCACAAAGTGAAAAGTACACACTCAAGAAAGGAGAGGGCAGATGTACTCAAGAAAGTTGCTCACAAGGGACTTTGGGGCTGCTGTCTTTGTGGGTTTCTGTAACCAAGGGGTCAAATATTCATGAAGATTCCTGGAAAAAAGTGGAAATTTCTCAGAACTGTTGTCCCATCCATTCTTATACCAAATATGTGTGTTCCCAGAACTATAATGGCATGGTTGGTGTGTAATTATGTTACTGAACATATCATGAGGTCCTAGGAGAAACCTAGATCAAATCCAATGCCCTGTTGGGTCCAGTTTTAGCCGGCTTGGTCCACACCCTGGTTTTTCAAGGTCTGATGAGCCCCGAGCTTCTGAAGCTATTTTAACAGTTTCCTTTTGCTAGTCCTGGGAAACTGTGGCCTGGAATTTTCTATTCTCCTGCAACTATCCTGTATTATTCTTGTCTCACTTCCACAGGCTCTAGAATCAGGCACAACCCTTGTCAGCTCCAAGATATCCTGACTCACTTACTGTCTCATGAGTAAATGCCACTGGGATGGTAAATGCCACTGATTCTTGCTATGTTCTTCCTCATCTCTCTGAACCTGTCCCTCCACACTCTCTTTCTGGAGGGCATGTTTGGGCACTTCTGACCATTGGCTCCTATTCACATGTTCATTTAACAAAGAATTATTGAAATGCTTATTCAGAATTAAGTTAATGCATCCATGAGTAAAACAGATATTGTCTTCATCCTTGGGGAGTTTATAAGCTTGGGGGAAAATAGACAATAACAACTAAGCTATAAGAAAGAGCTTATCTCACCCTGCCCTTCTGCCCTTTTTTATAAAACTAGAACTCTTCCCTCTCAAATTGCCAGTGAAGGAAATAAAAATATTTTACCCCAAATATCCCTTTTTGATATATTTTGAAATGGCTGCTACAGGGCCAGCAGACTGAGGTGGGGGAAAATTTCATCCGTAGAGAATCTCTGTTAATGCAGCCAGGCCTCCCCTTTCTAGGCACTACCCAGATCTAGAGAGACTGAGACATCTGACATCTTTAAAAGTCTAAAAAGAAACATTTACCATCTATCCTCTCTCAGGAAGCTTCATCTGCACAGTAAATCCACCTTTGCTGGCCAGGCCTCTTCCTTACTCCCTCTCATAACCTGTCTTGCCACTAAACCTGATTTACCACTGAACTTGGTTTTGGCCATGCTCTGAGCCACTGTTCTTTCTGTAACCTTAAGATGGAATATAAGCTTCTGTAACTCATTCAGAAGTTGAATCTTCCTTCTGATGGCTCCTGTATGTACACACTGAATACATTTGTATGCCTTTTCTCCGATTAATCAATCTGCCTCATGTCAGTGATTTTCAGCAAACCTTTAAAGGGCTAAGAGCCTATGTACCCCACACCAGAATGGAAGCGTCTTTCTTCTGTCCCTCATGCAGCATCTCATTCTTGTGAGAGAAGGTTGAGAAATGGCTTATCTTGTGGGAAAGCAAAATCTCCCCAGAATTTCTGGATGTCCTGACTTCTAGGTGGACCTGTTGATCTTTTCACTCCTACCTTCTTAGCAGTAAACCAAGGCTCAGCCGCTTGGAGGAAGTTATTCTGAGATTGACTATGTGTACTCTCTCTAGTGGGAAGGAAGCAAGAAAACTAGTGGTTTTGTCCATCAGCGTTATCTGCAATAAGCTGGTTTTTTTATTTTTAAATTATATTTGTCTCTTTTGCCTATTCTCCCTTCTTTCAGAACTTTGGAGGGTGAGATGGAGAAAGAAGTGGGTGAACAGTCCACCTGTAGCCTGGTGTATGACATGGCATGCTAGCACGGGAGGCTGGCAAGGGAGGATTCTACTCAGGAAAGATGAGCAAGAGGGAAATGTAGCAAAAGGAGGTGACATTTAGGGCTGGGTGAGAGAGTGTGTGATACGTAGGTAGTTCTCAGATAGCCAAGAAGGCAAGGGTATTAAGCAAAGGGGCATGCAGCAAGAGGAAAAGCCCAGAGCAGCTGGGTGGCCTTGTGTGGCTGAAGCATCAGAGACAGCTAGGCTGATTATTCAGGAAGCTGGACCAGGACTTCTCTGGAAGAGATGTGCATGCCGTGGTGTCTTCTGTATGGGTACCATACCAATATTCTTGAAAGCACCAGTAGTTGAACACATTGAGACAGACCTGACCCCATCTGGAATTTATATACAATTATTTACCAAACTCTACCAATTTTTCTTCAAAATCTCCCTTATGCATAGTCTTTCCTAAAGAAACAAATTGTTCTTTTAGCCAATTATAATATCACCATCAGCAATTGCCTCCCTTAAGTGCTTGTGTTTGTCTTTTTGTTTCATTGAAGTTGAGGGAGAAAAATATATAATTAAACTGCAAGTGAGCAGGGAGTGAGGCAGTGGCAGCGAACCAGAAGCAACACACGCATTCACATTCCACTCGCTCATCAGTGACGTCTGATCTCAACTGAAATAATAAAGTTCCCAGGGAGGCATCATGACCCGCCAGTGACCTCCACAGGGAAACAGTGCATTTTATGGCCTGTTATAGGAGATGATCTTTGTGCCCTTTGAAAATCTCCTGGTCAATATGTTATGGAAAAGGAAGAGAAAACAATCTCATGAATTTCCAAATCATTTATCTAATGCACATTTCCTGGGGTCAACACTTCATCATGCTCTAAGATCAAGCCTAGGGATAGAGAAAACAAGCTTTGTCTCCTACCCCCCAGGAGATCACTTAAGTGACAAAGACAGCAATCATGACAACAGAGGGTGTCTGTGGAGTGCTATTCACAGAGGCTGTACTAAGTCCACTGGGAACACAGAAGAGAGAGCCTGGCTCTGTGTGGGGTGGGCTGGTGAGTGCTTCAGGGAAGAGATGCTGTGCTGGATCTTGGAGATGAAGAGGAATTTTCCAACAGATTAAGAAAGGGTGGGCATTGCATACACAAAAGAAAGAGTGGAAAAACATTTAGACAGAAGAATAAGAACCACATGCATTTAACAACTGTATTAGTGTGCTGGGGCTGCATAACAAAGTATCACAGCCTGCATGACATCACAGAAATTTATTCTTTCCCGGTTCTGGAAGCAACAAGTCTGAAATCAGGGTGTGAGCAGAATTGGCTCCCTTCTGAGGCCCTGAGGACAGAATCTGCTCCAGGCCTGTCTCCTAGCTACTGGTGGGTTTTTGGGCAATCTTTGGTGTTCCATGGCTTGCAGAAACATCATTCATGTCTCTACCTTCAGCTGTCCATGGTGTTCTCTGCATGTGTGTCTGTGTCCACATCTCCCCTTTTCCCCACCCCCATCTGTCTACGCACATGGTCGTCTTTGTCCTGGGCTTTCTTCTGCTCATTCTTCAAGCTTCAATTTCCCACATTAGATTTCCTTTCCCCTTGAAAGCCACCTCAGTCCATCATCTTGTCTAGAGATTAAAATATGTCATCCTGGACTAAAATTGCCAGTTTGCCTGACTGTACTTCCACTAGCCTGTAAACTTTTTGAAATTAAGGGCCAGCTTTCTCATTCATCAGTTGTATTTCCAGTGCCTAACCCGGTACATGGCATGCAGTAAGTGCTGAATAAATGTTTGTAGAATGTACGAAAAAATGAATGAACTCAAGCCAGTCTTTGAAAGATGAAGCCTTGACTTATTTTTCACAGAAACTGGACATCTGCCACAGCAGTGGATTTCTCATGAATGATTTAGCACCATCCCCTTGGTGCCGTCCTCATGACAATGAGTGAAACTCTCATGAGATCTGGTCATTTAAAAATATGCCGCACCTTCCTCTCTTCCTCTTGCTCCTGCCCCAACCACGTGGCTTGCCTGCTCCCCCTTTGCATTCTGTCATGATTGTAAGTTTCCTGAGGCCTCCCCAGAAGCGGAGCAGATGCCGTAATGCTTCCTGTACAGCCTGCAGGACTGTGAGCCAGTTAAGCCTCTTCTCTTTGTAAATTACCCAGATCCAGGTATTTCTTTATAGCAATGTGAGGACAAACTAATATAACCCAATAACTGACCTTCACTCTTTCACTTGTACCAAAAATAATTTGTGCAGAACCTGCTCAGCTCCAGCTAAAGGGGGAGTTTCAGCACTTGTGCTCTATGTTGAACAACGCCTAGATATATCCCAACGTTACTGGGTATCCTTGCTCCCAGAGCTCCCAAGATGGTGTTGGGCCGCTTCCAAGATGGTGGCAAGCCTCGTGTTCTCTGACCTGGGGTTCTTGGCCTCACAGATTCCAAGGAATGGAATCTTGGGCCACGGGGTGAGTGTTATAGCTCTGTTAGAAGCCGTGGGTCATGGAAGAGAACCGTGGAACCCAGTGACTACTGTTCAGCTCGATTAGGACGAACGCAGCACTTAGCAGCGCAGGAACATTGGCAAGCCTTTAGCCCGATCAGGAGCGGCAATGGGCACCTCGCTGGATCAGGAGCAGAGAGGACACCCTGCCAAAGGGAGGGAAGTCAGCGGCGGGTCTGTGGCGGCAGCAAACAGCAGTGGTGGATGGCGAGTGAAAGCTCAGCTCGAGCCGTAACAAACATGGACCAGAAGAGAGTGCAGTTGCAAGATTTAACAGAGTGAAGACAGAACTCCTATACAAAGGGAGGGGACCCAAAGAGGGTAGCCGTTGCTGGCTCCAGTGCCTGGGTTTATATCCCGATCATTGTATTGTCCCTCCTGCTGTGTTCTCAGGCGATAGATGATTGGCTATTTCTTTACCTCCTGTTTTTGCCTAATTAGCATTTTAGTGAGCTCTCTCTACCATCTGATTGGTCAGGTGTGAGCTAAATTGCAAGCCCTGTGTTTAAAGGTGGAAGCGGTCATCTTCCCCGCGAGGCTTGGGGATTCTTAGTCGACCTAGGAAATCCAGCTAGTCCTGTCTCTCACCAAGACAGTTCAACAACACCCATCTGTATGGATATGGTAGATTAACAGAATCTCAGGCACATGCCATTTCAGGACGTTCATGCACAGTGGTGTGCTGTGCCAAGCCAGAGTCTCAAACTTCCTTGTGGGAAATGTGAAGGAGATCTCTGCAGGGGAATAGCTATTTTCGAAATTAGAAACTCACAGCATTCAAACATGCTTCAGTTTTCACTACATTCTCTTCTACCAAGTGGAAGGGCTGAGTCAGAAAACTGGTGTGGAATTAGAAAAGATACTGGAAGTATTTTGAATCCATCAAAATAACTAAAATATTTTTGAAGATGTTTTTGGACTGGATAATCCAGAAACATGTTCTGCAAAACTCATCTCCAGCTAATTGACAACTTCATATGTACTTCAAAGAGAATGCCATCATCACGTCTCTGAAACGAGTACAAACCACACATGATACTTTTCTGTTTTAGAAGTCTTTGGATGGCAGCTTGTTCTGGAGCCCAGTGAACTTTGATGAAAGATGGTAAGAAGGGAATATTTCCATAAACATTTTCCCCCTTGAACCAATGGGGTATCATTAAACCAAAGTGAATCAGCAGATGCCCGGCAGGCTCCATTTGAATGGAAATTCACATATGCCAAGTATATCATGCTCTGTAGTCTGGGAAGAAAATATTGTTCTCTAATTGACAAATGGAATTTAAAAGTCAGTATACTCCAAAACTATAGATCTGACTAATGCTACTTTGGTCCTCTTAAACCTGTCTCCACTGAGTTATGATTTAAGAATTTATGACATGTAGATTTAACAATATGTCGCAGCATATTTTTGCATTCTTTTAAATAAAATTTCTACTATATACATTATCTAATGCACTTTATTTATGGAACCATTCAAAATCCACCCAGAACTCATTGCCAGGAAAAGTTTTTTCTACTAGTGACCTGGTGTGACACCTCCTACTTGGCCAGCATTTAATTAAATTTGCTTAATTTATTTTTAGTTCTGTGAGAGATTTAAGATGTTTTGTTTTGTTTTTTGAGACAGAGTCTCGCCCTGTCACCCAGGCTGGAGTGCAATGGCGTGATCTCGGCTCACTGTAACCTTCGCCTCCCGGATTCAAGCAATTCTCCTGCCTCAGCCTCCAGAGTAGCTGGGATTACAGGCACCTGCCACCATACCCAGCTAATTTTTTGTATCTTTAGTAGAGATGGGGCTTCACCATGTTGGCCAGGCTGGTCTCGAACTCCTGACCTCATGATCCACCCACCTCGGCCTTTCAAAGTGCTGGGGTTACAGACATGAGCCACCACGCCCGCCCCTTGTTTTGTTTTTCAAAAGGCGCTGTGGTTAAATACATTTGGGAAAACCTGGATAAATACAGTTAATTGTGATGTAACTGGAAAGCAGCACCAAGCCTTTAGCACTCTGATGTACGTTGTGAAGTTCTGGAAAATGCAGGCTCTGAGGACAACTTTTTTTAGCCAAGAAAACTCTTTCTTTTGAAATACAAAACAACTTTTCAGGTTTAGAGTTCTATAAAACATTCTTGGGGAAATACTATATAATAAGCGTTTTTTTCCCCTCTTTTTCCTGTCTGCATTGAAGCTCAGTGAAATTTTGTGGTCTGCATCTCATGTGTGTTGCTGATTCTTCCTCATGATGTGGGGAGAGGGTGCCTGTGGTAGAAAGGGCAGGACACTACCCTATAGCAGTTTGCCACTTGTAATTGGTGTACAGTTGCGAAGCCTGGCAAGCCTTAATTTTCTGGGGTATAAATTGGCAGCAAAATGTCTACCTTGTGGAATTCTTTGAAAATGTGAAGTTGCAACAATAATGCCATGTACTAATGTTCATTCAAAAATTAGTAGCCACTAGTTACATTTTATCCCATTTTACCTTTACTTATGTATAATTGTCTAAAAATTGTAGTATGTTTTTATTCAAAGCTATTTCAAATTTACATAAGGAAAATGGAATAGCTAAGTAAGTGATTAAAATATTTAAGATATTTAAGTAATTTTAAATAGGAAATAATGTTGGGACTATTTTTCAATTAGCATTTTGCCATATTTTAGGAAATCGATGATAGTTTTTATTCTAGAAAGAAATCAAGCCTAAATATATTGTCTATGTGTTTACGCTAAAAAAAAAGGATTTCAAAGCTCTCTAATTAAAATAAAATATATACATATAATATATATATATATATATTTTATTTTAATGTAGGATTAAAATAAAATATATACATATAATATATATATATATATATATATATATTTTATTTTAATGTAGGAGAAGCCTAAATGTTGGGTAACTTCATTCATTCATGCCTTCATTCATTTAATAACCACTTATGTAACTGGCATAGCCAGTTTGCCAGCGTACTCCAAATGTATCACCTCTCTCACTTTATTTCTTGCCGCACATATATCTAACTACCTGTTTGCTTGAGAATTCTAAAGGCTAATCTTGGAAAAATCCAGGCATGAAGCAGAGATGTTGATAGCAATTTTCTCCCTTTGCAAAAGAAATCAATGCACAATTCATCCATAACTGGATCCCTAGTGAGATAAAACCAACCAGGTCTCTGGATGGTCCATTACTCAAGTCTATCATCAAAAAATGACAAGCAAACCTACACTTCACACCATTCCTGCACATTGTTTCCGTGCTACCTTTCCCTTTAAGGCTCCTTTAGCCCACCTGAGAATTCAAGATAGCTTTTTGAGACTTGATTCTGGCCGTCTTCTAAGTGGCTAGCACTTGAATAAAGCTGCTTTGCTTCCACCCAGCTTTGGTTGTCCTGTATGTGGCTTTTCAAGCAGTGAGCAGCCAATCCTGAGTTTGCTTACAATAGCCAGGTGCCCAGCATGGGGCTACATGCCTCAGGCTATCTAGCCTGCCCAGTATCCAACAGAAGGAGCATTTGGATGCGGCAGCATGCCAAGGCTTACCTGTTCATGCTGTTGGGCAAAGCAAAAACTGCTCATGATTGCTGCTCCTGGCCAGCTGACCTGATGGCTGGGATTCTAGGAATGACCCAACAGCTGCCGAGAACTCTTTTTCTGAGGGAGTCCCCTTGTCTCCCCACTGTGGTATCAGCTGCCTTCAACACTGCACTGGTGTGAAGAAAATGGGGATTGGGAAGCCGACAGGCCTCAGAACTGCAGAAGCTGAACTGGTGTGCTTACCAGAAATCCTGTCTGCCTTTTGAGCTTTGTGCCATTTGGACCTAACATAGTTCGTTTGTGGTACCCATTGCTTTGAATTACAATTTATTAACTTTCCAGTCTCCCTCTATAGGAATTTGCTTGAGAGGACTTCCTTTGTTTGCTTTGATCTCTCTGTGTTTGTGCTCTTCTGTTCTCTACCCTGAGAATGGGTGGCTCAATTTCTATTCCACCTAAGAGCTTGTGAGGCCATATCTTGGATGATTAAAAAGCTCATAGCTACAAACCCATGACAAAAATAAAGCTAATTTAATATTATTAAGAAAAACAGCTACATGTTCTGAGTGATTAGCAAAACGCTCATGTGTTTAACTTTAAGATTCTACTTTGGTGAACATCTGATGTTCCCAGGCTTTAAAAATGGTTAACAAAAAACATGTTTTAATACAAAATTAATTATAAAAATTTTATGCATTATGTTCTTATTTAAAATAAGTTTGTCTAATTCAAAAGTTATCTGAAGATAAATTAAAACTATCGACTTAAAAAGTTATTTATGAAAAACATTTCTAAAATTAACTTGGCTATAATTTTAAAATTTATCTATTGATCTATCTGTTGATTGCTCTATCTATCTATCTATACAATAGTCTTTCTGAAGATTGGTCCCTTGTATTAAAACAAAGTTTTCTTAAGGAATTAAGTTGCTCTTAATAAAATTACAAGAGGTTTTGCTTTTTAATTCTATAGACTGTCTCTTTTTAAAACCTTTCAGATTCATATCTCAGAAGTTCCTTTGCTGCTTTCAGCTTTTTCTCTCCTTGAGAAGGGCTGAGATAGTAACTCTGTCCTTCAACTTTTTCTTCAGCTTCTGTAATTTATTTTCCTTTAGTTTTTACTGTTTTGTGGTCTGATAATAAAATGTTTTATCTTAAAGTGTCCAGAAAAGCAATATTTTCCTGCAGTATAACTTAATTCTGTACTCTTGGCTTTTCTTAGTATGTCTAAATTTTTCTTTTTCTTTTTTATTTTTGAGACAGTCTCACTCTCTCATCCAGGCTGGAGTGCAGTGGCATGATCTCAACTTACTGTAACCTCTACCTCACAGGCTCAAGTGATCCTCCTACCTCAGCCTCCCAAGTAACTGGGACTGCAGGTGCATGCCACCACGCCTCGCTGATTTTTGTATTTTTTTTTTATAGAGATGAGGTTTTGCCATGTTTTCTGGGGTGGTTTCGAACTCCTGAGCCCAAGCAATCTGCTCACCCCAGCATCTCATGTCTAAATTGTTCAATATAATTAAGAGGCTTCTCATGGAATTACTAAGAGTCATATATTTCTTTGCTTTACTCATAAACTTGAACACACTCTCCCTGTGTTTGATTAAATCCAAGTACTTCTTTTAGCAGGTTTGACTACCAGGTTACCTAAATGGACTTCTCACAAGGAAAAACAACCACACTGCAGAAGATTTTTCTTTACCTTTTTGGTAACTGACTAAAAAAAATAAAAACAAAGAAAAAAACCAAGATTTTATATTTTATCAAGATAATTGCTATGTTGTCTTTATTTGATTTTTGATTACTTAGAAAAACCAAGATTTAAGAGGATTAAAATTTTCACATCCATGTAACCTTCTGTATTGCCTTTAAAGTCTTTTATCACTTTGGTGAAATGAGTAACTTATTTTGCAATGACCTGTGATTCTATTTTGATCAAATGTTTTGAGACTTTTAACATCTTTGACAAATGTCCTCAAAATCAAAATTCTAAATTAAGTATTTGACCTAGCCTTATTTACTGGGGACTTATTAAAGCTATAAAAGCTAATCACTGCAAGGTTGTAGAATCTTTTTACAGCTTGCAGTCAAGTCATGGACTCCAGTATCACCACCTTCAGCCTCTTGTAAAGATCCTTATCAGGGACTATTAACTAATCTTGTGCTGTTGAGTTACAGGCTTTGACTGCTGGGTACACATATCTCATCTAAAGAAGGCACCAACTCCTGCCATTATCTGACGCCAAACTCAAGTTAACCAAACCTTGTCTTAGACCCAAGCAAAGGTGACAATCAAAGTAAACTGCTTTCATGAGGACACAGGGACAGGACTCTGTTCAAAAACATTAAGACTCATTTCATAATTTTGCCTCTATTTGAATAAATATAATTTATTCTGTGCCTTGATACTAAGTAATTTATATGTTTAGCTACCTGTGAGCTTCCTTTCCTGTCATTTCTTTTTTTTTTTGAGACCGAGTCTCACTCTGTTGCCCAGGCTGGAGTGCAGTGGTGTGATCTCTGCTCACTGCAAGCTCCGCCTCCTGGGTTCACGCCATTCTCCTGCCTCAGCCTCCCCTTTCCTGTCATTTCTAAGACTAGGCAGGGATTATGACCTTTCTGTTTACATTGCTGATTCTTTATGTTGTATTTTACCTTCAGAATTCAAAACTATTTAATCCCTCCAGGCTCAAGGACTATAATGGAAAAGGCGGATATGTGAGATTGCAAAGGCTGATTTTGAAGGAGAAAATTACTTCAGACCCCCTAAATCAAGAATGGGCACACAGATTCCTAAACAGCTGGCAAACCAAGGGACTTTGCCTCCTTGGTCATTATATGGTCCCTTTCCATCCATCCCAACCATAAAGAATTTCTTGTCCCAGGAAATACATATACTATACATATATATATATATGATATCTATATGATATATATCATATATATGATATCTATATATCTATATGATATCTATATGATATATATATATGATATATATATATATATATCAGCCACCTTAAAACAAATTACTGAAAAGACCACAAAAAGCATTATGGCACAGCAAAAGTCTCTAAATTCCTTAGTTAAATGGTTTTAACAAAATGCTGTGCTTTGTATAGCTAATTTCTATGAACCAAGATTACAGTAGCTCAACTCGTAGAACCTATAGATGATAGATGATAAGTTAATTTTATAACTTTGCTTTTTGGCTTTTGATTTTTGGCTTTCATATTACTTAGAAGGGCTCTGAGAATTAATGAGTGCCTGCTCACCTCCATTCTCATCTGGCCTGAAACTATTAATTGGCTACAAGTCTTTTGACTCTAAGCCCCTTGGCCACAGGGGTCTCCCTGAGGGACATGAGAGACTTGGGTTAGGTAGCACACCACCCCAGCATCAATATGGAATAAAATAAAAGCTAGGCCATTGATAGTGCTTTTGGTATATCTTGACCCAAAACAGGGAAACAACCACGGAAAAGATAAAATCTTAAGCCCCCGTTGACTAAATGAACCCCTCCTTTTTGACCAAGGAAATCCCCTGAAAAAAAATCCTGAAAAATTAGTTCAGGCCATGAAAGGAAGGGGAGGGTTGAATGTGCCTTGTTATACCCTTCCCCATTTAAACTTTAGGCACAACTGAGCAGCATTAACATTTAAATAGAGACCATAAGACTGACAAGACAGACTCTTTGTGGCAATAACATACCAAATTATAACCAGGACCTAAGACCATGCCAGGCAAGGGTTAAGTCACACACTCCTAGGCTTAAAAAGTATACTCTGTTCTAACTGCCACAAGGTTTATCTTCTTCTCAAGCAGCCAAACAAGCACTGGCCCCAAGATAAGCAACGTTAAAACAAATGGCATCTCTTCTAGATGCTGACTAACTGACCCCAGCCCCTATTCCGCCAGCTATAACTGCAGCTTTAATTAGACAAAAGACTGATTTCAGTGACTTTATCCAGATAAAAAGACCACAGACCATGGCCTAATTCTGGCTGGTTTACAGAAATTAAGCCCTTTTGTAATTAGATCTATTTGTGTCCTAAATAGACCTATTGATGTACAAGACCTAATTTTAATATATTTAGACGTTAAGTCTCCACCCCAAAATAAGCATGGGCCATATGTTATACAGATGTTTATTCAATACACATGTGTCAGGACCACCTCCGTAAATATTCATAGCTCCCCCTGCAACCTGTTAAAAATGTGTGTTTAATCAACCTGTTGTGATATCTCCACAGGAGCTCTGAGTACAATTAACAGTGGGAAACAAACTTATTGACTTACTTATTGATATCAGGGTCATATATTTTATAGTTATTACTTGTCTATCCCCTGACTGAAAACGAAACAGAACAAAAATGATGACGATTGCAGGAATGTCAAAGAAAGTATGAGTCATCCTTTTCTTGCAATGTTTAGATTATCATCTTAGAGACCACAGTAAACACACAAGAAACCCTGAATGTTGGGTGTATATTCAAAATAAATTGGAAAACATCTCTGCCCTCCAGGACATGAATGAACAAATTAATGCAATGCCCAAACCTATGATGTTACTAAACCAGTGGTTCTCTTTTTTGTTTGAGTCAGGACCCTCCTGGTGAAAAAAAAAAAAAAAAAACTACTCATCATTCTGGCTATGTTTCTAGGAATAGGCCATACTTCTTTACTGTGGGTTATGCTGTTGCTATACAACATACATAGGGTTACAGGATCACTTTTCCCAGATCTTACCCCCTCATCCAATGATGCTTTGACATGTTACCCCTGTGATCCCAGGAACACAGAAATATTTCAAACTCCAAGAAAGTAAGTTCCATTCCTCAGGCACCTAGCAAGGCCTGCAGCCAGCAGGAAGTAGTCAGAATGAAGTCGACACCCTGATACCCCGTAGAAATGGAATGGACATTGACAGTGGGAAGTTTGTAATCTATATGGCCAGTTTGCTAGCTTACTCTATATGTGTGGACTGTTTCTGGGCTCTTCATTTATTCCATTGATCTATTCTTCCATCCTTTTATCAACACCACAAAATCTTAATAATGTAATTATCAAATAATTGTGAATGTCAGCTGATGCAAAACCTACTTCCTTTACAAGAAGATCTTTGTCATTCTTGGCTGTATACAATATAATACTATATCAATTATAGAATCATCTCATTATGTCTCTCTGTCTCTCTTTCTCTCTCCTCTCTCTCTCCCTCCCTCCCTCTCTCTTTCACACACACATACCAATGCACACACGTGCACACTCACATGCACACACACACACACATGCTCACACACATACACACACATCCTGCAAAGATGTTTATTGTTACCTCACTAAATCTACACATTAATTTGAAGAAACTTAACATCTTTTCAATGTTGTGTCTTTCTAAGTGTAAACATAATATTTAGATATTCTTTAATTCATTCCAGTAATGTTTTATGTATTTTTTTTCTAGAGATCTTGTTTCTACTTTGTTAGACTTATTCCTTGGTATTTAACATAATTGAAGTTATAAATGGTATATATTTTACTTATTTGTATACGGACATTCAAATCTATAAACATCCTTTTAAATTTTGCTTTAACTTTATTCTAGAGGTTTTGATATGTAGTGCCTGGCACATGATAGGTGGTCAATAAGTATCTGTGGAATTCTCATTATAAGGGTTGAGCAGGTTGACCTCTGAGTTCATTGTCAGTTATGACTATCTAGAATTTTTGGATGTTGTAGTTATGTCAAGTTTTCTATTACATAGTTAAATGTAGGAAAATGCCCAACAACCATGGTTGCATTTTGGTATTTATTTAACTTCTTAAAACTTGTTATCACCATGGTGTTGAAAAAAAATTCTTTTGAGCTTTTTCACTAATCAAACAAATGAGTCACTAAAGAGGCTGGTGATGAGTCATCTGAATGCAAGCATTTATCCCAGTTATGCAAATGAAAGATCTGATTAGAGTGGTAGATCCAAAATCTGAGTCCCAAAGTTCACCAAGGTGAAACACTTTTAAAACCTCAGAGTGGTCGTCAATTTATTAAAAATTTAGTTATAAGATAGATGACTACATCCATGATTAGGAAGATTAAGGGACAATTTAGTGCTTCTATGGTCATTTTATCTATAAGCTTTCTTTTGACCCAAGCTCTCCTTTACAGCAATGAAATACAATATGAATAATATTCACTTGTGAAGTCCACAAAAGATTTTGTCTTTTCTCATGCCATACAGGTGGCCCAAACCAAATTCATGGTTCTCCCTCAAATCACCACTATCCTCCCAGTGACTCAGACTTTTAATTTCCTTGATATTCTGTTTAGTTAACAATGAAAATTAGTGTTTTAATTATACAGGTTTAAAAATGATAATACGGCTGATCGAAGTATAAAGAGATAAAAATCACTTGAAATTAGACCATCTTGAAATAAATACTGTAAACATTTTGGTGATCATTTATTCATGCACATCTTTATATGTTTAAATCACCATCTTCATATAATACTTTCTTTTTGTCTTGGACGTATTTTACTTTTTTATGGCATTACCCCTCTCTCATTCCTCATCACATGCATCAATATCTCCAAATCACCAGATATACAATGTTAACAGCAAGATGTGTATCCTTCCATAATATTCTTCATCAAATGAATATATGTTCATATACAGCTTTTTCATTGTCTTGTGTTTATTTAAAAACAAAGAATATATTCAGAACTCTAAAACCCAGTAATAAGGTAACAAACAACCCAATTAAAAAATGGACAAAAAATTAGAACAGATACTGAAGAAGGTACTAAATAGATGACAAATAAGCACATGAAAGAGATGCTCAATATCATTAGTCATTATGGAAATATAAAGAAAAATCACAATTATATACTTACTAGAATGATCAAAATTGGAAACAATGACTACAAGGGTGCTGACAATAATGTGGAGGAACTGAAACTCTAATCCACAGTCTGTGGAAATATAAATTGGTACAATCACATTGGAAAACAGTTTAACAGCTTCCTATAAAGTTAAACATCCACTGACTATATGATAGTCTTCTCATTTGTAGGTATTTTTCCAAGGAAATGAAAGTATATGTTCATGCAAAGACATGTACAGGAATGTTCAAAGTAGCTAATTTTGTAATAGTTCAAAAGTCAAAGCAACCAAATGTTCATCAAGTGAATGGATAAACAAATTGGGTTGTGTCCACACAATGGAATACTACTCAGCAATAAAAAGAACTCTGATAGAAGCCAAATGAATAAATCTCAAAATATGATGAAAGAAGCAACACAAAAAAAGTAAATACGATTCTATTTGTATAGAATTCCAGAAAAATTGGAAATAATCTACAAAAAGGAGAAAGTAGTGGTTCCCTGGGGATGGAAGGGGCTTTGGAAGGGCAAGATGGAGAAATTACACAGGGACATGAGGACATTTTCAGTAGTAAAAGATATGTTCATTATCCAGAATGTGTTGTTGGTTTCATGGGTACACATATGTCTCAGAAGTTATCAAATTGTGTAGTTTATTATGTGTAGTTTATTTAAATATACAAAAGTCAGTTTATATATATATATATAACTCCTTTTAATTGGCATATGACATTCAATTGCATACATGTTTCATAGTTTATTTAAATACTTCTCTACTGATGTATATTTATATGTTCCCAGAGTTTTACCACCACACTAGTGATTACATATATACATATATAATATATATACACACACACATATACAAGTGTGTGTATATATATATAGAAACTATATATACACACACCAGCACACATGGATAATAGCTATATAATTATCTATTTATAATATCTAGCACTATTTATACAGTAGAGCTTTTAATTCTGGGAAACAGATTGCCAAAACTAATATATTTCTTTAATTTCTGTGGTATGATAGATCATGTTTCCAAAAGGTTGTCACTATCTATCACTCCTCTGCTAATAGAGAATATGCTTTTAATTTATATACTCAATAGATATAATTTCAAAAATATTTTGCCAAACAGAAGAATATAAAATAATATTCCATCATAATTTTAATCTGCATTCAATTAAAATCAGTAACTAATAACATACCTTTATATACATTGGGCATTAAGATCTGTTATTGTATTTTTATTTTTCTAATTTTATTCTGCGTCCATAACCCTATTTAGTTGTTTGCTTTAAAAATCAATTCATATATGTTCTTTGCATATTTTACATATTAATCTTTTATCAATCTCTGTATTAATCTTTTATCAATCTATGTATCTATGTGTCTAAATATTTTTTAAACTCCATCATTTGTTATTGATTTTCTCTGGCATAATTTGTCATATTTTAAATTCTACAGAGTAAAATATGTGAATTTTTTTTAAACAATAGTTTTGAAGTTTCTTTCTTGGTTTGAAATATTTTCACACACATTTAGGATAAAAATACTTTGAACTTTTCTTGTTATATAGTTATTAAGGTATAATTGATGTATAATAAACTACACATGAGAAGCATATAATTTTATAAGTACTGACTCTTCTATGGCTTTAATTATTTAACATTTTTATTAGAATTACTTAGTTCAACATCCAGAGATAAACATGGAATTATAATTTCTTATTTTGATAGCCAACAAAACTTTCAAAAGCCATAAAATCCTTAGGAATACTTTTAGCAGAAAAGATATACCTAAAAAATAAAAATATAAACTTATATTTCTTGTTAGATGAAAATAATTGAGAAATGAATACATGAAAAGACCTAGTATTCTCTTATAAAAAAAGATTCAGAAACTTCTATTTCAAAATGAATATATAAATGAAATTTTATATAAATTGAAATAGGTTCACAATTTTAGTTTGAGTATTATTTTTTAAATGAAATACAATGATATTAGCCTCTATGAAGAAGAGCCTGACATACAACTGAAACAATATGAGGAATAATAGATGATCTTCCCCCTATGGTCACTAAAATATAAATACAGAGTAATCAAAGAGTATGTTATAGACATATCTCCAGACATATGAAGTAGAATGGAAATAAATATCTAGAAATAGTAATGAAACCTATATGAAAATACATTATATGACAAAGCATGATTTTAACTTGAAAAATATTGCAGGGCTCAGCTGAATATTCATCAGGAAGAAAACTCCTTACCTCACACCATATACAAAACTAACATGTCAGATCCACTCTTAATTTATCATTTTCCTTTATAATCCATGAGCCATATATCATCAGGAAAGTATGTATGCAGGTGTGTATGTATGTATGTATGTATCTATCATCTGTCTATCTCTCTGTTTATATATTAAATATAAACTTTGATGTCAGAGAGCCCTATGTTCAAATTCCAGATCTATTAACTTTCCTTGTATAAACTAGGAAAAGTTATTTAAGACCTTTAACCTAGTTCTTTCAACTGTATAGAGGGATAATAATGCTTATATCACGTGATGTTTGGGAAGATTAAGTAATATAACATGGCTAAATTGTAACTGGTTTTGGCAGAGAAATTACAATCAACAAAAATCATTTCACTCTACCTCTTTCCTAGGATAGCTTAATCAATTGTAAATTACTTATCATATCTGTCCATTTCTTTGTATTATTAGGATATTGCTCATGAGAAGTTCTCCTTTTAATTCCAACAGCTTCTAGTGTCTTTGCCTCTGGTGTCATACTGATAACTACCCCAAGACAATCTCCTAATGCAGACATATGTTGATCTGAGTTTCTGGGCAAACCTTTATTTCTTGCTTCTTTGTCCCCTTCCGTGACACCAAAACCTTCAAGAATATAGAAACTGAGGATCTCCCACATTCCAAAAAGAATAAAAGAAGCAGCTACATTTTATTTTCTCTTAAACCTCAAATTGTGCTGACTCAAGAAAACGAGATGTACACTGAGGCTTCTGATATAAGATTCCAGTGAGCAGAGGTCAGGACTGTACCCACCTTACTGCTCATGTTGTTGCCAAAAGCATTATTCAACTCACTTTTGGTTCCAAAAGGCATACAATAAAATAAGTTTCAACAAGTTTGAACTCTTCAAATTAGGCAATGTTTGAGCATGTCATTTCTCAACAGCTAAGTTAATATTTTCTTGCCCTGAAATTAAAAAAAAAAACAACTTTCCACTGATCTAAAATACTAACATAGACTCAACTTTCTCATCATCATAATCAGAGTAAATTGGTGCAAGCTTAAACAAGGTACAAAGCACATTGGTTTAATAACCATATTTTCACCTTAGGATAATAAATGTGAATTGCTGGGAATGAGGACATTATTTATACACCACACTTCTTAAGAGTGTTAGAAGCTTGTGCAGCTCAGGAAGAATTTCAGTGGAAATTGTCAATGCTACTTATAAGGCCCTGACCGATTATTGTTTCAGAGAGGATCAAATCATGGGTTTGGTCTGGTAACTGCTTTTTAGACATGCTTTGTTAAACTGGAATAAGGTTCCTTAAAAATCATTTAAGAATCTTTGACAGAGAAAAGAGAGATTATCTGTAGCCGGAGGCTGTGTTTCCTAGCCTGCTTATCAGTAGGAAAGTAAAAATGTTTATAGAAAAATATCAGCAAAGTGGTCTTCTTCAAAATACTTGCTTCATTTTTATTCTACTTTATGATTTGTGTAGAAAGAATGAGGCTTCAGTTCAGCTTGGTACAGAGAAAAGTGCAGTTCATTTTTACTTCCTGGCTGAAGGATCAAGGGCTAATGCATTTTGTGGCATCTTCTTTCTCCTGCAAGCTCTTGGAGGTACAGAAATAAAGCTTCCTTGCCCCTGTGTCTCTGCGTGTATCCAATGCGGAGCAGAAATCCTCGCCTAGCCTACAATGGGCTTGTGGAAAGAGCAAGAAATAAACCTTTCATTTTGTAACCCCCAGGGAGTTTGTTAGAACACAGCGTATTTAACCTGTCTTATCTTGACTGATATTTCTACTTATGCCAGTCACTTAAATGTCTTATAATCAATACCTTAACTTATTAGGTTGAATTTTAAGAAATTGCTGGTTTGAAAAATGATAAATATGTAAGATAATGGATGTGTTAATTCACTTGATTGTAGCAATCATTTTAGAATGGATATGTCAATGCATCATGTTGTACACCGTAAATACATACGATTTTTAGTTGCTAATTATACCTTAATAAAGCTGGGGAAAATTGTTGGCTTCAGTCCAAAAGTAGTCAAATAGAAGCATGCATATTTTTATTTGCCAGAAATTGTAATTTATCCACAATTTTGCATTTGTTTCTGTAATTAACATTCTATTATGAATATTTTTCATGTTACTGTACATTTTTTATTTTAATGACTTTAGATTTGCTTTTATAGATTAATTAATTTAAATTGTTTGTAAGATTATATAGGTCCCATTTTCATTTTAATTTATTCTATAATAGCCATCTTTGGGAATATCACATCATTACTATTTAGGGTTATGTATTAAGATCTATTTTGAGAAACACAATGAGCAAAATATGTAAGTATTTAGATAACACTGATGCATACTGACAAATTAAATTTCAGAAGTAGTACTAATTAAAACTCCTTATGGTCCTACCATATTTTCCCAGACCCGTGGCCATGACTGTAATAACTATAATAACTCCACTCTCACCTGGCATCAGTGAGTCAGAATGAGGTGATGTAAAGTGAGGTAGTCCCCCTTCCCTTACTGTGAGCAGGAGCCAATGACTAGCTGAGTCCCAGTTCCCACCAGATTGAACAAGGTGGACATGGTGGTGGGAGGTAGACTCACCTGGCAGTCCAGTTTTCTAGTTCCTTTCCCTGAGTGTCAGCAAAGGCCAGGACAGAGTGAATCTCACACCCCTACTCAAAGGAACAGAGACAGTGTGGGTCACTCCTACAGTTCCGCTAGGAAAGTATCAGCAGAGCCAGGGTGAACCTGAGCATTCATCCCACACATATGCATTGAGGGGCCCACTGTGTTGAGATGGCATTGGCAGGGCCCAAAAGGAAACTGAACATATATGTACCCAGCCCTCATGCCACATCTCATCATGCAGATTGCCCAATAAAAGAGAAAGAATAAATAGGATCTGTTGTTTCAAAATTAGAAGAAAAAGAAGCAGCCAAATGTCAGGATATAATTAAAAGTTACTTGTCATTTGAAGAACCAGGGACATCACAATATAAATGAGAAAAGAGACCAGCATAAAGATGAATCAGATGTTGAAATTATCTGAAAGGATCTTAAAGTGGCCAAAATAAAAATATTTTAACAAGCAATTATGAGTTCTTATGGAACAAATAAAAAATAGAAATCTCAACAAAGAAATAGGTCATAAAAAACAAGTGCCATTTTAGAACCGAAAAATAAAATCACAGAAATTAAAAAACAAACTCCCAGAATGAGCTCAATAATAGACTGGAGATGACGGAGGATAGAGTCGGTGAACTAGAGGACAGATAGTTAAAATTACCTAATCTGAATGACAAAGAGAAAATACACTGAGGAAAGAAACCAAAGTTTCAGGGACCTGTAGGACAATTTTTTTTAAATGCTAAAGTTTATTTGATGAGCATTTCAGAAGAATAGTAAAAGACAGTGAGACTACAAGGCATTCAAAGAAATAATGGCTGAAAACTTCCCACACCTGGCGAGAGACTCAGGGTGAGAAAACCTCTATCAAGATAAACCAAAATAAAACATGCAAGAAAGACACATCATAACTAAATGTCTGAGAACTGAAGACAAATTAAAAACCCATGCAAGCGTCCATAGACAAATGATGCATTACTTGAAAACATCAGAGAGGAAAAAACACACGTATAGGTTAGAATGTGTAAAATAGGGTGAATATAATAGACTCTCCTAATTCTCATAAGTTTCTCAAATCGTACTTGATGATTGAAGCAAAAATTATAATACCACCTGATGTGATGCTTAATGTAGGTAGAGGAAATATTTAAGACAATTATGTTATAAAGGAGATGAAGGACCTAAAGGGAAGGAAGATTTCTTCACTCAAGGTCATAAAAATTTGAAACCATTAGACTGTGATAAGTTATGTATGTTGTATAGAGAACTCTTGACATAACTGACTCCATCTTAGAAAAAGACTCCACCTTACATTTCACAAGGCATCATGCCAACAGGACCAGATGTTTACCTAATCCATAGAGATTGCACCCAACCAGAGGTGGACATAGCCAGAGGACTGCCATTCTTCACCAGAGGGCTCTGTGGCCATCAAAAGAGCAGGACTTCACCAGCTTGAGACGGCCATGTTAAGACACTGTCCTGCTGTCACTCATGATCAGCACCTAGCATCTGCCACTGAAGGTGCTGCCCCAAACAAAGACTCTTCCTGCAAGACGTTAACATCCATTGGATCAGCTGAGACACTCTCCTTGTCCATGTCACCCTCCTTAGACCGGTTTATTAACCCCATTATTATATCCCATTTTCTCTTGATTTTAAATGTTATTTTGTTTGATGTGGTATGTTTAATCTGTAGCATTTATATATTTATTAAGTATACTATTACATATGGTTTGCAATGTTGACTGATTGTGGATCACATGAGCCTGTGTGCCTGCAGCTTTAACTACCTAGTGAATGGGTAGTCCTAAGAAGAATTGCCTCCTTGTGAACTCCTTCTAGCTCGTGGCTTTTGTGACTGAAATAATACCAATAAAAATCTTACCTTAGGGAAAGATACAAATGTGCGTGGACCTGGTTATGTCTGACCTGGTGCTACTCATGACATATGTGTACGGAAATCCCTAGAACAACCACTAAGAAAACTCTTCCAAATACTATACTCATCACACACTAAGTAAATCAAATTGGAATTCTAAAATATGTACAAATAACCCAGAGGAAGTTGAGAAAAGAGGGACAGAAGAATGAGAAAGAGAAGACAAATGGGAAACAAATAATACAACAGCAGATTTATGTCCGAATGTATCAATAATTAATTTATATGTAGTTTTACATTTTACATTTAAGTTTGTGATCCATTTTGAATTAATTTTGGCATGAGGTATGAAGTCAATGTTGAGGCTTCTTTTTTTCCTTTTGCCTAGGAATATTCAGTTGGCCCATCACCATCTGCTGAAAAGATGCTTTTGCACCTATGTCAAAAACCCATTGGATGTATTTGTGTTGGACTATTTCTTAATCCTCGATTCTGTTCCACTGGAATATGTGTCTAACTCTCTGCCAATGGCATACAAAAGAAGATATAACAATCCTAAATGTGTACAAGCTCAACAAGAAGATTTACAATACATGGAATATAAATTGATGAAGATCAAAGGAAAAGGCAAATCTGAAATTATGATTGGAGATTTCAAAACTCCTCTCTCAGCAATTGATAGACTAATTGAGAGAAAAAAAAAAAAAGAGCAAAGACCAAAAAAATTCAAAAAGGTGCCCTAGCATCTTTGAGCCTCACAAAGCCCCAGATTCTAACCATGAGTTCTCTTGCTCTCACCAGAAACCCTCCACTCAGTAGGAAAGGGTCCTCAACTGTCCAGTTCCTATAAACTGGATCACCTGCAATTCATCAGGTCCTCAGCCTGTTGGGTTTCATCTCCCTGCCAGCCCACACAAGTCGATCACATTCTCCCACAGAAATGAGGTGTCACCCCCTCTCTTCTTACTACAAACCTGGCCTCCTGTGGTCCCTGGTTGTTCCCTCTCTCACAGAGCACAACCCCTGTGGCCCTGTGTGGTATGTGGTACTCTCTCTTTATGCAGGCAGCACATGTGACTCATGAGCCATGCTTCTCACTTGTCTGGTGCTGAGTGTGCTGTGTTTGGCCATCTCATGCTGTTTAGAGAGAGGTGTCTCTTTTTCACCCATGGGGTGAATAGGAGGTGATGAGAAAAGATATAGGTGCCTTGAACAACATTATCAATGAACTTGACCTAATTAAGATTTCTATTTCTAATTTCTATTATCTAATTGTTGCATTCAGCAACAGCAGGGTATACATGGTTTTCAAATGTTTGCAAACATTTACTAAAATAGACAATATTCTAGTCTTTGAGACGAGTCACAATAAATATAACAAGATTCAAATAATACAGAGATATTTGCTGATCACAGCAGAATTAATAAGAAATAATAGAATGATATCTGGAGAATCCTCAAATAATTAGAAATTAAATAATGTTGGCCAAAGAAGCAAATCACTATCAAAAGAATAGATTCTTTAATGAATAATAATTTTAAAAAGACCGGGGTATACATCTTACAGTTTTTAAAAGAAATGTATAGCTTTAAACAGTTATGTTAGAAAAGAAAAACAATATAAAATTAGTAGTCTACTCTTTTTGTTTGTTTGTTTGTTTGCTTGTTTTTTGTTTTTTGTGTTTTTTTTTGAGATGGAGTCTCACTCTGTCACCCAGGCTGGAGTGCAATCGCGCAATCTCGGCTCACTGTAACCTCTGCCTCCCGGGTTCAAGCAATTCTCCTGCCTCAGCCTCTTGAGTGGCTGGAATTATAGGCGCGTGCCACCATGACTGGCTAATTTTTGTATTTTTTTTTTTAGTAGAGATGGGGTTTCACCATGTTGGTCAGTCTGGTCTTGAACATCTGACCTCGTGATCCGCCCGCTTCAGCCTCCCAAAGTGCTGGGATTACAGGCGTGGGCCACCGTGCTCTACAGTTGTCTAAGTTTTTAACTTAATATTACAAAGAACAAATACCCCCAAATTAAGTAGAAGGAAAAAATAATATAAAAACAGAAAGCAATTCATAGAAATTATGTTTTTCTATTATTTATTTCTCTATTTTATCTGTCTCTATTTTCGATTTCTCTCTTAAGGAAAAGAGGAAAAATAATACAATTAGAAAAATAAATAGAGTTGAAAGATGTTTCACAGAAAATAACAATAAAATTTACATTCTGATAGAATGATGGAGACTTAAGAGACACAAATCACACTATTAAGATGGAAAAAGGAGATATAATTATAAATTCTACTGACTTTAAAATAAGGTAATATTATACACAACTTTACGTCAACAAATTCAATAACTTAAGTGAAATGAACAAATTATTTGAAAGACACAAATTACCAAAACTGATTCAAGAAGAAGTAGTTAAATCTGAATAGACTTAGATACATTAAAGAAATTGAGTACCTGGCCAAACACTTTTCCACCAATAATTAAACACTCCAGGGACACATGGCCCCTCTGATGAATTTTATCCAATATTTAAGCAAAAAATGACACCACTGCCACTCAAAACTCTTATGAAATAGAGGAGTGAACACTTTGCAACCTATTTTATGAGGGCCTTATTAATCTGATATTAAAAACCGTACAGAACTCAATAATTAAAAAATATGGAACTATATTCTCTTATAGTTTAACACAGAAATAGCTTTTAAAAATTAACTAGTAGAATCAGGAATCCATAAAAGGAATAACACACCGTAACTAAATGGGGTCAGTTCAGAAATGCAAGTGTGCTTTTTTAAAATAACATTTTATTTCAAAATAATTACAGAATTTTTCCTATGGGAAGTAGCAAGGATAGTGTGGGGAGGACCCGTGCCCCCTTCACCCGGTTTTCTTGTTGGCTACATTTTACATAACTACAGTGCAACATCAAAACCAGGAAATTGGCACTTGCTACAATGTGTGGGTATAATTCTTATTATATTATCTTTAATGAAAGTTTTGGCTCAAAACTTACAAATCAGTAGTAGGGTAAGAGAAACTATTCTCTCTCTGAATTCTGTTATGCAATAACATGCATAAAAATATTAAAATGAAGATTAGAAAGTGTCACATGCTCGGAAATTAAAGCAACTATCATACAAGACATTTTGTATTATATCTATTAATAGCATCATACTCCGATTTATATTTTAAAGGAAGAGAGTACATTTATATTTGTACTTTCTACTGCTCTGCTTACACAATAGCAAATACAATTGTCTATTGAATATGGATGTGTGTATCTCAGCCTTAACAGTTAAATTCCTGGTGCAGAATATGTCCATTCTATGTGTACATTATTTATAGGAGTGGCAGTATGTTTTTATTTATTCAGACATATAAAAATTAATTTTTAAGGTAACTTCCGGCTCAACAAAAATCTGGATTATGCTAGAGACACAGATAAACATATATTTATGGGCTCTTTATGAAGTTCCCATGGGAAGCCTGAAAGTCAAAAGCAAGACCATAAAAATGAGCTCATCACTCTTAAGAAGCAGATAACTTACTCAGATAAGATAATAAATGTCCCAAGTATTCACTTTAAACTCAGATTGAACTGTGCCTGAACCCAGGGAGGCTGGATTCCCACCCCTGGATTGCCTTTCCCTTCTCGGTTCTCTTACTTCCTGGTTGGAGCCCAGGTGTCCTGTGCCAGCAGCTTTCTATCCCCAAACCACGTCCTTCACACTCTGCTGAGCCAGAAATGAACATGGACGTGCTGGGAGTCCGCACACACAGCTGGTTTCTGTTACAGTTTTATAAGGTTTCACCTGACACACCATTGGATGAGTTTTTTAAACTGCGCATGTGAAAATCTTTTAGTGTTTATAGATTAAGTGCTAAATCTTGGCAATGCCAGCTCACAGTTATTTAACAATTTCCTGAAGACGATGTGTGTACCTAAGCAGGCACACAGGCTTTTTAGTAACGAAGCCTCTGCCTGTCCTTCCAGACACATCTTGAGCAGTACTCCCACCTCCCTAGACTTTCTTAGTTACACGGTGGTCACTGCTCTGCCAAATGTATGTGCTTGAATAATCTTCACATATAAGTTAGTGAGCTACCTTTGTCTGGGCTGAAAATATTCTTCCCTTTGTTTCTGCTCAGTTGGGCTTCATAGGTCAGCTTCTTTTTATCACTCTCTCGATGAAAAGTCCAAGGCAGGCATGTCTAATTGACTGAAACTGGGTCATTTATTGTTCTCTCTGCAGGCCAGGAGAGTGAGGATGTAGTTGGTTTGTACAGGATAAATTTGACAACAGATATTGCAGATCAACTTTAGGGTACTGTTGAGGCTCTGCTGGGAGAGGAGAATTAGAGAGAGGTGAATTCATGAGACAGTTTAGGCCCAGAGCTAGGAAGACTAATGCATGTGAAAAGTGAGGAGATGTGTCTGACAGCCTCATCCAGATTCCTGGCATGTGGGATGAGGGCAGATGGAAAGACCACTCATTGAAACAGGACCAAACTTCCTTTACTCAATGTGGAGTATTTGTGAATATAGAAGAAGGAAAGGGCCATGGGACAGGTTCAGTTTTTGATGTTTCTATCCAGTGTTCAGGGGTCACTGATAAGTGAGAAAGTATGTGCCTTGGACAGGAGACCATGACAGTGATCTGGACCTGACATAGCACTGTCAATTTAGAGGAAGTAGTTGAAGCTGTGTGTGGAAGAGGCTCCACTCCGGTGGTATTGCTACAAATGCAAAGGCTGAATACCATGGGTCATGCTCTTTCTTTGACCTTCTAAAGAGTCTGGTGCAAGCCATATGTTGCCCTGTGCATCTTTGATTGTTATCTTTAGTCCACTGAGAATGTCCACTAACAATTAGGTAGGACTTATTACAGGCCATGCACTGTCCCAAGCATGTGTTTTCACTCATTTGATGTACACAGCACCTTAAGAGGTAGGCAATTTTTATGATGCCTATTTTACAACAGAGAAAGCTGAGGTGCAGAGAGATAAAACCCAACATTATAGAAAAAGTAAGTGTTAGATCCAGGGCTTCAACGTGAGACTCTTTTGCCCTGAAATCCCTGTGTCTCACCACACAAATATGCCTCTTTCAGAATTACATCATTTGTCACTCTGCCCTGTCACAAGACAATTAATGAAGTGTGTGTGTTGGCGGGGGGGGAGTGGGTGGGGAGTGGTCATCTTTTGAGGGATTGCAGGGTTCATAAAGAGAAGCTATACTTTTTCCTGGTTACTGTCTCCAAAGCCAAGCAAGAGTGATCAAGACAGCTTCATAATGTTTGGAGGAACCTACAAGAAGGAAAACCTGATAGTGTTTAATGCATATTACAGTAGATGCCATACTTAATTATAAATTTCTGAGTTTACTTCCCCATAGTTCTGTAAGCTTTTGAAGGCAAGACTTAACGTTAACCACCAAACCCCTAAATGGTAGTGTTTTTGTTAGAAACAGGCTGCCTCTAACCCTTCCAGCTCTTGAGGAGAAACGGGAGGAGAAAGATGACATTTGATCGTGTTCCAGGGAGAATGTCTAAGTTGTGTAAGTCAATTCTGACTCATGGGGAAAGGTTATTCTAAGTTTCAGCACACAGTTGTTTTTGTCCTTGTGTGAGGATGCTCTATAGGGCACGCCAGTGCCCCGGCTCATCCACAGGAAGTCTTTCATAGGAAGCAAACTGCAGTGTGTGGGGTTTCCTAAAAGAGCTTCAATATTGCAGTTCTAAAAAATTTCTAGAGGAGTTTGGGGCATATGGGGTTAAAGGTCAATGCAGGAAATCATTAGCGCACAGTAGGCATCTTCAATGAGATGAGCATTTGGTGTGGACACAGGGAAGGGAAGGTCTCATTAACACGCTGGCCAGTGAGGGCCTCACAGGTTTTATCTGGAAATAACAGGCAGTTAATTCCAGGTTTACATGCAGACTTATCTGCATACTCTGTGTTTTCAGATGGCATGTGCTATGTTTTAACCAACTGTGTATCTTTCCTTTCATAATGTGAATTGTGACCTGGAATTAATTCTAGCAGTATCAAATAGCTCCATCCATTTCTGGAACCTAAATAAAAAACAATGAACCACTCTTTCTAAAATAGGAGACCTGTTTACAAATCCTATTTGGCTACCCCTCATACTAGTAAAAGAAAGAGACCGTAAGTAAAGGGGAGAAAGGAAGAATGGAACAGAATGTTCACTCTTGTGTATTACTCCACTGTTATTATTGGTTCTTTTCTGCAATGAGGAATCAATGTTAGCATACAGTTGGTTTGTAAGAGATTGTAGGGGAAGATGGTAGTTAGGTCTGGAATTCAAAGAAAACTTCCTGGAGGAAGAAGAATATAAAAATTATAATAGAGGGATTCACCTTCTTCCTGGTTTAGTCTTGGGAGGGGGTATGGGTCCAGGAATGTATCCATTTCTTGTAGATTTTCTAGTTTATTTGCATAGAGGTATTTATAGTATTCTCTGATGGTTGGTTGTATCTCTTTGGGATCAGTGGTGATATCTGCTTTATCCGTTTTTATTCTGTCTATTTGATTCTTCTCTCTTTTCTTCTTTATTAGTCTGGCTAGTGGTCTATTTTGTTAATCTTTTCAAAAAACCAGCTCCCTGATTCATTCATTTTTTTTTGAAGAGTTTTTCACGTCTCTATCTCCTTCAGTTCTAATCTGATCTTAGTTATTTCTTGTCTTCTGCTAGCTTTTGAATTTGTTTGCTCTTGCTTCTCTAGTTGTTTTAATTGTGGGGTTAGGGTGTCGAAATATCTAAAAGTTATTTCCTGCTTTCTCCTGTGGGCATTTAGTGCTATAAACTTCCCTCTAAACACTGCTTTAGCTGTGTCCCAGAGATTCTAGTACATTGTATCTTTGTTCTCATTGGTTTCAAATAACTTATTTATTTCTCCCTTAATTTCATTATTTACCCAGTATTCATTCAGGAGCAGGTTGTTCAGTTTGCATGTAGTTGTGCAGTTTTGAGTGAGTTTCTTAATCCTGAGTTCTAATTTGATTGTACTGTGGTCTGAGAGACTGTTTGTTATGATTTCCATTCTTTTGCATTTGCTGAAGGAGTGTTTTACTTCCAATTATGTGGTCAATTTTAGAATAAGTGTGATGTGGTGCTGAGAAGAATGTATATTCTGTTGATTTGGGGTGGATAGTTCTGTAGATGTCTGTTAGGTCTGCTTGGTCCAGAGCTGAGTTGAAGTCCTGAAATATCCTTGTTGATTTTCTGTCCATTGATCTGTCTAAGATTGACAGTGGGGTGTTAAAGACTCCAGCTATTGTTGTGTGGGAGTCTAAGTATCTTTGTAGGTATCTAAGAACTTGCTTTATGAATCTGTGTGCTCCTGTATTGGGTGCATATATATTTAGGGAAGTTAGCTCTTCTTGTTGCATTGACCACTTTACCATTATGTAATGCTCTTCTTTGTCTTTTTTGATCTTTGTCGGTTTAAAGTCTTTTTTTGTCAAAGACTGGGATTGAAACCCCTGCAAATTTTTTGCTTTCCATTTGTTTAGTAAATATTCCTCCATCCTTTTATTTTGAGCATATGTGTGTCTTTGCACATGAGAGGGGTTTCCTAAAGACAGCACACCAATGGTTCTTGACTCTTTATCCAATTTGCCAGTCTGTGTCTTTTAATTGGGGCATTTAGCCCATTTACATTTTTTAGCCCATTACATTACATTTAGCCCACTACATTAATTCCAGGTCACAATGTTATGTGTGAATTTGATCCTGTCATTATGATGCTAACTGGTTATTTTGCCCATTGGTTGATGCAGTTTCTTCATAGTGTCCATGGTCTTCACAATTTGGTGTGTTTTTGCAGTTGCTGGTACTAGTTTTTCCTTTCCATATTTAGTGCTTCCTTCAGGAGCTCTAGTAAGGCAGGCCTGGTGGTGAAAAAATCTCTCAGCATTTGCTTCTCTATGAAAGATATTATTTCTCCTTTGCTTATGAAACTTAGTTCGGCTGGATATGAAATTCTGGGTTGAAAATTCTTTTCTTCAAGAATGTTGAATAATGGCCCCCACTCTCTTCTGGCTTGTAGGATTTCTGCAGAGAGATCTGATGTTAGTCTAATGGGCTTTCCTTTGTAGGTAACCTGACCTATCTCTGGCTGCCCTTAACATTTTTTGAAATTAAGGCAGTAATTATTAGCCTGGCAACCCAAAGAAAGCCCAGGAACAGATAGATTCACAACCGAATTCTACCAGAGGTACAAGGAGGAGCTGCTACCATTCCTTCTGAAAGTATTCCAATCAATAGAAAAAGAGAGAATCCTCCCTAACTCATTTTATGAGGCCAGCATCATCCTGATACCAAAACCTGGCAGAGACACAACAAAAAAAGAAAATTTGCCAATACCCTTGATGAACTTTGATTTGAAAATCCTCAATAAAATACTGGCAAACCAAATCCAGCAGCACATCAAAAAGCTTACCCATCCCAATCAAGTTGGCTTCATAACTGGGATGCAAGGCTGGTTCAACATAAGCAACTCAATAAACAATCCATCATATAAACAGAACTAATGACCAAAACCACAGGATTATCTCAATAGATGCAGAAAAGGCCTTTGGTAAAATCCAACACCTCTTCATGCTAAAAACTCTCAATAAACTAGGTATTGGTGGAACATATCTCAAAATAATAAAAGCTATTTATGACAAACCTACAGCCAATATCATTCTGAATGGGCAAAAGCTGGAAGCACTCCCTTTGAAAACTGGCACAAGACAAGGATGCCCTCTCTCACCACTCCTATTCAATATACTACTGGAAGTTCTGGCCAGGGCAATTAGGCAAGAGAAAGAAATAAAATGTAATCAAATAGGAAGAGAGGAAGTCAAATTGTACCTGTTTGCAGATGACATGATTGTATACTTAGAAAAGCCCATCGTCTCAGCCCAAAATCTCCTTTAGCTGATAAGCAACTTCAGCAAAGTCTCGGGATACAAAATCAATGTTCAAAAATCACAAGCATTCCTATACACCAATAATAGACAAACAGGGAGACAAATCATGAGTGAACTCCCATTCACAATTGCTACAAAGAGAATAATATACCTAGGAATCCAACTTACAAGGGATGTGAAGGACCTCTTCAAGGAGAACTACAAACCACTGCTCAAGGAAATAAGAGAGGACACAACAAATGGAAAAACATTCCATGCTCATGGATAGGAAGAACCAATATCATGAAAATGGCCATATTTCCCAAAGTAATTTATAGATTCAATGCTATCCCCTTCAAGCTACCATTGACTTTCTTCACAGAATTAGAAAAACCTACTTTAAATTTTATATGGAACCAAAAACAAGCCCATATAGCCAAGACAATCCTAAGTAAAAAGAAGAAAGCTGGAGGCATCCCGTTACCTGACTTCAAACTATACTACAAGGCTACAGTAACCAAAACAGCATGGTATTGATACCAAAACAGATATATAGACCAATGGAACAGAACAGAGGCCTCAGAAATAATGCCACACATCTACAACCATCTGATCTTTGACAAACCTGACAAAAACAAGCAATGGGGAAAGGATTCCCATGTGCAGAAAACAGAAATTGGACCCTTTCCTTACAACTTATACAGAAATTAACTCAAGATGAATTAAATACTTAAAAGTAAGGCCTAAAACCATAAAAACCCTAGAAGAAAACCTAGGCAATACCATTCGGGACATAGGCATGGGCAAAGACTTCATGACTATAACACAAAAACCAATGGCAACAAAAGCCAAAATTGGCATATGGGATCTAATTAAACTAAAGAGCTTCTGCACAGCAAAAGAAACTATCATTAGAGTGAACAGGCAACCTACAGAATGGGAGAAAATTTTTGCAATCTATTCATCTGACAAAGGGCTAATATCCAGAATCTACAAAGAACTTAAACAAATTTACAAGAAAAAAAACAAACCTATCAAAAAGTGGACAAAGGATATGAACAGACACTTCTCAAAATAAGACATTTATGCGGCCAACAAACATATGAAAAAAAAGCTCATCATCACTGATCATTAGAGAAATGCAAATCAAAACCACAATGAGATACCATCTCATGTCAGTTTGGTGATCATTAAAAAGTCAGGAAACAACAGATGCTGGAGAGGATGTGGAGAAATAGGAATGCTTTTACACTGTTGATGGGAGTGTAAATTAGTTCAAACATTGTGGCGATTCCTCAAGGATCTAGAACTGGAAATACCATCTGACCCAAAGGATTATAAATCATTCTACTATAAAGACACATGCACACGTATGTTTTTTGCAGCACTATTCACAGTAGCAAAGACTTGGAACCAACTGAAATGTCCATCAATGATAGAGTGGATAAAGAAAATGTGGGACATATACACCATGGAATACTATGTAGCCATAAAAAAGGATGAGTTCATGTCCTTTGCAGGGACATGGATAAAGCTGGAAACCATCATTCTCAGCAAACTAACACAGGAACAGAAAACCAAACACCACAAGATCTCACTCGTAAGTGAGAATCGAACAACGAAAACATGGGTGCAGGGATGGGAACATCACACACCGGGGCCTGTCAGGGGGTGGGGGACAAGGGGAGGGATAGCGTTAGGAGAAATACCTAATGTAGATGATGCGTTGATGGTTACAGCAAACCACCATGGCACGTGTATACCTATGTAAAAACCTGTATGTTCTGCCCCTGTATCCCAGAACTTAAAGCATAATAAAAAAAAATTGTAATTGAATCCAACAGGAGAGAGAAATACATTAGACAACTTAAAAATGAATATTATTTTATTTTTCTTCCCCACTCATTTCCTGACACTCTAACCACTATATGACATTAATGGTCTCCACAGAGTTCCATGACCTCAAATCTCTTCCTGCACTGTACTTGCCATTACAATCAAGCACTATTCTGCTACCAGAAATATCTTCTCTAAATGTTATTGTCTTTAACAACAAATGAGGAAACAAAAACAAAATAAGAATGACAACAAATGTGTAATGATGAATTTCTGCTGGCTATATGTGAGGTACCCGTTCCTGCATTACTCCAAAAATCAAATCTCGGGCTATTTCACCACTTTTATTTCCATAGATGATTCCTAGAAACTTCCCTTTTCTTTAAAAGAGCCACATATTTGCCCACCTCTTCTTTCACCCGGAATGTCTTATTTTTTTCTTATGTGTATCTATATACAATCTTACCCTTCTAAAAAGCAAACAAATTTTAAATGCATTTCATTAACCCGTTGCCTGCATGCAAATTCTCCATCTTCTGAGCTTCCATTGCCCTTTACTTTTTTGTCTAGTTTATTGTTTTGACCTATGATAAATAGGTACATGGTGGTGTGGGGGTGCGAGAGAGAAAGAGGCAGCTGTATCTCTTGGAAGCAACTTGAAGAGAGCAGAAATAAATGTGTGTTTCTTCTCTTAGCCTCTAATAGCTTTTGCCATAGTGAATTATACAGAGCAGGGCTCAAATATGACAACTTGAAAATGTCTTGGGTATGGAAGAGAACAGATCATGCAAGGAGCTGTTGTGGCTTTTTCAGAGGGTGTGGCTATGAAAGTTTCAGAATCTGAATGTGATTAGTTGGGTGGAGTGAGGTGGCGTAGTTCCCTCAAGTACCTGTCAGCCAAGCCTCATATTTCTCAGGTATCTAATGAGGCAGGAATGTTGAGCGTGATCATGGGACAATTATACACCTCTTTCCACTTACAAAGCCTCTGCTTATCAGTATTTAATGATTTATTTCAGCCTTGCTAGGCCTAATCAAGACAAGACACATTTTGCACAGTGCATCTAGGCAAATGACAAAAGAGAGGGCAGCCACTGCCTCTGTAACCTGGTGTATTTCATGTGAGTATCACATTTCCTTTCTCATCATGTGTTTTTTTCCCCAAGTGAATTATGAGATCACTGGGTATATTTCATTTTATCAGATGTAGATGCATTTTCTTTATCCTCTTGAAACATATTTTAATCTAGTCCATTAATAGAATTTAAATAAAGCCCTTTGAAAATGACTAAGTATTGTGCAACAGGAGAAAAACTAAGTACATTCTGAGCTAGGTCTCTATTCACAATTTGCACGTAAAGTCTAGCAGGTAATGAGCTTAAGTTCAGTTACGTGTTTGACTAGGAGGCCTGAGGACATCAAGGAGAGTAAACATGTAATATAAAACACATGTAGATAAACGTAAATATGTGAGCAAATTCCTCAGCATGTAAAAGTTTAAAAGTATGTATATAAAGCCCAAATACGTAAACATACTCTTTAAGAATATTTTAGAGATTCAATTGCTGGGCATAATTTACAGCCCAGGTATTTCAGCCATTTGGCTTGTAGATGAAGGAAACAATCACAAGCAGAATCAGTGAATTACCTACCATCCTACAGGAAGTTAGCATAAGTCATGAGCTTCAGAACTTAAGCCTGAGTGAGTGTTCAGGCTCCCTGTCCTGTTCAATGTGAACTGTATCTGTGATTCTCAATTCTCTACTTATTATATCCATAAAGCAGTTTTTCAAAGAATAGGAGTCCTGACATTATAAAAGCACTCCCCTCCTTTCTTAAGAAGATGGCCTATCTGGGCAGGCATTCTGCTCTATATTTATCATTTGTAACATGTTTAGAGACAGCAATCCTTGACTTTGGGGAGATCGTAGAATCCTCTGACTATCTCATGAGACATTGGCATCCTCTCCTTAGAAAAATAAGCTTCGGTGCACACACTCAGCTTTTCCTATAATTCCTAGGGAGGGGAGCAAAGATTTCAAGTTAAGAAAACTTAGGATGTCATCACTTTGTCAGTGATCTTCCAAATTATTACCATCTGAATTGAGCCTAAGAAACTGCCATTTAATAAAAAATGTAATGTCTGGAACACGGGAGCTGAACAAATGAACAATGAAGATTACTTAAATGCTGGATTGTGCCTTTAAAAGCTGCCCAAATGTTGCAAATTAAGAAACAGATGGTTCAGGTGTTTATAAGTCTCCCTTCAATTCTGCCTTGTAATTTGGTCCAGCCTTGCGGGGTGCTTCTTAGTTTCCTCTTACCTCTTTCTGGTGTTAATGGATAATATATTACTGTAATTTCCAAATGGGAGCCCCACCTGGCCTGATAAGAGTGACGCCCTTGTTTAAGACACATATCTTCAGAGAATACAGTCTTCGGTGCCTACGTGTGAACATTTATGTATATATATCAATAACTATATTTAACATTTGTTTCTGATCTCATGGAAATGAAAGTATCTTCTGTGCTTCCGCTAAATACAACTGTCCATCCCCTATAACTACTATGACTTCTTCTACCATTCCTGGTACCACTAAAGATAATGCCTTCTACTTCTTTTCACTTGTGACATCCTATCCCCTTCATGGCCTGGATTACCTTATACCTTTTTCATGAAGATTTTGTGGCTTCTTCCAACAGATTTAACTGTATTTCTGCTCTAGAACTGACCTTGTTTTTTTTCACATGTTATAAGTTGTCCCCTCCATTGAGCTGTAAGCACATTGGGCTTAGGGACCAAATATCATCCATCTCTACATCCCCACAACCCCGGGGAACTCCATAAGCCAGAGAAACTTGGAAGCCGTAGATTATGTAAAAATTCCTGTTACAGAATGTTTACTGCATTGAAGAGGCTGATTGGTTTATTATGTGTGAAAGAGTCACCCCACAGATCTTTGCTGATGGCCCTTTTACGTCGGCAAATAAATAAATGAAGGACTGACTGAATGAAAAGGAGCTGTGGAAACAAGAGGTAAACTCGATAATGAGATTCCTTAAAAAGAATCTCCCATACTATTTTGGGATAAGAGAAACCATCAGCCTAGCATAAGCCACTTTTCCTCTAAGAAACTTTAGAAAATTAAGACAAAATATGGGGGGGAAATATGATATGGCGCTCATAATGGATGGCTGGCTTCCCTCAGATGACCTCCTAATAGGCAGTCTTCCATGAAGCCAAGAAAACTGTGTTGCTCTGTTATTATAGGACAATGACAGCTACTGGCCTTGTTTCAATGATTATAGCGCTTCTTCATCTTTGCTGGCCCGGAGCTGTGAGCAGTGTGAAATAGCTCCGGTGGGGTATGCATCTTTCTCCAGTCTAGGAGATAGCTCCCCTGGGTCTAGGTGGGAAGGTGTGTAGGGATCAAGGTCAGGCTTCAGTCTGTGGTGCAGCAGCTCCCTTGAAACAGCCTCGCCTATCACAGGCTGAGCCAGCCAGTCAACAATGGCTTTGTTTATTGCATTCCTACTCTGTAGCTAGGTCTAGGGACGCATTCTGGGGTATTCTCCTCAATTCAACATGTTCTCTCCTCACTCATCTCCATACCACGACAAATGATGGCCAGCTAGGGTCACTTTTTCTAGGGACAGTCTTGAGTCATTATTTCTCAGATGATATTAACTCACTAATAAAAATAAATGCTTTTTGGAAGTGGGAAACATTGAATTGCACTTTAAGAAACAAGGTGCTGGGGTTAGAATAAGGAAGAGTACATTTATACCAGACCCTGAAGGATAGATAGAGCTTTTGAACACCCTCTGGGGTGGGGGAGTATGTGGGTGTGTTTGTATGGGGAGGTAGGTGGGGCTCATGTACCTGGAGAGCTTACATTACAGGGTGAGGTGCAGGCATGAAGGTACAAGAGTTACAGGCGGGTCCCAAGGCAGTCCAAGAGTACAGAGCTTAAACAGTCCTGAAAACTGGGAAGACCTCAAGTCTGACCTTAGTTCCAGGAGTTCATGACAATGTCTCTATAAAATGGGCATCCGGCCCCTCCCTTCACAGGGTTGGTGTACGGATGTGAGGTCATGTTCCTAACTTGGCAGGCAGTGGGCAGTCCTGAGAGGCAGCTACCACTATTTTAATAGACACATCCCATCCGAGTTTATCAGTTATTTTGATTGTCACCACAGACATGCAGGCCTCCTTAACCCCACATGCCGTTCTACAAAGTGCGTTTGTTTGTTTCTGCTCAGGAACATAACGTGAAGGAGCTGAAGAAAAAGGCTGACCCTGAGCTCAAGGAAGCTCAGCTGTCATCCCGAGTTTCCAATATTTTATAGAGCATGTGGATTTATTCATTGCCATTGCATGTGCTGTCCTGGCCTCTCCACTTGCCTTGAGCAGCAAGTTGTGACGAGGGCTCTAAACATGATCATACAAGACTGTCTCTATCTTCCGTCTCTGCCGCATGTCCTTGCCCCCAGCAATGGACACAGGGAGCCAACAAAGGCAACTGAACACATCACACTCTTGTGGATGGAACCTGAGAGGGAAAGGCAATGTAGGCCCCCAGTGTGCTCAGGCCATCCTGCCTGGGGTACAGCTTCTGAAGCTACCTGCATGGAAGAGGACAGGCAGGGACTGTGACTCAGAGGCAGAGCATTTTGTGGGAGTGGTGCTGGGGGACACAGTGCGATCCAGGGCTGCCACAGACACAGTGCAGCAGGCAGGAAGCTAACGTTCTGGATGGCTGCACAAGAAATGCAGAGGCTGCTCAGGGATTCAAACTTCAGCCTTGAGGTTTGTTCTGGAGTGAGGGGAGTAATCCAATCAGTGGGCAAGGCAGGCAGTGTCTGTTCAGACTTTCTTCAGAGACCAGCCAGGCTGCCCATCTGCCGGCTGCCCTATCAGTGCAACAAAACCTTTTAAGGGGGTGATGTCAAGGTGAGGAGGAGAAGCAGAATGGAGGTGCAAGGCAGACCCAGGTTTGAGTCACAGGGGCAGTGCAGGTGGCAGGGACAGAGACACCAGCCAAGCCTGGGGGTGGGTGCTCATGTTTCTAGCATTGTGCTCACTGCCGGGGCCTGCTCAATCCATGGTGACCTGATGCAGACATCATGAGGATGTGGACCTGGGGGACCCCAACTTGCCCTGGAGACATCTTGGGGAACAGATATGTCATCTTCCTATGCCTCAACCTTTGGCTCTTCTACCTATTGAATTTTTACTGGAAGCAAAGGATTTACCTGTGAAACTCTAAAAACACGAGAGTAGCCCCTGATACAGGGGAGAGCCCAGCCTCCAAGCTGGATCGAGGAGGGGGTTGAACTCCAGAACCTTTCGTTTGCCACCTCCATCTTTAGGCAGTCATCAAGCTCAATTGCTTTCCTATTTATTTTCATACAGATGAAGATTATATGAACTGTTTCATTTATTATGTAAGTCTGAATGAGATAACTGGTATGAAGCACTTAGACTCTAACAGAAACTCAGTCATTTTGAGTGTGCTTCACCTCTTTTTCTTCTTAAATTCCAGTCCACCTGCCTTGGTCAGACTTCTTGAAGATAAATCAAGCAGTTTTCTGGAAAGGAGCAAACAGTGAGTTGGGCCCTGCAGAGCATCTGGGACCAAGGACTGTAATACTCACCATACTCTCTTGCCTTTGCAGTCACCTGTTTTTTGGCTGTTTCTTACCTGCCTGTCCCACTACACTTTTGCTGGGAAATGGCCCCAATAAGCATTCTGTTGTGGATCTCCTGATCCTAATGGGATCAAGGCTTCTCACAGGAAGGGTTTGCTGTGAGAGCCATTGCGGGTGCAGCAGGGCTAACCCTGGCATCAGGTGCAGATGTGGGCGTGCATGTAGCCTGGTGACAAGTGACATACATTCTCACCAGGGCACCTCACCCACCTGCCACCCTGCCAGCACAGCATCAGATAAAAAATTAAAAATGTTTGTTCAGAGATCTGAAAAGTGAGAGTGGAAATTTTGAGAGAAGAGGCATTCATGTGGGATCCTGCACCTCCACCTTCTAGTCAGACCCCAGAGAGTAAAGAATGACTCAAAGCTGTCTGTTTCATGGGGGGTGTCTTACCTAACTGAGTACATAAAGTGTAGATAAGTCTAAACATAGCTGGCAAATGAAAATACTAGAAGGCCAAGAACTCCCCCTTACTCTCTTTCCTGGTTCAAGTGGATTTAAGTTAATAAGTCAAAATTTATCATACAGGAATTAATGCATTCATCTGAGTTTCTCAGTCACCCAGGAATTTAATTAGTTATCTTCCAAAATGGATGAAACTACTAGAAAATTCTCAGGTCTTGTAACCATTTACAAGAAAACAAACATTTGAAACAAAAATATTGGATAATCTAAATTATTATTTGTTTTATCCCAAGGAAATGAATCCTATTTAGATCACAAATAATAAACTAGTGCAATATGATTACATATATTTGTAAGACAACTGTGCATTTGGAAAAAAATGTTTTGAGACCTTTGGATGTAAGTCATTATGCAACAAGTTTATTAAAGCTGGGATGCATGTTTATGACTCTTCTGGGATCTTCAGGTTGCAGGATTGGGGGATGAAAACAAAAAACAGTCACCCTTTGCTCTGAGCAAATGTCACTCTGAAAGCAGGGCTATATAGAAACACCTGCAACCCAAGTCCCTGGCAACTGGCACAGCAGGGAAGATTGTCCTGTGGGCAGAGAAGAGCGCAAGAGGCATGACCCTGTGTGGATGAGAAGAGGACAGAATGTCTTTCTGTGTGACATTTAGTGTACCATTTAACTGGCTGCACACACTCCTCCATCATTCAGTCCCCTCTTCAGCTACAACAGGGGCAGTATGACACCGGAGGGCAGTGGTCTGGAGGCTGTTCCCAATTGTGCAGGGCTTCCTGGAGACCCTTATCCCCACTCATATCACCCAGTGTGGAACGGACACCTGACCTCTTGTGATCAAGCACAAAGAAAATGGGCTGGACCCCAGGAACTGGGCGTTGGGCCTGGTTCTGTGGCCAATGACTTCTAGGCAGCTGTCAAGATATCCCCCCAGCCTCAATCCTCCTGCAAAGAAAATGTGGGGCTGGAATGCATAGGACCTATCTTCAGGCCAAGCAGTGGCTCACGTCTGTAATCCCAGCACTTTGGGAGGCCGAGGTGGGTGAATCACCTGAGGTCAGGAGTTCGAGATCAGCCTGGCCAACGTGGCGAAACGCCGTCTGTACTAAAAATACAAAAATTAGCTGGGCGTGGTGGCATGCGCCTGTAATCCCAGCTACTCGGGAGGCTGAAGCAGGAGAATCACTTGAACCTGACAGGCAGAGGTTGCAGTGAGCGGAGATTGGGCCACTGCACTCCAGCCTGGGTGTGACAGAGTGAGACCCTGTCTCAAAACAAACGAACAAGCAAAGACCTATGTTCACTTCTGAGGAGAGAAGCCCGCTGTCATTCTGATCTTTGTTTCTCTGTATCTAACACTGTATCCCTCACTCTGTGCCAGCCCAGATGATTTTGTAATTTTCCGTTTATCACTGGTTTTAAGCAATTGCTCTATGAGGTTTCAGGGGTTTTGTACATGGAGTTTGTTGAGCTACTTACTTCTGTGGTTTGCAGATGTCATCGAATTTGGAAAATGTTAGTCATTATTCTTTCAAATTTTTTTTGCTCCCTCCTCTTCTTTGAGGACTCCAATTATACTATTATTTAACCATCTGATGTTGTCCCACAGCTCAATTAACCACAATTGCTTTTCTTCCCTGTCTTCCTTCTCTCTACGTTGGATTATTTCTATGGCTATGTTTTCATATTAACCAAGGCAGTATTTAGTCTCTTACGTCTGTGTGGTATATCTTTCATCTTGAATATTATCCTTTTTATCTCAAGAAGTTCGATTGGAATCTTTTTATATAGTTGTGTCTCTTCTTAACGTGTTCAATTTTTTGCTTCTTGAAAATGTGAAACCCAGTCATAGTAATTGTGTTCCCATCCTTTCCTGAGAATTCTAACATCTGTGTCACACCTGGGTTGGTTTTGATGATTTTTTTTCCTCTATCTTAGTATTTCTCTCATCATTGACTGGATGCCACACAAGAATTTTACCTTATTATGTGCTGGATATTTTTGTATTTCTACAGATATTCTTGCATTTATCTCTGGCACACAGCTAAATTGCTTGGAAACAGTTTGCTTTTTTTTCAGGTCTTGCTGTGTTAGGGGAGACCACAGCATTAGCAACAAAAATATGTTTTCCCTGTTCTGAAGCAGAATGTTTCTGAGCGCTGTGCTTGATACCCTGTGAATTATGGTGCTTTCCACACTGGCTGGTAGAAATTGGAATATTTTCTTCTCTGTGTGAGTCCCAAGGATGTTTTCCTCTAATGCTTTCACATAGTTCTTTCTCCAGCTTTGTGCGGTTTCCTCACATGCATGGATAGGCTGGTCTGTAATTAGCTGAAGGCTTAAGAGAAGCCTATGCTGATCTTGGAATTATTTCTCTCAGTGCCTCTCTCTTTTCTCTGTGTTCTGCTTTGCAAACCCTAGCTCTCTGATCCCCTGGACTTCCAGTTCTGTCTTCCATTCAGAGAGACTCTGAGTTCTACCTGGGCTTGTCCTTATGCCCCATGGCCTGAAAATTGTCTGGGGCAAGTGCAGGCATCACCTCCTGTGTTCCCTTCTCCCAGGAGTCAATGTCTTGTGTTGCCTGATGTGCAAAGTCTTAAATATCACTGTTGCATACATTTGTGTGTGTGTGTGTGTGTGTGTGTGTGTGTGTGCGTGCGCGTGCATTTGTGTGTGTGAGAGAGAGAAAGAGAGAGGGAGAGTTGTTTCAGGTGGGAGTATAAATATGCTTCTTGTTAATTCATCTTGGTCAGGAGCAGAAATGCTCACCTTAAGGATCTTAAGTCCCATTTCCCGATGAGTGCTTAAATATTTTCACTACACTCTCTTCTAACTCTGAAATTCTGTGTCAATATCAGAATATTTGTGTGTTTTTGGATTTTTCTGGTACTCTGTAGTTTCAATTAGAGCAGATTACAGAATTAATCACTTCAATAAATCCATTCATTTATTCAAGTTTGTTTATTTTTACTGAATGACTCCTGTGACAGATTCTGAAATAAATTATTGAAATAAAGAGCCATCATACCCGTCATCCTGGGAATAGGAATCTATAGTCTGTCTGGTGGTGCTGATCACCTTCAAGCAGACACAATGTTCAGATGAAGGCACACTTATAAATGTAACACATTCCATTCAGGATGATAGCTAAGAATTGTGAGAGGACACAGGAGGGAGGGTGAGATTAGATGGACACTCAGGACTGACCCCTGATGAGCCCCAAGGATTAGAGAGAGACAGCAGCACCACAGGTGAGGAAAAGGAACCTGGTGGAGAAACTGTGCATGTGGGGATACAGCTAACCAGAGAGGTGAGAAATCTCTCTGAGAATTACAAAACACTGCTCAAGGAAATCAGAGAAGACACAAACAAATAGAAAAACATTCCAGTCTCATATGTAGGCAGAATCAATATTGTTAAAATGGCCATATTGCCCAAAGCAATGTACAGATTCAATGTTATCCCTATCAAACTAGCAATGCCATTTTTCACAGAACTAGAAAAAGACTATTCCAAAATTCATATAGAACTCAAAAAGAGACCAAATAGCCAAAGAAATCTTAAGCAAAAAGAACAAAGCCGTAAGCATCACACTACCTGACTTCAAATTATACTACAAGGCTGCAGTAACTAAAACAACATGGTACTTGCACAAAAAAACAGACACTAGACCAGTGGAACAGAATAGAGAACCCAGGAATAAAGCCAAACACCTACAACCAACTGATCTTTGACAAAGTCAAAATAATAATGAGCAATGGGGAGAGGACTCCCTATTCAATAAATGGTGCTTGGATAACTGGCTAGCCAAATGCAGAAAATTGAAACTGGTCCCCTTCCTTCCACCATATACAAAAATAAACTCAAGATGGATTAAAGACTTAAATGTAAAACCCAAAACTATAGAAACGTTAGAAGACAACCTAGGCAATACCAGTCAGCTCACAAGCATGGACAAAGATTTCATTACAAAGATGCCAAAAGCAATTGCAACAAAAGCAAAAACTGACAAATGGAATCTAATTAAACTAAAGAGCTTATGCACAGCAAAAGAAACTATCAACAGAGTAAACAGACAACCTATAGGATGGGAAAAAATATTTGTAAACTATGCATTCAACAAAGGTCTAATATCTAGAATTTATAAGGAACTTAAGTCAACAAGCTAAACTGTGAGTATGTATGGACAAAAACAACCCCATTAAAACTTAAAGTACAATAATAAAAAAATAAATGGGCATAGGACATGAACAGTATTTCTCAAAAGAAGACACACATACGGCTAATAAAGATATGAAAAACGCTCAACATCACTAATCATTAGAAAAAGCAAATCAACAACCCAATGAAATACCATCTCATACCAGTCAGAATGTCTATCATTAAATAACAGATTTTGGCAAGGTTGTGGAGAAAAGGGAACACTTATACACTGCTGGTGGGAATGTAAATTAGTTCAACCACTGTGGAAAGCAGTTTGGAGATTTCTCAAAGAACTTAAAACAGAACTACCCTTTGACGAAGCAATCGCATTACTGGGTATATACCCAAAGGAAAATAAATTATTTTACCAAAAAGACACATGCATATGTTCATTGCTGCACTATTCACAATAGCAAAGACATGGAATCAACCTGGATTCCCATCAGTGGTGGACTGGATAAAGAGAACGTGGTACATACACACCATGGAATACTACACAGCCATAAAAAAGAATGAAATCATGTCCTTTGCAGCAACATGGATGCAGCTGGAGGCCATTAACCTAAGTGAATTAACACAAGAACAGAGAACCAAATAGCACAAATTCCCACTTACAAGTGGCAGCTAAACATTGAGTACACATAGATATAAAGATGGGAACAACAGATACTGGATCTTACTTGAAGAGGGAGGATGGGAGGAGGGCAAGGGTTGAGAAACTACCTATCAGATACTATGATCATTACCTGGGTGATGAAATCATTTGTACACCAAGGCCCAACAACTACCCATGTAACAAACCTGCACATGTGCCCCCGGAACCTAAAATAAATGTTGAAAAGAAAATGGAGTTGCCATAGTGATGGCTCATGTGAGCCAGAATTCCAGATGAAAGGTGCAGAAGACGAAGAACATATCTGAAAGCATACCTTGGATAGGTGACAGTCCTGTGGCCAGCTTTCAGAGGATCTCTTTGTTTTAAAACAGGCTCTGTTTAAGGAGCCTAGGGTAGAAACAACTGAGCAAGGTTTCCCTGAGATTTTCATAATCTAGGACAGAAAAATCATCTCTCTGCCACAGGCCATGGAATACTAACTAGTAGTGATAAATGAGTAACTGAGTAATATGGATAGTTGCATAGAACTGGATAGGTTTTCATAAAAGCACATCTAACTCTATGATTCCATTGGATTTCCAAATGAGTACTTTCCCCAGGGTCAATTCTTCCCATTTGCCTGTGAGGCAATGAAGCCTAAGGTCACAAGGCTTTTCTCTGATATTGTCTGTAGGGCCAGCTACATAATTTGTTGGAACCAGTGCAAAATGAAAATTAGGGGCTCCATGGTCATAAGTTATTAAGAATTGCAAGATGGTGACAGTGGAAACATTGAACCAAAGGTGAGGTCTTTCTGAGAGGGGCCCTGGGAGACTGCAGGCCTCATCCCTGCAATGTAGGTCCTGACACACAGACTTCAGCCTCAAACCACTAAGAACAAATTCTGATTCTTCTCAGTCTGGTCAAGTCAGGCTATGACTGTGACATTTGTGCTTAAAAGTGCTGGGTAAATAAAGGGAGGAAAAACTATTGAAAACGAGGTTCCTCCAGACACCAACTAAGCAGTATCCCCACCAAGCCAGTGCTCTCTGATACATAAACTGAATTTTTTATTCAAGAGAATACAGAGACCTCCCTTGCATATAAAAGTCATTTTGAGGCTGGGCGTGGTGGTTTCCGCCTGTAATCCCAGCTCTTTGGGAGGCCAAGGAAGGTGGATCACGAGGTCAAGAGATCAAGACCATCCTGGCCAACATGGTGAAACCCTGTCTCTACTAAAAATACAAAAATTAGCTGGGCATGGTGGTGCGCGCCTGTAGTCCCAGCTACTGAGGGGGCTGAGGCAGGAGAATCACTTGAACATGGGAGACAGAGGTTGCAGTGAGCTGAGATTGCACCATTGCACTCCAGCCTGGTGACACAGCAAGACTCCATCTCAAAAAAAAAAAAAAAAGTTATTTTGCCTTGGTCTAATGGTTATGCCAAGAGATGAATTCACAATACTCTCTATTTATGTAAACTCTATTGTTTTCTAAAGCAAGGCATAACCATCTTTAATATAGATGCCTTTCATTTCCCCCTCCTGCTTCCTTATAATTTCTGCTCCAACTTTCTGACCATGTTTGTGAAATTAGGTAATTACAAAGTATGATTTCAAGGTCAAGCATGTTCTTATCACACTCCAAATAATTATGCTTCAGGGATCACTGAATTGACTCAATATCCTGTAACTTACTAGCTGAGATTATGAGGCTAGCATTCCATCCAGATTTCAGGAAATGAGCTATCTCAAGTTAAAATAGGGAAATAAAAAGCTCATGCTCAGAGACTTTTCTGCTTTACTGGGGGGCCCTTTCAGTGCTGAGCATTTTGCAGATGGTGCTATTTAGTCCTGTTCTCAAAACACAATCTTCCCTGAAAGGAAGCCTAATGATTTGATTTAGTTGGCTCTAGCTTCACTTTGTCTTAGTTCATATTCTTTTAAAAATCCAAATAATACCTTAAACAGAGACATTAGATGCCTCTCCTTTGATGACAAAATCAACTCCATGAACTTGCCTGTGACCTTGTAGGCCCCATGTGAGTTAATCTCAATGTCTGCATCACTATGTCCTTAACACATGCTCAGCTTGTTCCAGCCTGGCTATAAATTGTCCACCAGACATAGTTTTCATGGTTTGGGAATGGTGACTTTTAATAACATTCTTTCTGAGAGCCTGAAATTACGGTCTCTTCATGTCACTAGCTTGAATCCTGCCATAGCTCTATCCATCCACTCATATATGTATGTCCATACACATCCATTTCTCCAGCTTGCCTTGTACTCATTATGTATCCACCTGGCCATTCATCAAACATGTTCAAATGTCTTTTACATGTCATTGCATGTTTTAGGTGCATACAAATACGAAGTCTTTTAAAACGTAATATCAGGGGCTACTGGGCCAGCGTAAAAGGCAGACACAAAAAGTGTGGCTGAGATGGAGCAGTGGCCAGGTGTGAGGATGGGAGTGGGCACAGGTTTCTAGTGGGAGGAAAGCTCACTAAGACAGATAAGGAATAGCATAGGAAGGGGTCACAGGAAGCCAGTGACCAAGATGAAAACTGAAGGACTAGTAGGACTTGGCCATTGGCTGAAGGCCTGCCGAATCATATGGCATTGAGAGGACTACAGGTTGTTTGGCATCACTGCCACCTGGAGTGCATGGGGGTGAGTCCCAAGACATGCACCTGGAGCAGCGAGCAAGGGGGCCGCATGAATGGCTTGTGTGTTGCATCCAGGCATCTGGACTCAACGCTGACCAACACTGGTGGAGTTTCAATTAGTGGGGAGACATGATCAACTTTGAATTCTAGAAAGATCCCTCTGAGGACAGACTGGGCAATGAGAATTTTTCAAGAATTAATGCAATCATGCAAATGAGAAATTAATATTTGAACAAAGCACTGGCATATGGAATGGTAAACTGTACATTTGAGAGAATACAAGAGATGAAATCTACAGAACCCGGTGATAACAATTGTTAGAAGGGATGGAAATGGAAGTGTCAAGGGTAACTCCTGAGTTCCTGGCTTGCTCCATGTGATTGAACGTGGTTTACTTTACTGAGGTAAGAAACACAGGAGAAGCAGTTCGGAGGAAAATAGTGAGCCTTGTTTTATACCTGTTGGTTTCTGCTGATCTCCAGATGGAAACGGCAAATAGAAATTGAGTTTATGAGTTCAGAGGCCAATAAAACGGCAGCCATCTAGCCCAGGATAACCCAGGTATTTTATATATAGTCATGAGCATAGAGCTGGATGATGAAATTATGAGAGTGAATAAGATGGTGGTAATAGTCAACACATATATTACTTGCTGTGTGCCCAGCACTATCCCATAAAGTACACGCATATTATTAACACCATTAGTCTTCATTAGAATTAAAGAAAATTTAAAAAAAAAAACACTAGAGCGATCTTGGCATACAGAAATGAAGTAACCTGCCTAATATTCACCAGCTGGGAATAGGTGAAGCTGAAATGGAAGCCCAGGCAGCCAAGCCCTAGAGTCTGTGCTTCTAACCATGAGGCAACACTGCCCCTCAGGGTATAGAGGGCACTTGCCATATGGGAGACACTCAGGAAATACATATGGAGCAGGAGAACTAATGGATGGAATTAACAAGAAGAAATGAGATCCTCTTGGAAGCCCAGCTCTGATGTATCCAAAGTGCAGAATGTCCTGAGATGCTCCACTCCGAGTGGCTCCCCCTCCCATTCAGGATACTCCCATCTTTCAGGATATTTATGGAGAAGCATCTCTACCATGCATAGAACATTCAGTCGTGGCCAGGTGAGGTCTACACACCTAGCTGGTGAGCAGTGACCATACCACATTCTGGCTTTACAGTTGATTCCTTGGTAAGGAGTGCATTACCTGCAGCTTAACGACAGTCACAGATAAAGAACCTGTTGAATCATGGTCTCAGGACACTGAGTTGTCAGAGCCAAGGCAGTATAACCTAAGTGAAAGTAGAAAATGGGTTCATGGTGTAAGGTCCAAGCTCACGAATTTGGGTTGACTTCAAGAACTAGGATCTAATGGCAAAATAGCCTCATTTTTCTGAGCCGTACTTTCGTCTTACTCAAGTAGAGTAGACTATGTCTGTCTTTCAGGGTTGATAATAGGATTCAAACTTTCCAAAGTTCTTAAACAAAGAGGCTGCTGTGAGGGAAACTGTTGTATCGATGCATGGTAGATATTTTTACTATTGTTTCCCAGAGATTCGGTATGAGAAACCTAGACTGTCAGGGTGTAATGCCAAAGATCACTGTCACCATACAAATTATGAAATGGAATAGATCTAAATTAATCATCAAATAAGCTGGACACATACCAAGTGCCAACAAAGTCTGAGGACAAATCTGAAATCAGGATTTCACAAAGCACCATGGTCAGGGCCTGGCAACTAGAAGTTGGGTAGCAATTTCAGTGGACATGTTTGTTAGGAGACCTGGGACTTTTACAGTTTATCCCACTCTGTGCCTCCACAATAATTGGTCCTAAGTGCTTTATAACCCATCAGAAACTCATGTGTATAAATATTTTATAAAAATTTCATTCATCTCCATTATTTTCCTTGTATATATTCCTAAAATGATGGAAGGCAAGATAAATCTACATGAATCCTCCAAAGCCGAAGTTATTCTAGAGTTAAATTACAAGGACCTAGACAATTTAGCTGCTCTGTTGAGATACCGCCACAAGTTATTTCCAGGAAAGTGCACATTGTCTTTTTACTTACGCAGACAGGTGGAGATTCCATTGCTTCCTAAAGCAATGGAACCAGTGGTTCCCATAATTTTGCTATGGATGGAATTTTAAGTTTAAAAAAATGTATTCCTAAAGCATTATCTTTCAGTTGATTAAAATTCAAATAATAATTCTGTGACACAGAGTCAAATAATTTTTGAGCTGAAAAGGGCCCAAAATGGGTAGTACACAACTTGATAGTCCCCAAAGATGTGATGAAGACTTTTCTCAAAGTCAAAAGCCAGGACCAAAACTCAACGTCCTGCTTTCTTCATTCAGCACTCTTCCTTCTCTTGAATCCCACCACTGCCCCACGAGCGTATACTGTAGTGATTGTTATGCCGGTGATCTCTTCCAGAGAAGATTAAAATTAAATCAAATTAAAAGCTTTTTTTTGTCTGTGATTCTGGGTTAACCTTGGAGTGGCTGAAGCTCCTCTTCGCATGGATTTAAATGGTTACTATAAATGTGCCTATTTAATCAATGTCACAAGCATATGAAGTATAATTCCTCAATGTCTTGATAGAAATTGTTCTAAAACATGTAAACGTTAACGGGAAGGAAATTAGAAGGCAAACCAAACCTTCTGGCAGATTTCTATTGCAAAACTTCAAGATAGTTCATGAAGATAGTTCACGAAGGCAGTAGTTGATGAATGGAGCGTAAACTGTCTGTGTAATGTTGCGTGTAACTGTGAAGGAAGCAGAGTTAATGAAAGCTGACAAGGAGGCCAATGTGACTAAGTCAAGCAGCAGATTCTAAACAGAGGAACATAGAATGCCTCCCAGGAAAAGCAGTGCCCATCTCAAATCATTATATAGAGGGGCACGCTGCTATAGGAAAATATTTTAAATGTTCTGAGAATGTAGTAAGGATTATAAGTTTTTGTTTTGACAAGCAACATGATGAATTTCAGAATCTGAAAACCTGCTGACACATATGGAAGGAAAAATTACCATATTTACCAGCAAATATGAAATATCTCTGATTCCATCTCATTTTTCCCTTTATAGAATAACATGTTTGCTCTAAGTTGAGGGGAAAAGAATGGGGAGGTACAGGAATGGGAAGATTATGTGACAGTTTAGATACACCCTCAGAAACATGTTGAAGGACTCTTCCGTTGCAGGCTTCATCTGTACACACCACATCCCATTCCCAGGGGAGCAGCTTAGATGCACGGGAGGGTGAGGAGAAATTCTCAAAGCCCTGGAGGAATTTCTCAGAATAGCACAGCTAGGAAGCTCTAACAAGAGGCCCTAACCTAAGTTATTTGATTAAATACATTTGGGCATTTTCTGACCCTTTCCTGAGGGAGTTTATCCCAAGTCCTCAGGAAGGTACCATAAGAAGCTGCGTGTTTGCATTACTAGTGAACAGAAAGTGTTCCTCAACAACTAGAGAAGCAAGCAAGGTCACCAGGGAGAAACAACAGTGAAGATGAGAGAAAAAGAGGCATGTATAAACTCATGTCACTCCAAAACCAACCCAGAGGATGGGACCAGAGCAGGTCAGCAACAGGATAGATAGCATCTATTCCAGGACCTCACCATGTGTGGAGTTCAGCATCTGTGTCAATGACAACGTTCACAGATGGAATAGAAATCATTCCTTGGGCTTTGTGTGTCCCTTTGGGATAGCAGTTAGGTCCTATATTTTAAAAAACTTTTCAGTGACTTGCAAAATACTAAGTACAGAGCAGGTATAAGTTTGTGGAATTAATTAATAACATATAGATATGTCTTTGTTTCTATGCAAGTCTTCATTCCTCTTATCCTCATCTGTCTACATCCCATTCAGCCTTAGAAAGGTTAGCACTCATCGCCTGTGAATCCCAGTATCATTGCCTCTGTTGCCTCCCATTGACATTAATGATAACATGTTTGTTTCCCACACTGACTCTTGAGCTGCTTCAAGCCTCGCGCTGCTTCTCCTTCACTTTGTTTCCTGGTACATAGCCTAGTGAGGTGCACAAACCAGGCACTCAGGAAACAGAGGCCAAATGGACCAACAGAGTTCAGGAAATGGCAATGTGTCGGCTCGGTCATGTTGTGAAAACATAAGGGTAAACCACTCAGACACACAGACTGGAGTACGTAGGAGTTTGACTTGACAGATGGAGTTCCTGGGAAGACATCTCAAGGCAACTGTTCTCAAAGTGGGGTCCCCAGACCCAGCATCATCTGAGAACTTGTGAGAAGGTCTCAGGCTCCACCCCAGATATACCAAATCAGAATCCCTGGAGCTGGGCCCAGCATCTGCATTTTAACGAGCCTTTCAGGTGATTCTCATGGGCACTCCAGTTTGAGAATCGCTAATCTAAGGGACTCTACAACAAGAGTTCATTCATTCATTTCACTGATATTTATTAATTATAATCCACTAAATGCCAGGTGACATAGAAAGATTTGTCATCAAGGGTCCTAATATCACAGGGAGGAAAAGGCCGCAGGTCAAAATAAATAACCATAAACAGAACAGGGCATTATTAGAGAGAGGTAACACAGTTTGGATGACCAGAGAAGATAAAATTAAAGGCATTGATTTGTGCTGGTTCCATCAGATATTTAGAAATATGTCATATTATTTCTGAGGTTGAATTCTTGCTTACTTGGTGTGAATTTTCTTTTATTATTATTTTTTTTTTAATTTTAAGTTCTGGGATACAAGTGCAGAAGGTGCAAGTTTGTTACATAGGTATACATGTGCCATGGTGGTTTGCTGCACCTATCAACTTATCATCTAAGTTTTAAGCCCTGCGTGCATTAACTATTTGACCTAATGCTCTCCCTCCGCTTGCCCCCACCCCCCAACTGGCCCCAGTGTGTGTTGTTCCCCTCCCTGTGTCCATGTGTTCTCACTGTTCAACTCAAATTTCTTTCACAATATTGTAGATTTCTAGGCATAATGGACCACATGTCACTTATATCTGTATTGTAAGTTTTGAACACACTACTAAGTCAAATAGTAGAGCATATTAAATTTAAGTGAATGCACGCATGCATGAATGAATTAATGAATAAAAGATCCCGGGCAGAAGGGTAGACAGTAACAAAAGTAATCAAACTAGGTCCAATCCAAGTAAGAAAGATGTAAAGGGTATACTATGAAAGAAGTGCAGGATGCCTATTTGTCACAAGTAGAAATAAGAACAGAGAAGTAAGCAGGTACAAGGTTGTCATGGGATTAGAATATATACCCAAGGAATGTGAACCTTATTTCCAGACCAGAGAGGCTTTTAAATCTAATTTTAGTTATTATGACCTAATTTAAAAACTGGTTACAAGACATAACTTTAAGTTAGTGAAACATTTATCCCTGGCACATGTATTTTACTGAGGTGTGAGGTATTTTGTGATCTTCAACACAGCTAAAGAGTAAGAGGCGATCCATTATCTAATACAACTGGGCTATGTGACCCAAACAGCCTGATTCCAACAGTCACTGCAGTTGACAAAAATCAGGCAACATGACATCTGGTGCTGTGATTGCTCCACCAGGAAATGTGGAAACATAAAATGGTAAAAAGGCAGAACTTTCCAAGATCAGCATGGTCACACCCTATAAAAATCCTCATGATTCAGGATGACTGTCAGAGACAAAAGGGTTTGGAAAGTTCACACATCTTGAAAGCCACATTAGATGAGTGATTCTTCTGTATCCTCTGCTATTTAAACTCTGGAAGAAATGGTTTGCATTTATAGGGTCTAATTTTGGAATGGAAAAATCAATCACAATGCCTCCAATAGATGACATCATGTATGGTTTGAGTCTCAGGGGTTTATCAAAGCCCCCTAGTCTCTTAGCATTAATGCTGGGCTTCATAAAATAAACAAGTAAAACACACATAATTTTTGTAACTCAGGGTTTCAAAACACATATGTGTTTACGATATGACTTTCAGCTATTGAATTTTCACAGATGTGAAGGGATTAAATAAATCAGACAAGACATTATTAATGTCAATGCAGGTGGCCTTGTAGAATGACATTTGTCCAGAAGGCCTCCAAAGTTATCCTCAGTCACAGCATTCATTACTTGGTAACCCTTCAATGTCATGTTGTAGTTCAAGTTAAAATGTTTACCTCCAGTATCTCACTATCTCATTTACATTTAAGCAAATTTCTTGCATGTTCCAGGAAATACACCATTTCTTTGGTACTACAGAGATCAGTGGACCTTACTCCTCCTGAGGGCAGGTGATCAGCTCTGCCCATTTGGTGATCTGTCAATCCATATATCTCCCTGCTTTGTCCTGTAGATATTGATAGAACAGTTGGGATTTTTCCACTATAGCAAAAGCAATGTACACATTAAGATTCAGAAGTATCCCTAAAGAGCTCAAGCACATGGACAGCATAACCCAGTAGGACTCTTGAGAGCCGCTGTGGCCATTGTCACATGGGAAGAAATAATGAGGTCCCTTTAAAACCTTGTGAGTGAAGGAGAAAGTTGGCTCTGTGCAGCCTGAACTCTAATCAAACATATAATTTATTAGAGCATAATTGCAAAGTTACCTTAACAATGTAAATATTTATAAAAATGAATTTCAGGGCAATTAATGGCCCATTATCTCTAGACTGAGGACCTCTAATTGGAACATAATTTTAGGATCAGAGATAAAAGTTGAAAAACTTCTTAATTATATTTTGAAAGAATCAGAAAGCACTTAAGTAACTTCCCAGGTCTCCTAAATTTCAAAGTAGAAAACAACCTGTCATTCAGTTAATCTTCTCAATGGAAGGAGTTTTTTTTCTTTTCCTGGTCCCTGGTTTAAAATTATTCAACTTCCAGGCACACTCTAAGATGAACATTGAATTTGTATGTTTGATGGTATAAATACTTTGATGGTTTAAATCCTGGACTGTAAAAAATAATTCAAAAATAAAGTAACCAGAAAAAATGTATTTCTCCTCAAAGATTGGTGTAATTCTTCCAGCAGGGAAACTTCATTATAGAAGCATATAGATGTCTTTGTCAACATAAGTGAAACAGCATAGACTTTATGGAAAGACCCCAACACTTATATAAAACCATTGATAAAATGATTAAGTCACCTACCACGTGAGACAGTATTTCACTATTGATGAGTAGAATTTAAAGAGCATCAGCAGCACCACTGATCATTAGAGAAATGCAGAGCAAAACCACAATGAGATACTGTCTAACACCAGTCAGAATGTATATTATTAAAAAGTCAAAAAAATAGCAGATGCTGGCGAGGTTGTGGAGAAAAAGGAATGCTTATACACTGTTGATGGGAGTATAAATTAGTTCAGCCATTGTGGAAGACAGTATGGCAATTCCTCAAAGGCCTAAATACAGACATACCATTTGACCCAGCAATTCCATTACTGGGTATATACCCAAAGGAATATAAATCATTCTGTTATAAAGACACATGCACACATATGTTCATTGCAGCACCATTCACACTAGTAGAGACATAGATCAACCTAAATGCCCATCAATGGTAGATTGGATAAAGAAAATGTTGTGCATATGCACAATAGAATACTATGCAGCCATAAAAAAAGAATGACATCGTATCCTTTGCAGGGACATGGATGGAGCCAAAGGGCGTTATCCTTCGCAAACTAATGCAGGAACAGAAAACCAAATACTGTATGTTTTCACTTATAAGTGGGAGCTAAATAATGAGAACACATGGACATATAGAGGGGAACAGCACACACTGGGGCCTTTTGTAGGGTGGAAGGTGGGAGGAGGGAGAGGATCAGGAAAAATAACTACAGGATACTAGGCTTAATACTTGAGTGATGAAATAATCTGTACAGCAAATACCCATGACACAAACTTACCTATGTAACAAACCTGCACTTATGTGCCTAAACTTAAAATAAAACTTAAAAAAAAGAATTTAAAGAGGATGAGATTAAAAGGCTAAATACCTGAACTTGAATTCAGAACTCTAAACTTCGATGAGTTATTGAAGTTTTCTGAATCTAAGTTTTCCCCTCTACAAAAATTGGGATAGACATTTGCACTTGTTTGACTGTAAAGTGACAATACACACTGTAGTCCTTGACACATAATGGTACTGCGGGATATGTGTGCCAATTGAATTAAAGGCATATGTACTGGAATGCAATTAGCCAAGAATCAGACTTGCACAGTTTTCAAAATAATTTCAATGAAAAAAAAATTCTGCAGAGTACTTCTTACTCATCTGGTGCATCTGTAGTTGGAGTCAAGAAGGCAGATGGACAGAAATACAGGTTTTTTTTAGAAGTCTTTAGTGATATTGACCAACACATTCATTCTCTTCCTACCCGTTCAAGCATAGCATGTGACATGCTCTGGCCAGTTAAATGTAAGCAGAAGGAATGTGCATCCCACTCCTGGGCAGAAAACTTTCAGAGCTGGTTCAGAGAAATGCTCCAGCTGTTGAGGACTTGGCTGCCTGTGTCTCTGAGTCAAGAAGTCATGAAGCAGAGCACCCAACTGCCTGTGATTGACATGTAATAAGAGTGAGAAAAACACTGTATTGTTTTAACCCACTAAGAGATACTGGAGGTGTTAATGACTCCAGCATCAATATAGTCTAGTCTATACTAACTCAAAGAAAACGGTACCTGTCTTAGTTTCGAGGACTAGCATAACAAAGTTCCACGAACCGGGCAGTTTACACAGCAGAAATTTTATTCTTTCACAGTTGTGAAGGGTAGAAGTACAAGACAAGATGTTAGCAGGGTTGGTTCCATCCGAAGGTAGTGAGAGATAATCTGTTCCAGGACTCCTCCGTAGGTTCTGTGGATTGCTGGAAATCTTTGACTTTCCTAGACATCTACTGTATGATTCAACCTGCCTTCATTTTCATATGGAATTTTCCCTGCGTGCCTGTCTATGTCCAAATATCACCTTTTAATAAGAACACCAGTCATATCAGATTAGGGATCAGTATGGCATCATCTTTATTTCACTAATTAAGCTCGCAATGATTCTATTTTTAAATAGAATCTAACTCCTAGTGCATTTTAAGGCACTGTGGGTTAGGCCTTTAACATATGAATTTTGGGTGGACATAATTCAATCATAACTATACCTAAAGTTTGGCATAATACAAACTCAAAATGTATGGACACATTGTTGCATAATAGGTAGAAATTAAATGGTTGACCAAGGCTGGAATTTGGTGATCCAGTAACTGTAGTGAAATATCTCATAAACTTTCCATCTCTGGTAACTTGCGAGGTGGAGAGTATTGGAAAACAGAGTATTAGTGGGTTGCTGCTGTATTTGGCAAAGCATACTGAAAGGAAAGGAAGGAGTTCAGCAAAGAACTGAATATTTTGCAAACAAGAATGAAAGGAAATAGAAAGAGTCCACACATTTAGGGGCCTGTAGTGTTATAAAAAGAATAACGTCTCACCTTGAACATTACCAGTGATATTTTAAAATATTCACATAAAAATAGTATTTAAATCTTAGCTTTGTAGCACGCATTAAATAAAAGCTATGTCTGTTAAACCCAGTTAAAAATACCTCTGAACAAATGTCTCAGAGTAAAAATTTAATCAAGGGCCAGGTGTGGTGGCTCATGCCTGTAATCCCAGCACTTTGGGAGGCTGAGGCCAGTGGATCACCTGAAGTTAGGAGTTCGAGACTAGTCTGGACAACATGGTGAAACCCCATCTCTACCAAAAACACAAAAATTAGCCAGGCATGGTGGCACACACCTGTAATCCCAGCTACTCGGGAGGCTGAGGCAGGAGAATTGCTAGAATCCGGAGGCAGAGGTTGCAGTGAGCCAAACCATGATACTGCACTCCAGCCTGGCAACAGTGCCAGACTCCATCTAATTAAAAAAAATAATAATTAAAATGTAGCATCCAATAAATTCTTTCAATTTCATCCAGCAGCTCAGAGAAAAGTGTCTAAATGTATAGCTTTTCTACTAAACCTAATAAGCTCAAGCTACATGAGACAGTAATCAAATCGAAAGACAGAGTGGTTGGAAAAATAGCAAAGACACTTGGTAACTCTGAGAGCTATGTCTGAAAAACGGGGATGAGCCAGGCATGGTGGTGAACACCTGTAATCTCAGCACTTTAGGAGGCTGGGGCTGGAGGATCACTTGAACCTAGGAGATCAGCCTGGGCAACAAATTGAGAGGCTGTCTTAATAAAAAAAATCAAAAAATCAGCCAGGTATGGTGGTGAGAATCTGTGGTCTCAGCTACATGGGGGTGCTGAGGCAGGAGGATCCCTTGAGTCCAGGAGATCGAAGCTGCACTGAACTGTGATTGAGCTACTGTACTCCAGCCTGGGTGACAAAGCAGCACCCCGTCTCAAAAATAAACAAACAAAAAAAGGGATTAAAATAAAATAAAAGAGGAGTAGATATGGCTACTGGTATATAGAAATCACACAGAGAAGGTGCCTATTAAGTATTTGAGATAACTGTACTGCCAAAATAATCACAAAATTTGTCAAGATTGGTTATTAGAGACCTAAACTGACCCATAGGGTGCCCCACATACCTAGGGGCAGAAAGTGAACTGAGGAGAACTCTCAGGTTTCAGCAAGGGCATGTGTCCCAAGGGCCACATTCAGTGGGGTTGAGGAGATTGTAAAAGGGAGAATCTTCCAGATGGCAGAGCAAACAGCCATGAAGAAAAGTAGACAAAGAAGGTATCCACAGGAACAAGAATCAGAGCCTGTGAAGGGAACATTCCCTGTCCCCCCAAGTAACAGGCCCTCAAAATACATGTCCAAGGGAAATTCAAATTGCTGTATCCCAGGATATCTTTATGTGGCTTCCGTTCTTCCCTTTGTACACTGGGCATGTGTGTTGAGGTTACTGCAATCTTGTTCTGCCATTACAAATTGAGCATGCGGTGAGGAGGCAAGGAATTTGCCTTTTTAATTCTTATGTCATTCTTTCTTTTCTCCCAGAAATCCTGGGATTTATGCATAGTGCTTTATGGATGGGATCTTGGGGTTGTTTTTCTTGGGAAGAGGGTGAGTGTGTTTTGTGTGTACAAACAATGAGCTGGAACGACAGACTATGGCTGTCATTGGTGCTGGAATTTCTCTTCCAGACTCATGATCAGGATGTAGTCTCTTGCTTCCGTGAAGTTAGGCAAGCTGGGGCCCCTGTGTCTTGCTATCATGGGGGAAATGTGAGAAACAATGATATTTATCACCTCTAAGTGGAAATATTTCAAAGCTAGTGCTTGTGTGATTTGCCACGTTCTCTTTTCTCTGCTATAGCAACCGGCAACATGCCAAATACTGGGGGCTTTGCTGTTCACATCTCTGAGTCAATATGATATGGAGCAAAAGCCACAGCTAAGCTGAAATAGACATGTAGCATAAGAAAAAAATAAATCTTTCCCATTTGTCATGAGTGGTGCAAAGTTAGAGATAACCAGGTCCACGCATGTTTGTGTCTTTCCACAATGTCAAGCTTTTACTGATTGTGATTCAATCACAAAAGCCATGAGCCACATGGAGTTCCCAAGGAAGCAGTTCTCCTTGTTACATCTCATTTACTCAGCAGTCAGAAGTGTGGGCACACAGGTTCAAGATGCTCCACAAGTTAGTCAATATTACAAACCATACATAATAATATGCTGAATCAATATATAAATGTTAGGGATTAAGCATTCCACAACAAGCAAAGTAACATTTAGCATCAAGAGAAAGAGAGATAGGAGAGAGTGTTAACGAACTAGCCCAGGGGGAAGGAAGAAGACAAAAGGAGTCCTGGTCTGGGCCTGATGGTCCAGCCCCTGGGTCTTGCGAGGAAGAGTCTTTGAGGTGGCACAGCCTTCAGTGACAGATGCCAAGTTCTTATCACAGGTGACAGAGGGACATTTATCAGTTGGGGGGAATGTTTAGAGCTGCTGACAGCTTGTTCTTTTATAGCCAAAGACTCCTCCGGTGAGAACTGATAGTGGAAGAGTACGCTTGTTTGTGTTTTTATCTGGTTGGAGGTAGTAATTTTTTTGTTGTTGTTTATTAAACAAACCATCTTATGCTTGTTGGTAAAGTCAACTGGGAAATATAAAATGGAGTCCTTTTCTAAGATGCAATTACTTTTGTCTAGTGTGCTCTATACACTATTCCAGCCCACTGAGATTTGGGACTTGTTTGTATTTGCAGCAATACTTTACACATTCTGATGAATACAATGATTCACTATTGTATTTTGAAAATAAGGAAGATGTAGTTGAAAATTTGAAAGAAAACAGATTGACTCAAATGTTATTAGAGTTCGGAAAATAAAATAAATTAGTAGAATAAAGAAAAGAAATAAGAAAATGGAATTCTAACATATTGGGGGTATAAATAGGTTGAATTTATCAGAAAAAAAATTGCCTAATATAATATTAAATAAATGGTAATGATGACATGAAAAAGTGTAAACATTAAGGTATAGACAGTTCCAAAAGAACTTAAAAAGAAAAAATGTTCTAAAAAAAGTTCTAAGGATTCAAGATGGCCAAATAGGCACAGGTCTGCAGCTCCCAGCAAGATCCTCGCAGAAGGCAGGTGATTTCTGCATTTCCAACTGAGGTACCTGGTTCATCTCACTCGGACTGGTTGGACAGTGGGTGCAGCCCATGGAGGGCCAGCCAAAGCAGGGCAGGGCATTGCCTCACCCAGGAAATGCAAGGGGTTGGGGAATTTTCTCCCCTACCCAAGGGAAGCCGTGAGGGTCTGAGCCTGAAGAACTCTGGCACAGGTACTGCGCTTGTCCCAGCATATTCGCAACCCACAAACCAGGAGATTCCCTCTGGTGCCTACCCCACCAGGGCCCTGGGTTTCAAGCACAAAACTGGGTGGCTAATTGGGCAGATATCCAACTAGCAGCTGCAGGAGCTCTTTTTTTTTTTTTTCCATACCCCAGTGGTGCCTGGAATGCCAGTGAGACAGAACTGTTCACTTCCCTGGAAAGGGGTGCTGAAGCCAGGGAGCCAAGTGGTCTGGCTTGGTGGCTCCCACTCCCACGGAGCCCAGGAAACTAAGATCCACTGGCTTGAAATTCTCGCTGCCAGCACAGCAACAATCTGAGATCCACCTGGGATATTCGAGCTTGGTGGGGGTAGGGGCATCTGCCATTGCTGAGGCTTGAGTAGGAGGTTTTATGGTCACAGTGTAAACAAAGCCTCTGGGAAGTTTGAACTGGGTGGAGCCCACTGCTGCTCAGCAAGGCTGCTGTGGCCAGACTGCCAGCTTTCTCCTCTCTGGACAGGGCATCCCTGTAAAAAAGGCAGCAGCCCCAGTCAGGGGCTTATAGCAGACTTAAATGTCCCTGCCTGATGGCTCTGAAGAGAGCAGCAGACCTCCCAGCACAGCGTTCAAGCTCTGCTAAGGGTCAGACTGCCTCCTCAAGTGGGTCCCTGATCCCTGTGTAGACTGACTGGGAGACAACTCCCAGTAGAGGCCGACAGACACTTCATATAGGAGAGCTCTGGCTGGCATCCGGCAAGTGCCTCTCTGGGTTGAAGCTTCCAGAGGAAAGAACAGGCAGCAATCTTTGCTGCTCTGCAGCCTCCACTGGAGATACCCTGGCAAACAGGGTCGGGAGTGGACCTCCAGCAAACTCCAGCAGACTGGCAGCAGAGGGGCCTGACTGTTAGAAGGAAAAGAAACAAACAGAAAGCATTAGCACGTCCACTCAAAAACCCCATACAAAGGTCACCAACATCAAAGACCAAAGGTTGATAAATCCACAAAGATGGGGAAAAAGCAGTGCAAAAAGGCTGAAAATTCCAAAAACAAGAACGCTTCTCCTCCTCCAAAGGATTACAACTCCTCACCAGAAAAGGAACAAAACTGGAGAGAGAATGAGTTTGGCGAACTGACAGAAGTAGGCTTCAGAAGGTGGGAAATAACAAACACCTCCGAGGTAAAGGAGCATACTCTAACCCAATGCAAGGAAGCTAAAAACCTTGGAAAAAAGGTTAGTCGAATTGGTGACTAGAATAACCAAGGTAGAAAAGAACGTAAGTGACTTGATGGAGCTGAAAAACACAGTACAAGAATTTCGTGAAGAATACACAAGTATCAATAGCCGAATTAATCAAGTGGAAGAAAGGATATCAGTGATTGAAGATCAACTTAATGAAGTAAAGAAGAAGACAAGATTAGAGAAAAAAGAATAAAAAGAAGCGAACAAAGCCTTCAATAAATATGGGACTATATGAAAAGACCAAATCTACATTTGATTGGTGTACCTGAAAATGACAGGAGAATGGAACCAAGTTGGAAAACACTCTTCAGTATATTATCCAGGAGAACTTCACTAACCTAGCAAGACAGGTCAACACTCAAATTCAGGAAATACAGAGAACACCACAAAGATAATCCTTGAGAAGAGCAACCTCAAGACACATAATCGTCAGATTCACCAAGGTTGAAATGAAGGAAAAAACGTTAAGGGTAGCCAGAGAGAAAGGTCTAGTTACCCACGAAGGGAAGCCCATCAGACTAACGCGGATCTCTCTGCAGAAACCCTACAAGCCAGAAGAGAGTGGGGGCCCATATTCAACATTCTCAAAGAAAATAATTTTCAACCCAGAATTTCATATCCAGACAAATTAAGCATCATAAGTGAAGGAGAAATAAAATCCTTTACAGACAAGAAGCACTAAACATGGAAAGGAAGAGCCAGTACCAGCCACTGCAAAAACATACCAAATTGTAAAGAACATCGACGCTGTGAAGAGACTGCATTAACTAACAGGCAAAACAACCAGCTAGCATCACAATGACAGGATCAAATTCACACATAACACTATTAACCTTAAATGTAAACAGGCTAAATTCCCCAATTAAAAGACACAGACTGGCAAATTGGATAAAGAGTCAAGAACCATCAGTGTGCTGTATTCAGGATGCCAATCTCTCATGCAAAGATACACATAGGCTCAAAATAAAGGGATGGAGGAATATTTACCAAGCAAATGGGAAGAAAAAAAAAAGCAGGAGTTGCAATCCTACTCTCTGATAAAACAGACTTTAAACCAACAAAGAGCAAAAGAGACAAAGAAGGGCATTACATAACGGTAAAGGGATCAATGCAGCAAGAAGAGCTAACTATCCTAAATACATATGCACCCAATACAGGAGGACACACATTCATAAAGCAAGTTCTTAGAGACCTACAAAGAGACTTAGACTCCCAAACAATAATAGTGGGAGACATTAACACCCCACTGTCAATATTAGACAGATCAATGAGACAGAAAATTAACAAGGATATTCAGGACTTGAACTCAGCTCTGGACCAAGCAGACCTAATAGACATCTACAGAACTCTCAACCACAAATCAACAAAATATACATTCTTCTTAGCATCTCATTGCACTTATTCTAAAATTGACTACATAATTGAAATAAAACACTCCTCAGCAAATGCAAAAGAGTGGAAATCATAACAAACAGTCTCTCAGACCACAGTGCAATCAAATTAGAACTCAGGATTAAGAAACTCACTCAAAACCGCACAACTACATGAAAACTGAACAACTTGCTCCTGAATGACTACTGGGTAAACAACAAAATGAAAGCAGAAATAAAGATGTTCTTTGAAACCAATGAGAATGAAGACAAAACGTACCAGAATCTCTGGGACACATTTAAAACAGTGTTTAGAGGGAAATTTATAGCACTAAATGCCCACAAGAGAAAGCAGGAAATATCTAAAATTGACATCATAACATCGAAATTAAAAGAACTAGAGGAGCAAGAGCAAACAAATTCAAAAGCTAGCAGAAGACATGAAATAACTAAGATCAGAGCAGAACTGAAGGAGATAGAGACACGAAAAACCCTTCAAAAAAATCAATGAATTCAGGAGCTGTTTTTTTTTTCAAATTAACAAAATAGACCTCTAGCCAGACTAAAAAAGAAGAAAGAGAGAGGAATCAAATAGATGCAATAAAAAATGATATAGGGGATATCACCACTGATCCCACAGAAATACAAACTACCATCAGAGAATATTATAAACACCTCTATGCAAAAAAAAAACTAGAAAATCTAGAAGAAATAGAGAAATTCCTGGACACATACACCCTCCCAAGTCTAAGCCAGGAAGACGTTAAAAACCTGAATAAACCAATAACAAGTTCTGAAATTGAGGCAGTAATAAATAGCCTACCAACCAAAAAGAAGTCCAGGAGCAGACGGATTCACAGCCAAATTCTACCAGAGGTACAAAGAAGTGCTGGTACCATTCCTTCTGACACTATTCCAAACAATGGAAAAAGAGGGACTTCTCCCTAACTCATTTTATGAGGCCAGCATCATCCTGATACCAAAACCCGGCAGAGACACAACAAAAAAAGAAAATTGCAGGTCAATACCCCTGATGAACATAGATGCGAAAATCCTCAATAAAATACCGGCAAACCAAATCCAGCAGCACATCAAAAAGATTATCCACCACAATTAAGTCGGTTTCATCCCTGCGATGCAAGGCTGGTTCAACATATGCAAATCAATAAATGAAATTCATCACATAAACAGAACCAATGACAAAAACCACATGATTATCTCAATAGATGCAGAAAAGGCTTTCAATAAAATTCAACACCCCTTCATGCTAAAAGCTCTCAATAAACTAGGTATAGATGGAATGTATCTCAAAATAATAAGAGCTATTTATGACAAACCCACAGCCAATATCATACTAAATAGGCAAAAACTGGAAGCATTCCCTTTGAAAGCTGTCACAGACAAGGATGCCTTCTCTCACCACTCCTACTCAACATAGTACTTAAGTTCTGGCTAGGGCAATCAGCCCAGAGAAAGCAATAAATAGTATTCAAACAGGAAGAGAGGAAGTCAAATTGCCTCTGTTTGCCAATGACATGATTGTATATTTAGAAAACCCCATCGTCTCAGCCCAAAATCTCCTTAAGCTGATAAGCAACCTCAGCAAAGTCTCAGGATACAAAATCAATGCACAAAAATCACAAGCATTCCTATAAACAAATAACAGACAAACAGAGAGCCAAATCATGAGTGAACTCCCATTCACAATTGCTACAAAGAGAATAAAATACCTAGGAATCCAACTTACAAGGGATGTGAAGGACCTCTTCGAGGAGAACTACAAACCACTGCTCAAGGAAATAAGAGAGGACACAAGCAAATGGAAAAAACATTCCATGCTCATGGATAGGAAGAATCAATATCATGAAAATGGCCATATTTCCCAAAGTAATTTATAGATTCAATGCTATCCCCATCAAGCTACCAATGACTTTCTTCACAGAATTGGAAAAAACTACTTTAAACTTCATATGCAACCAAAAAAGAGCCTGCATATCCAAGACAATCCTGGGCAAGAATATAGCTGGAGGCACAACACTACCTGACTTCAAACTATACTATAAGGCTACAGTAACCAAAACAGCATGGTACTGGTACCAAAACAGAGATATAGACCAATGGAACAGAACGGAGGACTCAGAAATAACACCACACATCTACAACCATCTGATCTTTGCCAAGCCTGACACACACAAGCAATGGGGAAAAGATTCCCTATTTAATAAATTATGCTGGGAAAACTGGCTGGCCATATGCAGAAAGCTAAAACTGGACCCCTTCCTTACATCTTATACAAAAATCAACTCAAGATGAATCAAAGACTTAAACATAAGACCTAGGACCACAAAAAACCTAGAAGAAAACCTGTGCAATACCATTCAGGATATAGGCATGGGCAAAGACTTCATGTCTAAAACACCAAAAGCAATGGCAACAAAAGCCAAAATTGACAAATGGGATCTAATTAAACTAAAGAGCTTCTGCACAGAAAAAGAAACTATCATCAGAGTGAACAGGCAACCTACAGAATAAGAGAAAATTTTTGCAATCTAACCATCTGACAAAGGGCTAATATCCAGAATATACAAAGAACCTAAACAAATTTACAAGAAAAAAGCAAACAACCACATCAAAAAATGGGCAAAGGATATGGACAGACACTTCTCAAAAGAAGACATTTATGCAGCCAACAGACATATGAAAAAATGCTCATCATCACTGGTCATTAGAAAAATGAAAATCAAAACCACAATGAGATACCACCTCATGCCAGTTAGAGTAACAATCATTAAAAAGTCAGGAAACAACAGATGCTAGAGAGGTTGTGGAGAAATAGGAATGCTTTTGCACTGTTGTTGGGAGTGTAAATAAATTCAACCATTGTGGATGACAGTGGCGATTCCTCAAGGATCTAGAACTTGAAATACCATTTGACCCAGCAAAGACTTGGAACCAACCCAAATGTCCATCTATGATAGATTGGATAAAGAAAATGTGGCACATATACACCATGGAATACTATGCATCCACAAAAGAGGATGAGTTCATGTCCTTTGCAGGGACATGGATAAAGCTGGAAACCATCATTCTGAGCAAACTATCACAAGATCAGAAAACCGAACACCACATGTTTTCACTCATATGTAGGAGTTGAACAATGAGAACACATGGACACGGTGGGGGGAACATCACACACTGGGGCCTGTTGTGGGGTGGGGGGCTAATCATTAGGAGAAATACCAAATGTAGGTGACTGGTTGAGGGGTGCAGCAAATCACCATGGCATATGTATACCAATGGAACAAAACTGCACTTTCTGCACATGTAACCCAGAACTTAAAGTATAATAATAAAAAAAAATTCTAAAAAGTTCTAAAAGTTTGGGGTTTTGAATGAACCCCAAACTATGTGGAAACCAATATTTCAACATAGAAATGTAAGATACAGTTGATTTTCATTATTAACAGTAGTTTTATTTTGTGAAATTGCTGCAAACACTGAATTAGATGATAGCGCCCTGCTGCTCCTAGGGAAAAGAAGGCTTGGGTTCCTGTAAGGCTCTGCTCACAACATTTTAATAATCTGATTAATACATGACCTTGTTTTATGTTGTTTTACGTGTGTTCTGCTTAAAGATACCTTGTTTAATATCTGTTATTGATTAATAATAATTGAACTAAGGGCTGACAGCTCGATAATTCATAGTTGAAAGCTTATCTAACACAAGTATTTTCTCCCTACAGAGCATCATAGCTTTCTCGTGGGATGAGACTCCAGGCAGCACTTGAGCACTATGTTCAGGCCCATGTTAAGCAGCACAAATCACCAACAAAAAAAATACAAAAATGCAAAAGACACTAAACTAACAAGACCTTGAAGAGAACCTGTGCTAACAGTATGAGCTAATAAAGAAGGCAGAGAATCCACTTCTTCACCTCAGCTTGGAACAGAAGCAGCGGTGATGCAGACTTTCTCACTGCTCTGCCCTGTCTGCAAATGACCATAAAAGTACTGGGAATACTTATCTGAGGGTTACAAATACATTTTAGCGAGTAGGTAAATCTTGAATACTGAATCCAGGAATAATGAAGGTCGACTGTAAGTGGAAAAAGATAGTCTGGTCTTTCTGTTTTTATCTACCACATCAAGCCTGTCCACCCAAGAGTGACAGAGATATTGGTGTCTGTTTCCTACAGAATGTTCCCAGCAATTACATATTCAGTGCTGCCCACAGGCATGGTACTACATGTGCGACAAGGGACAGCCCTTCGAGGGAGGTGTTGTGCTGCCGATTTCCCTTCTGCTCTTCCTGCTCCTACTTCTCTCTGGGCTTCTTCAATATTACATTTCTCCCCATCCCCAAATATCCCAAGATTCCTTTTACCTCCACCTCCAGCCATCAAGCCAGCTTTTTTCTACCTGTGGAACACTATTCTTGCCAGGCTAATTGCAGTTTATTCTTCAGGTTTAATTCGCATATACAGTAGGTTCCTCAATAACATTGTATTGTTTAATGTCATTTTGTTATAATATTGATGGAAAAAAAAAGTTGATTCCAGTCCTGGGTCACTGTCTGTGTGGGGTTTACATGTTCTCCCCACATCTGTGTGGGCTTCCTTCAGGAATCCAGTTTCTTTCCTCATCCCAGAGTTATGCACATTGGGTGAATTGGCATGTCTAAGGTCTCCCAGAGTAAGTGACTATGAGTGTGTGTGTGTGTGTGTGTGTGTGTATGTGTGCGTGCACGCGCGCGCCTTGCAATGGAATGGGGTCCTGTTCAGGGCTGGTTTCTGCCTTGTCTTCTTAGCTGATGGGAGATGCCTCAGCCACCTGCAACACTGAACTGTAATAATTGAATCAATAATTATCTGACTTGTTTCTATTGATCTTTCTTAAATGTATGTAGCACTCACATTTATTTTAATATTTAATATTAGAAGTATTTTAATCTTTATTTAGAAGTTTGGTGATTTTTGTGAGCAGAAATACATCATAGGAACTTAACCCTTGTTTACATCAATGAGCCTATGGTAAGATCCGTTTCATTACACATCATTTTGCTTGAAGTCACACTTTCTGAGAACCCACCAACAATGATAAGGGAGGACCTCCTGTAATTTTCCCGAGCCTCTCTGCTGGAGTTAGGTTGGCCAAGGCACTGCACTTCACATATGCATTTCCCATACTCCAGCCTTTGTCCCTCAGTGTGACAGCTACGCTATAGTTTGGCAGCTCTCCGAATAGACCACAAGCTCCGGCAGGTGAGAGGGCTACTTCCTGCTCTTTTTTTGTAGTAGTCCGGTGACATACAAGGTGTGATGCAAAGCAAGTGTCAGCAAATAAATGTTGAATTAAAGGCAGTTGTGAAAAAGCTACCTTATTCAAGAAATAAAGAAATATGGAGAATTTTTCCCTAAAAACATTTAAAAGAGCACAGTCTGTGGAGAGTCCCTATACATAGTTTTGCAAAGAACACATCAAAACAAGCAAATCTGGTGTGAAAGTACAGCAGGAATGAACAGGCCACGGGGAAACGCTGTGCTTGCCTCACAGCTAGGCAGGGCCTTCTATTCTCTGCGCCAGGCCACGAGGGCTTGGGGACACTGGATCCCCATACAATCTGGCCTTCTCTCAGGAAGGGCAGGCATTAAATGGCCCTTTGGTCTGGCTGAGTCATTTTCTAAGCAAGGCCTTTTCCTCACCTGTAATACAAAGATAATAAACCCCATTCATCTAATGTTAAGTATTCCCATAGAAAGGATCTAAAATAGGGCATGTGAAACTCAATTCATCAATGCTGCTTGCTGTTATAGAACATTCTAGACAAGAAAATCCAATGGTCCACTGCCCACTTTCCTGCTGCGGTTCCGTCAAACTGTGGCTAGAATCTCAACGGGAAGAGTAAACAGAACAAGTCTCAGAACGAAGAAATGCAAAAGCCCAGAGACAGACGGGTTCACCGAGTCCTTGTGCTCCTATGGGGTCTTGGTCTGCTGTCCACCCCGCGGGGGCAGGAAGACAACCCTGCAGCTGTGATTCTACAAAGATCACCTTTAAAATGGCAGAGGAAATAGCAGCTAAAGTCAGAGATGTTCTTTGGGTTCAGGAGGAGAGTGTAAGGTGGAAAGTGGAAGAGAGAGAGACAGAGACAGAAGCAGAAGAGAGAGAGAGGCATAGAGCGAGAGGGAAAGATGGATACAGAGAGAAGAGAGAGGAAGAGAGATAGGAGAGCAAGAGGGGGTTAGAAAGATGGAGAAAAAGAGAAAGAGAAAGAAAGAGAGACAGACAAAGACAAAAAGAGAAAGAAAGGGAGAGAGAGAGAGGGATACAGAGAGAAAGATAGAGAGAGAGAGGAGAAAGAGCTGGGCATGGAGGAAGAGAGAGAGAGAGGAAAAAGGAGGTAGGAAGGGAGTCAGCTCCAAAGGAGAGGGCCTGAAAATCTCTGTTTCCCATTACCTAGCTTCTCTCATCACTTTTCCTGGGAGCTGTGAACCAGGAAGGAAGTAGGGAGGAGTCGCAGGATAGGGTAATTGACAGCCGGCCTCTGGCATGTACCCTGTTGGTCACCCTGTGACCCTGGGTGATGATCTAGCCTCAGTGGCTGGGTCTCCTCATCTGTAAAATGTGGACAACAATGCCTCATTCATACAGTTTCTCTGAGATTAAAGGAGATGTCCCAAAAAGAGCTGCCCAGTTTATAGACCTGAGCTGATCCTCGTCCCAGCTGGGAAATAGGAGGGAACGGACTTCACAGACAATGAAAGAAGCCAAGTGATCCTTGCTGAGGAGCAGGTGGTGGCCTGGAATCTAGATCTGTGCACTTCCCAGAAATGTGCTGGGGGCCCTGATTCCAGTGCAGGAAAATCAGACGCTAAAGGGGCTGTGAGAAGTGGAGAGCGGCTATTGGCCCCTCAAGGTTATGTTGAAAGCTTCTTATGAAGGAGAAGAAAACACACGAAGCTCCAGGAGTGAAGCAACTCATTCCCAGATGTGCTCACAGAGAACAGTGGTGTCTGCTTCTTTGCCAGCCATGTGACCTAAAAGATTGGTGACTCTTACAAACATGCACCATATCTCTTCCAGAATGCTTCCAATTGTGAAATCCAATCCGCTTACGATCTGCTTGCTTAAAAAACCAGCTGGAGAGGAACCTACCCATCTTCCTGCTGTACAGACAAGCCCAAGATTGCTGATCCACCCCCCAGAGATTTTATTTAAAAATGTTTGAATCACTTTTATCAAAAGTCAAGGAGACACCATCAACCATTGCATTTTTGTCTTAGAAACCTAACTGCAGGAGGATAAATTTGTGACATTTATGAAAAATGATTTTATAGTAGACAGGTATGAAACTTGAAGGAAATCTTGTCCTGAAGCTAAATCTGTGGTATTTATTTTAATAAATGACTTGCTCAATGAGTGAACAAAGAAGCAAACGTCAAACATACCTTCCAGGGTCCAGGAGTGAGCACTGTGAGCCCTCCCTGAGCTTCCCTAGCCACCCTTGCCTGACCTCCATCATCAGTTCCCCCAGGCCCACTGAAATCAGCTCATCTGCTCATTGACTGATCTTCTCCAAGGGCTTCTGGAAGGCAGGCCTGTAGCTAGTTCATGTTCTAGACCAAGTATTTGATATTCTAATTATTCAGCATCTCTGCACATGCCACTCAGGTGATCCTTAGAGCTAGGAATAGATTCAGGGTTACATTATATTGCCTTTTTTGACCCCAAATCTTGGAACTGGGACAAAACAAAAGTTTCTGACTTCAAGCCTGGATTCCTCACGCTTTCAAAGCATCCACATCTGAACAGCGTAGGAATCAACATTTCATAGAAGAGAAACAATTAACATAAGAAAAACTAGCCAACTTCTCCAGCAAGCAAAATAACCAGTGAAAGTAACAATTGCTCTTCATTTTTAAACACCAAATTAGCAAAGATTTTAAAAGTGAAAATATTTCCAAATGAAAGGGCATGTAGTTAAAGAGACATTTTCGAACATTGCCATGATCAATTCTAAATTTTTCTCAGTAAATCAATTTGGCAAAATACAACTTAATACCATGTTTTATTAGGTGCTTATACATATGAAATGTTTATTTCTTTAAAATTCAAACGGTAGTGCCCAGTAAATTTGATAAAAGGATGCCTGCTTTCCTTTGTTGTACTTCACCTAGTATTTGGTAAACTCTCGCCACAAGTAGACAGAGAGCATAACCTGAGTGGGGCCATGGACTCCACTAGGATGACAAGGACCCTTAATATCATGTCACAAAATTAATGAACTCTCAAATAGAATCCACGCAGACAGCTTAGTCTGCAAATGGCACGCCAGGCTAAACCTCTCACCCGGCTCATCCATGTGGGTTGGTAAGAGTCTAAAGCCAGAAGTGAGGACCAGGGGAAGAAAGGAGAGGAAATAAAAGGTGACCACCTTCCCGGAGAAAGAGCCCTCTAAGCACATTCTTGTGCTCCTGTTGGTGCTGTTTATTATCTCTTCCTCAAAAATCCTCTGCTTGTTTCCTGGTTAAATGCATTCCTTGGCAGGGAGGCCTCCCCACTTCTTCCTGGTCTAATTGACTCCATAGTCCTATCTCTCTCCATCTCTCTCTACAGTTGTATTTCCTCTTTCTACTAAAACACATGCCAGCTATTGGCAAAGAATAATACTATGAGTAGCAATAGTAGCAGTAGCAGCATCAGCAGTAGTAGTAATAGCAGTAGGAACAATGGCAGTATTAGCAGCAGCAGTAGTAGTAATAGTGATAGTGATGGTAGCGTCAGCAGCCATAGCTGTAGTAGCAGTGGCAGTAGTAGCAGTGATATTAGTGCTAGCATTAGTAGCAGCATTAGTAGCAATAGCACTAGTAGTAGTTGTGGTGGCAGTGGCAGTATTAGCTGCAGTAGCAGTAGTATTAGCAGTAGCAATAGTAGGAGCAGGAATGGCAATAGCAGAAGCAGCAGTTCTAGTAGTACTGGTGGTAGCAGGAGCAGGAACAGCAGCACTATTAGTGGTAGCATTAGCAGCAGCAATAGCAATAGTATTACAGTAGTGATAGCGGCAGTATTAGTAGTACTAGTAGCAGTGGTGGTATTAGCAGCAATAGTAGCACTGGTAGGTAACAGTAACAGTAGTAGCAGGAGCAACAAGGCTCACAGTAACAGTAGCAGGAGCAGCCATAGTGGGAGTAATAGGGGTTTGATAAATGTGGCCTATTTGATCACCAATCAGAGCTATGTAATATAATGCTATAATGTTGATGATAATGTTTCACGTTTATGAATCCTCAGCAAGTACCAGGAATTTGTCCCACATGAAGTCATTTCATTCTCATAAAAACCCTGGAGGGAGTTGCTGTTATTGTGACTATTTTACAGAAGAGTAAAGCAAGCTTTCAGAGGTTAAGCCCCTTCCCCAAGGTTACACAGCTAGCATATGGCCTCCTCCAACCAGAGAGAAGGCCTGTGTGGGGTCCTGCTTGGTGCTGCGCATGTCCACACCAGCCTGTCTTCTGAATGGGCATCTGCAGGGAGGGGTGTGGATATCGCAGTATGAAATGTCTTGCTGGACAATTCCCAGGTATTCCCTGGTCAAGGCCTCTTGCCTGATGGAATGGATTATCTGGGGTCAAGGAGCCACATTTGCAGCCTCTGCAAGGTGATTCTGCCTTGGCAGGCCTGTTTCCAAGCACTCTGTGTGATTCTTATGATGTCTGAGGCTGGAGACACCAGGCCAACAAAGGTTCCCGAAGTCGAGCAAGAACTGGAGTCCCCCGTGGGCTTGCTAGAACTCACACTGCAGGGCCCATCCAGGGTTGACAACTCCGTAGGTAAAGGCCCAGCTGAGAATGTGCATTTCTAACAGTTCCCGGGTGATGTTGTGCTGCTGGTCCAGGGACACTGTGAAGCCAGCTTCTTGGAAGAATGCCCTCCTCACATCTCAAGTACTCACAGTCTCTTGGCCTAACATTCGTGTTTCATTCTAAGGACCGGCACACCAAGAGGACAACAGACTTACTGTGAGAATGACATGTGATAGATTGTCATGAGTAATACTTGTTTGTTCTGGGTGTCTATAAACAGGACTGGGGTCCTATGTGATTCACTGTGCACAAGGCTGGCCCCCTCCCCATCACCCATGGGCCTGTACCATCTCTGAGTATGAGAATGTAATTGAGAAACTCTGACCTATAAATAAAAATCACAAGTCTATCTCCTGACCTTGACCTCACCTCCATCCTCCCTCACCCTTTCCACACAGCAGCATCGCCTGGTCTGACTACAGAACAGTA